>NC_000002.12:113550224-113853254 GCF_000001405.40 Homo sapiens | reverse complement strand
GTAGGTCTAGGGTGGAGCCTGAGAACTGCAATCCTAACAAGTTCCCAGGTGAAGCTGTTGCTGCTGGGGCTGAACCACATTGAGAACCACTGTTCAGGAGGGAAGAACCAATGGGCAGAAAGTACAGAAAAGCTAGGTTTAGCTCAAGATCTGGTGGAATCTTTCTTTAAAGCAGTTCCTCTTCTTCAACAGCAGAACAGGTTCTTTAATAAAAAGAATTTTCTATTATTGGAAATAAGCAGACATTGAATAACTGCTCATTGGGGGATATTATAAAAATGATTGCTGCAATAAACAGTAGTGTCCTGAGTACAGAAGCTGGGATTGATCTGGGAAGATTCATGCAGCAGAGGCACATGGAGTCCTACTAGGACACACCATCAGGAAAAAAGCGTAGATGCCGCATGAAATATCCCTGGTATTACATGGGAGGGAATTTAAAACTTCACCAACGATAAATGTGAAGTTAAAGCAGTAATTAGGGAGCAATGATTAGACTAGGGCCAGGAATAACCAGACCTGTATCATTCTAGAAAGGATTATGTGGTTCATAACTGAAGGGTGAGTAGAAATAAAAAATCAGAGCAGAAGGAAGGAAACCAAGGCATTCCAGGATGGTAATCCACTAGTGCTGGGCATACCACACAAGTGTCCCTACGGCACAAGTCTCGTCAGTTGTTTCTAAATCGAAAGAGTGGGTGGAGGATGGGGTGGCAAAGCAGGATCCCTAAAGGAGATGAATTAAGCAAAACAACAAGTTGTACTAGAATTACTTCTCAAACCTGGTTGATCATCAGAGTCACCAAAGGGTAGCTTTTAACTACCCTTTTACAATGGATCTCTGAATCCCATTGAATTCAAAATTAGCAATGGAGGGTCACAAGTAGTGGGAGGAGGATAGGAATCTGTAATTCCCAGGCATTGCCCAGTATGTAATTCATTGGCCCTGATGATCTCTACCAAGGATGCCTGGTAGTTACACCTAAAGCTGTTTGGCAATAGAAGACTTGGGCCTTTGGGATATTTCATATAAGCAATCTCTTCCCGTCCTCTTGATAAAAACAAAATCATCTTTCTGCGTAGGCCACTTCAAATGAACCAGAGCACATCCACTTTTACGTTTGTTTTCTCTATATTGAACTACAATATAGTAATTTTATTATATTTTCATTAAAAAATTTAAAAAGACTTCCACTTTTGTAACAAATGGTTTAAAAACCATCAGATAGTTGTAGAAGGAGAGCCAGGCTTTGAAGACAGTTGTAGAAGGAGGGCCAGAATTTGAATCCCAGCACTACCGCTCAACTTGCAGTAACCTTGGGTGAGTTGTGTAATTTTTCTGAGTCTCACTTTCCTTATCAGTATATTGTGGGAAATGATGCCAACCTTGGAAGTGGTTATGCTCGCCTTGAGGTCATTGTTGTATTCCCAGCTCCTGGTACTTTGTAGTTGCTCACAGCACATTTGCTGAATGAGCTAATAGCTTATCTGCAACCGTCTAACACAGCCCCTGCTTAATAAAAGGGTGTTAGTGTTATGATTACTGCAAGCTTTCCTTTTCCTGTTTTTTTTTTTTTTTAATTTTGTTCATCATGCTGAAATACTACATATGCTTGTACTCCAGATTTCCAAAAAAGATACACTGGGGAGGGTGTTGGGATTTGGCAGGGTAGAGTTGAGAGATGGTCAAAGGGGACTTCATTTTGACCTATAAATTTTGTAACTTTTTCAAGGAAAATATATTCATGTATTAGTTATTCAATTAGAAAAAAATAGAAAAATTGTAAAAGGAAGCTAAAAAACCTCCCGGCCGGGCGCGGTGTCTCATGCCTCGGCTCCCTAGCACTTTGGGAGGCCGAGGAGGGTGGATCACGAGGTCAGGAGGTCGAGACCATCCTGGCTAACATGGTGAAACCCCATCTCTGCTAAAAATACAAAAAATTAGCCAGGCGTGGTGGTGGGAGCCTGTAGTCCTAGCTACTCGGGAGGCTGAGGCAGGAGAATGGCATGAACCTGGGAGGCGGAGCTTGCAGTGAGCCGAGGTGGTGCCACTGCACTCCAGCCTGGGCGACAGACAGAGCGAGATACCATCTCAAAAAAAAAAAAAAAAAAAAACAACCCAAAACCTCCCTTATATCACCCCATGAAAGCTCTGCTTAGGAGTTCATCTTTGATTTTTCACTTATAATTCTGCTCCCCAACACACACACACCCATAGTAGACAGTCCACTTTCCATCTAATTAACATATTTTCCTTCCATTGTACAAGCTGCCCTGGATTGCATAACCTGTTTCTGCTGGAGAAATATGTACATCTCTTCTTTTTTAGCAGCTGCCTCACCCTCTCTCATCTAAACCCTACATCTTATCATGTTCAGAACCATTTCGATTAATTTATTTTAGACTGTTACCTTATCTCATCTCATTGTGAAAGCCTCTGGTTACCACATCTCTTTTTCTCAGTAGTACACACGCCGAGTTTAATGCAGCCTGGGCACAGAGTGGCCTCTTAATGCTTTGCTGCCCCAAACTCCCTTTTTGACAGCTGTCAGTCCAAAATTCTCTGCCTGGCTGTCAGGACCCTTTGGAATGGGGCCTCACTTGACTTAGTACTTTCTTGCACCCAGAGGTAGACTCCTCCGCTCCCCTAGTGAATGATAAACTTCTTGTGAGTGGAGCCTGAGGCTTTAAACTGTTTATGTCTCTTTTGTCCAACAGTGCCCCTTGGTCATATTGGAAAGCCTCCTACTGAATGAATGAAACTGGAGTTTTGATCTTGTATTTAAAAAAATTCTTTTAGTCTCTACTTTTTGTCTCTGGTAAATAGAAGTTGCGGCCAAGAAGCAATCTGTCATTTTTGAAACAAGTAAATGGTCTATTATTTTTCAAGGTTATCTCTAACCTCTGATAAAAATTTTTAAATGTTAAGGTTTTAGCTTTTTTTGGCCATGTACTTAAACCTGCACTGAATTCTGCTCTGGGGCACCCTTTGTAGTTTTCCCTCTATTAATGTGGCTGAAGACATCTTTAACTTCTCCATTGGCTGTAGCAGAATATATTGATTTTATAGTTTATTTTCAGTGACAATTAAATCATTTGTTGGAAATATATTATTGGAGAAATTTCAATATCTTATTAAGAGATTTTTTGTTTTTTGGAATGTAGGGGATACTACTTAGTAAAGACCATTGCCTTTGGAATTAAACCTGGGTTTGAATCTTGGATTTGCCATTTAGTAGTTATGGGGCTTTGGAATACTAATTTCACTTTTCTTTTTTTCTTTTCTTTTTCTTTTTTTTTTTGAGATGGAGTCTCACTCTGTCTCCCAGGCTGGAGTACGGTGGCGCGATCTCGGCTCACTGCAACCTCCGCCTCCTGGGTTCAAGTGATTCTCCTGCCTCAGTCTCCTGAGTAGCTGGGACTACAGGAGCGCGCCACCACGCCCGGCTAATTTTTGTATTTTTCAGTAGAAACGGGGTTTCACTATATTGGCCAGGCTGGTCTCAAACTCCTGACCTCGTGATCCACCCACCTCAGCCTCCCAAAGTGCTGGGATTACAGGCGTGAGCCACCATGCCCGGCCCTTATTTCACTTTTCTAAGCATCATTTTCTCATCTCTAAAATTAAGATAAAAAGAAAAATACTACCCATATATGACTATTATGAGGATTGAATGAGAAAATGATATTAAAGACAGACCACAAAACAAAAATGAGACATTCTCTTCCTGCTTTTACTCTATGTACATACATCTGTGTGTGTATTCCTTTACCATCTCTCTATATTTCACTATGCAAACCATGGTGATATATGTGATAAAGCAGTACCTGCAAGAAGTTCCTGTGAAGCTGTAGTTACATATGTAACAAAGGAGGACTACACATAATTAGAATATCAAGGTACAAAACTGTGGACTGCAGATCAGTGGTTGTCAGCCTGCTTTCAGCCAGAACGCACCTGAGTAATGGTGATTCACAAGGACACACTCCCCTTTTAAGCCTGGTTTCTGGTGTGTCAACACATGCCCTATTATTCTTACTCACCAGGATTGAAAGTGAGTAAGTGTAGTGTTAGGGTAGCAGTAGCTCTGAAATCAGTCATTTTTTTTTGAAAAAAAAATTACATTATTAGCAAATCTCATCACTTTCCCTGCTAGCAGGCACAATGATTTGGCTGATGTTGAGAAACTGTCAGAAAAGGGCCAGAAACTAAAATGTCTGCAAGGCCAGGCTGATAAATGAGTGAAGTGAACTGAATAGGAGAACCCACAGGAAGCCATTAGGAAGACCTTGGTGCACAAGAGTACACGTACACACACAAACACACACACACCCACACACCTCTAAACGTTCACATGCTCACCAGCTCCAGCACATCACAGGTCCAGTAATGCCAGCTCCTCTAGTGTCTCAAAAAGCCAGAAGTGGCTCACGCCTGTAATCCCAGCACTCTGGGAGGCAGAGGCAGGCGGATCACAAGGTCAGGAGATCGAGAACATCCTGGCTAACACGGTCAAACCCCATCTTTCCTAAAAATACAAAAAGTTAGCCAGGCGTGGTGGTGGGCACCTGTAGTCCCAGCTACTCGGGAGGCTGAGGCAGGAGAATGGCGTGAACCCGGGAGACAGAGCTTGCAGTGAGCCGAGATCATGCCACTGCACTCCAGCCTGGGGGACAGAGAGAGACTCCATCTCAAAAACAAACAAACAAAAAAACAAAAAAAAAAAACAGCCAGAAATCTGGAATTTTATGTGAAATCTCTGGATTTTATTCAAATCATTTTAAAACAGTACAAGACAAGTCAAACACGTTCACCATTTACAAGACCTATGGGCTATTAGTCTGTAACTAAACTTCTTCAGACCAAATGTCTTTGATTCCATACTCTTGTCAGCAAAATCACTGAGCATGCAATCTAGAATATAATTTATAAATTATAAGCAAGTACTAAAAATCTGTAAATTAAATACAAATAATGCCTTTTTTCTCTTAGGAAGAAAGCAAACATAAATATGTTGATGCTTTTGTAGTTCATAAGCATGATGATTAGGTGTTCACATTCAAGTGTGGGATGTGCCATCCTCAAACCTTGTCATGATGTCAACATTTTGCCCATCTGACATGAAAATAAATAGCAGATAAATAGATGTTCTCACATTTCCCTTCGACACTCTCATGAATCTCTGTGGGTGTGCAGCGCCGTGGAGGCCACCACTTGGACCCGGAAGCCTGTAGGGATTGGAAGACAGGGGGACCTAAAGAAGTAAAAGTCAGTCCATTTCTCCTGCTCTTCCACTCCTGACACTCAAATTCTCAATTCCTCTCTCAAAGCAGCCACTATAAAGATTTGTGTTTTTTTTTTCCTTTCTGCATGTATTTTTTGTTTTCATTAATTTATTCTAAAGAAACGGTTTTCAGCACCTGGGGGCAAATATGGCTGCCCACATGGGACTTTACATTCTGTTAGGGGAGACAACTAATAAAAAACTAAATATGAAATAATGAAAAAAATAATAAACATGAAATACGGTGGTGCACATCTGTAATCCCAACATGTTGGGAGATCGTGGTGGGTGAATCACTTGAGCCCAGGAGTTTGAGACCAGCTTGGGCAACAAAACAAAACCTTATCCTTACTTAAAAAAAAAAAAATGAGGCCAGCAACAGCAACAATAGCAATGATTCCCTTTCTTGTGTCTGTGTTCCTTTGCTCTGTAACTCTGAGTATACTTTCCACTTTGGCTCTGACCTTGACCATGTGACTTGCTTTGACCAACGAAATATGACACAGTAGAGGCTTGAAGAGTCCTTGTGGTTTGGGCTCTTGGACCCCCGCTGTCATGTGATGAACTAGGCTCACCTTCTTGATGAGGAGGGAAACATAGTCCAGTCATCTCATCACTGCAGCCAACACCAAGACACGTGTCAGGCATTTGAGTGAGGTCATCTGGAACCAGTCAGCCCCAGCTAAACTGCCAACTGACCATGGATGCATGAGTGAGCCTAGCTAAGATCAGCCAGAAGAACCGCCTAGCAAAATTGTGAACTAAATAGATGGTTGTTTTAAGCCACTGGGATTTGAGTTGGTTTGTTATGCAGCACAAGGTAATTTATACAAGCTGCAGCATGAATCAGATACCATGCTGGGATCTCTCTTTACCATCATCCTGGGGCTGTCCTCTGCTTTTTTTCCTGTATTGGATCTCATGTTTCTAGTAATCCACATTTTCCTCTTGCTTGATTTCCTTCAGTGACTTCCCAAGGAAGAGTACATGAGCAGTAAATTAATTGTATGAAATCTTGCATGTCTGAAAATGTCTTTTTTTTTTTAATTTTTTTTCGATTCTTGTGTTTAAGTGCTAGTTTGGTTGGAAGTAGAATTTTAGATCGTTAATTATTTTCTCTTAACATTTTGAAAACCTTTCTCCATTGCTTTGTAGCCAGTCCTCCTGTTCACAAGTTAAAAGTCTATGCCAAAAGATGATGAGACCACCACTTAATATCTGAAATAAAAGGACAAAGCTGAATTTACTCCTTGCTCTAGTGAGAGCTATGATGGTCAGAAACTGTCTTTCCATGTGGAGCAGACTACTACGGTTTTGAGGAAGCATGAGTTCAGGGAGTTCAGAGACTTCAGTAGGATGTCATCATTTGCAGAATCACAGTTCCTTAGGGGAGGGGAAACTTTATTGATCGTTCACCACTCAAAGGTGTTTTTACAGGAGTGAATCCATCTATGACTGGCTGTTTTTCAGAAACAAAGACCTGATTCTGATGTGTTGGTTTGTAAAAGTGTGTACATTGAGGGGAATTGTGTTGATTGATTACATGGGTTTAAAACCAGTTTTTGATAGCTACTTCTTATTATGACTACAGAACAACTGCCTTTCCCTAAGTTTTGGGGAACATTTTTATTCTCATAAATCTCTGATCCTGTGTATATGACCTGTATATTTTTCCCCTTTCTACAATCTTGCAGGATCTTCTCTTTGTCTTCAATGTTTGAAATTTCACAATGTGTGCATTAGCCTAAGACTGTATTCACTTAATACATTTTTCTGTCTGGAAATTCAGATTATTAACTTCTCTTCATTTTTTTCTTTTGGATGCTCTATTAGTCCATTTTCCTGCTGCTGATAAAGACATACTCGAGACTGGGCAATTTACAAAAGAAAGAGGTTTAATTGGACATACAGTCCACATGGCTAAGGAGGCCTCACAATCATGGCAGAAAGTAAGGAGGAGCAAGTCACATCTTACATGGATGGCAGCAGGCAAAAAAAAGAGCTTGTGCAGATAAACTCTCGTTTTTTAAAACCATGAGATCTCATGAGACCCATCCGCTGTCACAAGAACAGCACAAGAAAGACCCACCCCCATGATTCAGCCATCTCCCACCGGGTCCCTCCCACAACACATGGGAATTATGGGAGCTACAAGATGAGATTTGGGTATGGACACAGATGCTAACACCCTTGACCAATTTCCTAATTGTCTGACATTTGTATCTCCTGTTTTCCATTCCCTTTTCTTTTTGCTGGAAAAATTCTCAACTTTACATTCTGACCTTTCTATTGAAAATATTAATTTCTAGTTGGGTGGATTGGCTCACATCTATTATCCCAGCACTTTGGGAGGCGGTGGCTGTAGGATCACTTGAGCCCAGGAGTTTGACACCAACTAAGGCAACATAGTAAGACTCATTTCTACAAAACGTAAAAGAAATTAGGCAGGCATAGTGGCATGCACTTGTAGTCCCAGCTACTCAGGGAGCTTAGGTGGGAGGATTGCTTAAACCCAGAAGGTCCAGGCTGCAGTGGGCTATGATCATGCCATTGCACTCCAGCCTGGGTGACTAAGAAGGATCCTGTCTCAAAAAAAGAAACAAAGAAAGAAAATAAAATATTCCTTTCAGCTATGTATTTAATTTTCAAGATCTTCTGTATGTGTTTTGTTCCATTTATTTATTTGCTTGTTTATTTTTGCGTAGAATTCTTTTCTTGTCTTGTGGTTATAGTAGCTTCTCTTTGTGAGAGGTTTGACTTTTATTTTATCTTCATTTCCTTGACATTACTTTTTTTCTTTATTCATTTTCTATCTTCCAAGTTAAAGGCTTTCCTCACATATCTTATCATCTTTGTATCTGATAATATTTAAGAGTGAGATACTGAAACACTGGCTGGAAGCCCTGAGAATATGAGAGCTGGGCTGGTCTGATGTGGGTTTCACTGTAAGAGCATCACGGTGGGTTGGGTCTACTGAGGGAACTTCCAATGTCAATATCTTTCCAAGGTCAGGTCTTTCATCATGGACCAAGCATATTTCCCAGAGAAGACTCCATGTCCTGCCTGGAGGGTGAAGGTCTAACTTTCAGTGTTCTTGGCCCAGAGAAGGAAAAGATGGATATGTATTGGGTATCCCAGAAGCTAATATGCATGAATTCACTTAATCCACTATTTTTAGTACAATTCTCTCACACTCAACTGCACTGGTGTTCTCCCAGTGTAGAACCATCTATTTTACCCCATTCTGGAAATAAACTTCACCCTTTTGCCAGTTAAGGAAGGTGCAGTCTCTGGGATGCTACACAGATCTGGGGAGAAGGCTACGGATCCAATCAAATTCCTCCTAAAGAATACTTCCAAACAATCCTCCTTATTTAGTCCATATCCCCTTTACCCTCACTTCTTCAGGGACCTGCTGCCATTAGTTTCCAAGTCTTCAGATATGCTATAAATCAGATTAGTTTTTAGTTTTCTCTTCTGCCTGGTGGGATTTAAATTTCTCAAATCTGCTCATTTTATCCCTATGTATTCATCTGTTTTCCAGCTTCCAAAATTGTCCCTTCTTCAGCTCTCTCCATCTATTGGGTTTAAGCCTTAAAATATCTATTTACTGGTAGTTTTACTGGGATTTCCGGAAGTCAACAAAATAGAATTGTATGTTAGTCTCCTACCTTTACGCAAAGCTTGCTTTTCATTTTCTATTTACGGGAAGTGTGTTAATGGCTTCATAACTGAATCTAGCTTATAATTTATTTGTGATAGATCTAAAACTGGTTAATGAAAGATGGCTTCAATTACAGTAGGCTTAAAGCAATGTCTTTCTCCTTAAAAATACAGAAAAGAAAAAGCAACTCAGCACTAACCCAGTGAAGGGGCATACAGATAAGTCAAGATTTGTATATGGGGGACGGGCACGGTGGATCATGCCTGTAATCCTAGCACTTTGGGAGGCCAAGGTGGGTGGATCAACTGAGGTCAGGATTTCAAGACCAGCCTAGCCAACATGGTGAAACTCCATCTCTACTACAAATACAAAAATTAGCCTGGTGTGGTAGCACATGCCTGTAATCCCAGCTACTCAGGAGGCTGAGGCATGAGAATAGCTTGAACCTGGGGGCGGAGGTGGCAGTGAGCCGAGATCACACCACTGTACTCCAGCCTGGGCGACAGAGCGAGACTGTCTCAAAAACAAAAACAAAAGTTAAAAAAAAGATTTCTGTATGGGAATATTCTTTCCGTGCGTTTGTATGCCCTTGCTAAAATGCAGGTTGCATAACAGCCTTAATAAGAAAATTCCTAAGCCTATGGAAACTTGTGGGAGGGGTGTAGTCATGCATAATCTCACATCGAAATCTGCCAAGGCAGTGAATACTATAGAATCCACAACTTCAGTTTTCATTCTGCCCCACAGCTCAGAGCTGGAAACATATGTGCTTATGAATCTTTGTCAAGTTAATCACTTTTTCCTTTTGCACCAAAAATTTAAAACAGACTTCTTAGCAACTGTCGCTAGCGTAATCTGTTTACTAAAATCATATGATAAATCACACTCGAGGTAAGTTACTGTTGTTCTGTAAGTTCCTGTTACTCTGTTAATTGCTGTCATTTTTTCCCAGAGTTGTGCTCTCCTGCAGCGTTTTGCGGACGGCTGGCTATCTTACCCAGAATCAATCACACTGGGACACTGAAAAAAAAAAAAAAGGAAAGTAAGTAGAGTCAGCTATTTCATCTCTTTGTGAAACGTCTCCCCATTCTCGGCCTGAAACCATAATTTACCTTCCCAACCTTAAGAAAATCTTTTCTGCATTCTGCTACTTCTTGAAAGTTGCCTTTGACCTTCCAGTGGTCTTCTCTCACTTCCATTCTCTTTCAGCCCTGCCAGCATTTGCGAAGATGACTCAGACCCTCTTTACTGAAAGATAACTTATAAAACAACTCACATGTCATGAGCCTCCGCAGAAAAACTTCATTTCCCACTTCAAACCCAAAGTTTCCCTCCTTTAACTATATCCTAATTGGTAATAACAAAAGCACACATTGAACAACGACTTAGATATTGTGCTAAGCACTTTACATATATTAACTCTTCTCACCATCCCAATAACACTATGAAATACAATCTATTGTTATATCCATTTTGATAAATAAGAAAATAGAATCCAGAGAGTTTATGTAATGTGCTCAAGGAAAAACATTGCTCAGTGGCATGCCATTTGGTAATTGGTACCACCAACCATACCATCATTTGTCCACACCAGAAACCTAAGAATCAGGATTAATTGCTTTCTCTCCTGTTCTCTCCACATTCTTACCATCTTAGGCCAAACTACCACCATGTCTCACCCAGACCACTGCACCAGCCTTCCAACTATTTCCATTAATGTTCCTTTATAGACTATTCTCCATATAAATGACATATGAATTTGATAAATCCATAATCATAATGAGAGATTTTTAGAAACCTCTTTTTTTTTTTTTTTTGAGACGGAGTTTCACTCTTATCGCCCAGGCTGGAGTGTAATGGCGTGTAATGGTGCTCTCTGGGCTCACCACAACCTCGGCCTCCCAGGTTCAAGCGATTTCCCTGCCTCAGCTTCCTGAGTAGCTGGGATTACAGGCATGTGCCACCATGCCTGGCTAATTTTGTATTTTTAGTAGAGATGGGGTTTCTCCATGTTGGTCAGGCTGTTCTCAAACTCCTGACCTCAGGTGATCCACCTGCCTCAGCCTCCCAAAGTTCTGGGATTACAGGCATGAGCCACTGTACCTGGCTGGTAAAAACCTCTTTCAAAAACTGACTTCATGCAGACAAAATAGTCATATGACTCAAAAACATTTATTTTTATTGTGCAAATAACACAATTAATGATCCAAATCTTACGGAAATATGTGGAACACTACACACACACACACACACACACAAATAAAGAATACACAACAACACTTAGAACATTTACAAAAATTGGCTGGATGTGGTGGCTCACACCTGTAATCCCAGCACTTTGGGAGGCCGAGGCAGGCGGATCACTTGAGGTCAGGAGTTTGAGACCAGCCTGGCCAACATGGTGAAACCCCATCTCTACTAAAAATACAAAAATTAGCCAGGAATGGTGGCACATGCCTGTAGTCCCAGCTACTCAGGAGGCTGAGACAGGAGAATAGCTTAACCCAGGAGGCGGAGATTGCAGTGAGCCGAGATCGCGCCACTGCATTCCAGCCTGGGTGACAAAGCAAGACTCCATCTGAAAAAAAAAAAGTTTACAAAAATTGACTATGTCTTATGTCTCAAAGTGAGTCAACAAACAACACAGTCATTATTATATAGACCATATTCCCTGATCACAATATAATAAAGTTACAAATCAGGAGCAAAAGGATAGTTAACCCCTCTGTGTGTTAACTCTTCTTTACTCTTCCTCTATAAAAAGGAACTAGCATTTCCCAGCTCCCTTGGTCTCTGGTAACCTGGTAGGCTCTGCAATGGGAAGCACTGACTGCAACCTGGGGAGTCACAGGGGGTAAAGGAAAGATGTTCCCCACTTCCTGTGGGGGGCGCGAGGAGAGGATTCCTTACAGAGAAATTTATATCCCAAAAAGCAAGTTCTAGTTTTGAGCCTCCTCCTCATTTTGCTGACTTCTTTGCACTTTGTTCACCAATCTAACTTTTTTCCTTTCTTTCGCCATTTCTGTATAATTCCTTGATTTTTTATTTATTTATATATATATATATTTTTTGAGGTGGAGTTTCGCTCTTGTCACCCAGGCTGGAGTGCAATGGCACGATCCCGGCTTACTGCAACCTCTGCCTCCCAGGTTCAAGCGATTCTCCTGTCTCAGCCTCCTGAGGAGCTGGGATTACAGGCACCCGCCACTACACCCGGCTAATTTTTGGTATTTTTAGTAGAGACAGGGTTTCACCATGTTAGCCAGGCTGGTCTCGAACTCCTGACCTCAGGTGATCTGCCCACCACGGCCTCCCAAAGTGCTGAGATTACAGGCATAAGCCACTGCTCTGGGCCTCTGATTTTTATACCTCTGTAATGCCCTCTTGAATCCCTTCTCCTCTTTCTATTTTCGTTGTGACTAGTCCTCTGGCCGCTCACCTGGAAAGGCAGAGGAGAGGGTTGTAACTCTGGGAGTTGAATTATAACTAATCTTCTAATGATGGTGTTTAACAAAAGCCATGTTAAAGGCAAAGTGCTTCTGTTTCGAAAAATACTCTCAAACCCAGTTTTCTCTTGGCCCTCACACCACCTCAGCAGCAATCAACAACAAAGAAGAAGACTTCTTTGCCTAAATATGCGGGGAATTTCCCGACTCACATAGCAGCAGACACCAGCTGGATGTCCTCCAATTCAGTTCCGACACTGTCTACCTGGAGATAGCATCAGATTCTATCGGCTTGGGGCTTAGTCCCCAAAACTGCCCATTCCACAGACACCCATTGCAGATGTGGGCCTCTGGGACTTCCGACCAACCAGCTTCAAGCTGGGGTTCCTACACCTTCTCTTTGCGTTCAGTTAATTTGCTAGAGCAGCTCACAGAACTCAGGAAAAAAGTTTACTGGTTTGTTATAAAGGGCATTACAAAGGATACAGACGGAGAGATGCACAGGGTGAGGTATGGGGGAAGAGGCGCGGAACTCCCATCCCCTCCCTTGGCGGTCACCATCCAGGAACCTCCGTGTGTTCAGCTATCTGGAAGCTGCCTGAATCCAGTCCTCTTGGGTTTTTGTGGAAGATTCATGATATCAGCATTTCTTCCCCCGGCTTATAGGGCAGGAGCATCTCTGGAGAGGATCTTAAGACCCGTAGTCAGAAAGGTGGGGTAAGACTAGAGTCCTGCCTTCCAGAAGGTGAAAGAAGGGCAGGAAAAGGTCAGAGAGATTCTGTTTTCTGAATCTGCTCCTGAGGCCTAACACACCCAACCTTATAACGAAAGGTTGTAACGAGGGCTCTGGGAGATATGGTCCAGGAACTGTGGACGGAAATGTGTGTGTGTGTGTGTGTGTGTGTGTGTGTGTGTGTGTGTGTGTGTGTATAAAATAACACCACAGCTTCCTAGCCAGAAAGAAGAGGAGGCCGACCTTGACTGTAATGTCTTAATGCTGTTAACACAACTGAGAAAAACAAGTGTCAATCAGATGGGGCATTGGTAACTGGAAAACAACAGCAAAGGCTAAGGCCAGCGGGTCTGGTCAAGTTAGTTCAGGATGCCTCTCTGTTGTGATTATTTTGTTGGATTTAACTTCTCTAGAACCAAACGTAACCGGTCTCTACATTTCTGGCAATCTCACACCGTTCCTTCAGTGATCCATGCTCGAAATGCATAAATGATCGCTGACTCTTCTTCCCCTGTAGTCCTCATTATCTACTTGATTGAGCCTTTTTGACGCTTACTCATTTTTTTTCTCTTCCCTCCTCCCAGCCAACCATAATTTCAGGTGCTTATTAAAACACACTCAGATTAATCCCCCCAATTAGACCTCTTTGCCTCTTCCTGACCCTCCCAAGGGTCCTGCCCTACTATTAGGTAATGACATAAGACCCAGGAATAAGTATAAGGATTCCCACTGGCCTCCATCCTGGTATTTAAAACAGGCACAGTGCTCACACCTGTAATTCCAGCACTTTGGGAGGCCAAGGCTGGGGGACTGCTTGAGTCCAGGAGTTCAAGGCCAGCCTGGGCAACACAGGGAGAACTCCTCCCCCCACATCTCTACAAAAAAATAAATTGAAAACAAAAAACAAAACTAGCCATTTGTAGTTCCCAACTACTTAGCAGGCTGAGGTGGGAGGATTGTTTGAGCCTGGGAGGTCAAGGCTGCAGTGAGCCATGATTGCACCACTGCACCCAGCCGGGTGAAAGAGTGAGACCCTGTCTTAAAAATAAATAAATTAATGAATTAAACAAAACAGGCCTCACTTTCCTCAGGGAACCCTGGATCCTCTCCCTACCCCGGACACAGTAGGTTCAGTTGGGTGAGTTCTCTGCTTTCCTCTAAACATGTTATGCTCACACTTGGCCCCCAGGGTTTGCACTCAGGGTGCCCAACTCACAGCCATACTGCAAAGTCCCATTTCCTCCTTGAGTCCTTTGCTGATATGCCCTGGTTTACACTGATTCCTACCCTGGCTTTCTTTAGACCCAAAGACATTTAGGCAAGGGCGGATGGGCCATGTTGCTAAGGAGGCTTACACTTGAGGGCCCCTTAACTTGGACAGTCCCCTCCAAGACTGTGTGGCTAATTTTTATTTATAATTTTGTATTGTCTTAAGAAGATCATTTAAATTGTAAAAGCCTCAGGCCCCACGCAATCTGGGTCTGTCCCTGAATTTAGACATTAATTTATATTCTTTTCTTGAAGGATTTTCTAACTGGTTAATGTACAACAAACCTGTTTTCTCAACTTAGTATGAGCTTCTTTGCTAAATAATGCTGTGCAGTATACAGTGTGGTGGTTGAAAGGGTCATCAGTAGAGTCCCACAGACCTGTGTCCAAAGGTCACTTCTGCCGTTTCCTAGAGATGTGGCTTTTGGGCAAGTTTAAATTTTCATCTTCATTGATCTTCAGCTTCCTCAGCTGTTAAATGGGAATGATTATGGTGAAGCTTGCATTATGACTTTCAGAGGCCCAAGGAACTTTTGCCTTCATAGGCCCCTTTCTCCATGAAAATGATTACCAACTATATTTTGTGACTGTGTTGGTAAAAAGGCTAATATAATTCAACAGGGATTCTGTTCTTTTTTTTTCCTTTCTGATGCTAAAATAAACAAAAACATTTTCATGAGCCCCTAATAGTGTCATGGACCCTTGACATAGTGCCTAGTGAGCCTAATGGATAAGTTGACCCTGATTATAGAGCACACAGAGAAGCCTGGTGAATAATAAATGAGACAGTGTACATACAACATTCGACAAAGTGCTGGTGTGTATTAGGTGTTCAGCGGACGTCAGATATTACTTTTGTTATTATTATATGCCTCTTTCATATAGAAATGCTTACTAAATGGGATTGAATAGAGCTTATTTTACACTAAACCATTTGTAGCAATGGGAGTTTGGAAACAGATATCACTTTCTTATATATTATTATAGAATGTCAATTAAAGCTTTTCTGCTTCCCGACTTGGTACCCATCCTGTATTTACAAGCAGTTATTGCCTACGGACCAGGTGCTTAGATGTCTTGAATTTCAACAGAGCTCCTTAAACACTAGGTTCCCAAGCTCCACTCAAGAGATTCTGACTCAGTGGCTCTGGAGGGAGATCTGAAAATAAGTACTTAAAAAAATCTTACTCCCTTGGTGATTTTGAAGAGCAGCTAAATTTGTTGGAAACCACTATCATAGGCAAGCCGGTAGAGGTCAGTGACAGCTGAAAGAGTGGTATACGGGGGCATTAGCTTACCTCTTCCTAAACTCTGTAACACTCACCCTCAATCACTGCAAATAAAATGAAGTGTCTGCTATGCAAATGCAGCTTCCAGACAAGTCCCCTACGCACTCCCTTCCCAATCAGATTGTACCACTAGCCCCCCTTAGTAAAGTAATTTTGGAGCAGTCTGCAGAAGAGATATAATTCATATTGTAGCTTTCAAGGAACTTCCAGGATAGAGATCAACACAAAACCAAGGTAGCATACTTTTAAGATTTTAAGGACCAAATGGGTACTGTGGACATTGAGCACTCAGAAGAGGAAGCAATCATGATAGACTGAGTTGCTGGGGGAGCCTCAAAGTGAAGAGTGACTTATGTTGAATCATGAAAGAAGGTGGACCTGAGACATTGAGACACGAAAAAAAGAATAATAGACTGGGGGTTAGGGGATGCAGGAATAAAACTGGCTTTGCCACACGCTAGCTGGGTGTCTTTGAAAATGAAGATATGAAAAAATGTAAACCTGTCAACACCTATTCCAAACAAGAGAAACCTGGTATAAAAATGCTAATATTTGCAAAAATACAATTTAAGACAAAAAAGCATTATTAAGAATAAAGAGGGGGCCGTGTGCGGTGGCTCACACCTGTAATCCCAGCACTTTGGGAGGCCGAGGCGGGCAGATCACAAGGTCAAGAGATCGAGATCATCCTGGCTAATATGGTGAAACCCTGTCTCTACTAAAAATACAAAAAATTAGCCGTGCCTGTAGTCCCAGCTACTTGGGAGGCTGAGGCAGGAGAATTGTTTGAACCCAGGAGGCGGAGGTTGCAATGAGCCAAGATTGCGCCACTGCGCTCCAGCCTGGGCAACAGAGCGAG
Source organism: Homo sapiens (assembly GCF_000001405.40). Classification (NCBI taxonomy): domain Eukaryota; kingdom Metazoa; phylum Chordata; class Mammalia; order Primates; family Hominidae; genus Homo; species Homo sapiens. Next base: position 113,836,709 of record NC_000002.12, on the reverse strand, counting down.
ACTCCGTCTAAAAAAAATAAAAAATAAAAAAATAAAGAGGGATACAACACCCTGATAAGGAACAGTTCACCAAGAGGATAGAATCATCATGTACTTGTATGCACTAAAAAAAGAAAAAATGTCCTGGAATATGTTAATTCTCAAACTGGGAGAATTGACACATGCACATCAGATAATGATGGATGAACTATTTAAAACATAATAAGGACAAAGAATAAGTGATTTGAACAAGAAGGAAAAACCAAGGCACAGAGCAATGAAATAACTTGCCCAAGGTCTTGTAGCTAGTAAGTGAAGAGCTGGGATCCAGACCCAGGAAATCTGCTTTTATGCCACCCTCAGCTAAAGTTTCATCTTGAGTGATAGAGCCTTAAAATGTGTTTACACCAAAAAGAAATATTAAGGATAAGTCAATTAAGCATTTAATATACAATTCAAGAAGTTAGAAAAGAAAGAAGAGGCCGGGCGCAGTGGCTCAAGCTTGTAATCCCAGCACTTCGGGAGGCTGAGGTGGGCAGATCACGACCTCAGGAGTTTGAGACCAGCCAGGCCAAAATGGTGAAACCTCTTCTCTACTAAAAATACAAAAATATTAGCTGGGCATGTTGGCCCGTGCCTGTAATCCCAGCTACTTAGGAGGCTGAGGCCGGAGAATCGCTTGAACCTGTGAGACGGAGCTTGCAGTAAGCCGAGATCATGCCACTACACTCCAGCTTGGGCGACAGAGCGAGACTCCATCTCAAAAAAAAAAGAAGAAAAGAAAAGAAAGAAGAAATATCCAAAAGGAAAGAGAATGCAAAGTAAAAACAAGAATAAAAAAGAAGCTGGGCACAGTGGATCACACCTGTAATCCCAGCACTTTGGGAGGCTGAGGGAGGGCAGATCTCTGGAGCCTAGGAGTTGGAGACCAGCCTGGGCAACATGGCGAAAACCCATCTCTACAAAAATTACAAAATTAGCCAGGATGGGAGACATGCATGTATGGTTCCAGTTACTCGGGAGGCTGAGGTGGGAGGATCACCCAAGTGCAGGAAGTTGAGGCTGCAGTGAGCCATGAAAATGGTAACTATGTGAGGTGATGGATATGTCAATTAATTTTGTTGTGGTGATCATTTTACAATCACATATTGATATATGTATCAATATGTTTTGATACATATATCAAAACATCAAGGCCAGGTGTGGTGGCTCACACGTGTAATTCTAGCATTTTGGGAGGCTGAGGTGGGAGGCTTGCTTGAGCCCAGAAGTTGGAGACCAACCTGGGCAACATAGTGAGACCCTGTCTCTATAAATAAATAAATAAATAAAATAATAAGAAAGTTTGAAGGGTCATTTTGTTTTATAGTATACATATAATCATATAACTTTGCTATTTGCATATGGAGGGCGACAGTGAATATTCATTATCAAGAAGGGCTTTGGATTCAGAAAAGGTCGGATTTTTTATTCCAATTGAAAATGGTCTGGAAATACACATGCACAGTTGTTTGTCCTCGTTCACTGTCTCTTTCTTTCTCTCTCTCTCTCTTTTTTTTTTTTTTTTTGAGACGGATTTCACTCTGTTGCCAAGGCTGGAGTGCAGTGGCACAGTCTCGGCTCACTGCAACCTCTGCCTCCCAGGTTCAAGGGATTCTCCTGCCTCGGCCTCCCGAGTAGTTAGGATTACAGGCATGTGCTGCCACGCCCAGCTAATTTTGCATTTTAGTAGAGACAGGGTTTCTCCATGTTGGTCAGGCTGGTCTCAACCTCCCAACCTCAGGTGATCCGCCCGCCTCGGCCTCCCAAAGTGCTGGGATTACAGGCATGAGCCACCGCCTCCCACCTGCAGTTGGCTGTTTGTTGTTTTTTTGTTTCTTTGTTTTGTTTTTTTATGCTGCCCCGCCCCCTCTGGTTCTTTGTTTTACAGAAAAAAACAGGCCCAAATTGAAGGCTATTCTTTGACATAACTGGCCAACACTCTTCAAAAATGTTAATGTTGTGAAAATAAAGATTGAGAAACCATTAATGCTAATTTCCTGATATTAATCATTGAATATTTATTATTAATTAGTCTGAAACTATGTTATAATAGTTACTACGTATACATAGACTATGTAGAAACTTTGTGCTCCATTGCTAACAGAGTGCACATTGATGCAATTTCCCTGAAGGATAATTTGGCAATACCCTTCAAAAGCAGAAACGTACATACTTTTTGATCAAAAATTCCGCTTATAAGCAATTGTCCTACAGAGTTGGTTTCACATGTGTGAAATGGTTTAAATAAAATTGCGTATTCATTATAAGGGCAGCAGGCCAGGCGTAGTGGCACAAACCTGTAATTTCAGCACTTTGGGAGGCCGAGGTGGGCAGATCACTTGAGGTCAGAAGTTCCAGACCAGCCTGGGCAACATGGTGAAACCTCGTCTCTGCTAAAAATACAAAAATTAGTCGGGCGTGGTGGCACATACCTGTAATCCCAGCTATTCAGGAGAGTGAGGCAAGAGAATCGCTTCAACCTGGGAGGTGGAAATTGCAGTGAGCTGAGCTCATACCTTTGCCCTCTAGCCTGGGCGACAGACTTAGACTCTATCTCAAAAGAAAAAAAGAAAAAAGACATTGTAAGGGCAGAGTTTGGAAGCAATGTACATAACAGTAATGGGATTTTTTTTTTTTTTTTTTTTTGAGATGGAGTCTCCCTCTGTCACCCAGGCTGCAGTACAATGGCGCGGTCTCAGCTCACTGTACCCTCCGCCTCCTGGGTTCAAGTGATTCTCCTGCCTCAGCCTCTGGAGTAGCTGGGATTACAGGCGCCCGCTACCATGCCTGGCTAATCTTTGTATTTTTAGTAGAGACGGGGTTTCACCATGTTGGCCAGGCTGGTCTGGAACTGCTGACCTCGTGATTCGCCTGCCTCGGCCTCCCAAAGTGCTGGGATTACAGGTGTGAGCCACTGCACCCGGCCAGTAATGGGATGGTTTTAAGTAAATTATGATATACTTTTAAAATATAGTAAAATGGACACAATAGATTCCTATAAATGTACTTTTCTGGAAAGAATCCCAAGAATAGGGTTATTATTAACAGAAAAAAGTAAAGCATAGAACATTTGGTAGAATATGCCCCTATTTGTGTGTGGGAAAAGGTATATGTGTATGTATGTATATGCATTTATTTTATTATGCACCTATCTATATTTTGTATGCACATATACACATATATTTGTATACTTCTGTATATGTTTATATACATATATTTGTATACATTGGTATATGTATATATTTGTAAATTAATAGGATAGCTCTCTAATGATGCCTAAGAAAGTTGAGAAAATTTTGGCCTCAGAAAGGAACTGAGTTGCTGGAAGAGAGAGGGTAAGGGAGACTTACCTCAGTATTTCCAGTATTTCACTTTGTGTTTTGTGCAAAATATGAGTATTCCTATCTTTAAAAAATTAATTAATAAAAATACTATGTAGAATGTTAGAGAGCCAATATGAAATCAATAGAAAAGAGTGAACATTTTTTAATAACATCAGTGCAAGCAGATGGAGAAGGAACTTGTACTGAACAATTCTCCAAATATAGAAATAATTTGATTTTTTTTCTCCAAAGGCAGAAGAACAAGGGGCAGGAAGCCAGAGAAAGTTAGACAAACATGGCATGTTCAGAAATCTGTTTCCAGCTTAAAGGTTATCTTTTTATAGGATGAGGATTATCACGTGATCCATTTCTTCTTTTTCAAAACCAAAGTAAAGTGGTTAATTTTATGGTATATAAATTATACCTCAATTTAATAAATACATTAACTTTTAAGATGTTAAGGATGATGATACATTCATCGGCCATCATATTAGCCGGGCGTAGTGGCATGTGCCTGTAATCCCAGGTACTGCAGAGGCTGAGGCAGGAGAATTGCTTGAAGCTGGGAAGCCGAGGTTGCAGGGAGCCGAGATCGTGCCACTGCACTCCAGCCTGGGTGACAGAATGAGACCCTGTCTCAAAATAAATAAATAAATAAAATTTAAAAAATCAAAATTACTATATAATAATAGTTAAAATAAAAAGTTTAATACCAAAAAAATTTATTTAGCAATAAAATGAAAGAAAGTTTGTTTTTTTTTGAGACAGAGGTTTGTTCTGTCGCCCATGCTGGAGTGCAGTAGTGTGCTCTCAGCTCACTGCAACCTCTGCCTCCCGGGTTCTAGTGATTCTCCTGCCTCAGCCTCCCAAGGAGCTGGGATTACAGGTGTGTGCCACCACACCCAGCTAATTTTTGTATTTTTAGTAGAGACCGGGTTTCACCACGTTGGCCAGGCTGGTCTCGAACTCCTGACCTCAAGTGATCCCCCCTGACTCACCTCCAAAAGTGCTGGAATTACAGGCATGAGCCACCGTGCCCAGCCAGAAAGGGAAGTATTGATACCTGCAACAACTTGGATAAATCAGAAAGGCATTATGCTAACTGAAAGAAGCCAGTGTTCAAGATTAGAGGCTGTCAGACTCCGTTCACATGACATTCTCAAAGACAAAACTATAGGAAGAAAGAACAGGTTAGTGGTTTTCGGAAGCTAGGGCCAGGTGAGTATGAAGGGAGAACAGGAGGGAGTTTTTAGGGAGTGATGGAATTGTTCTGTATCCTTATCATGGTGATCTGCTGGGTGCGGTGGCTCACGCCTGTAATGCCAGCACCTTCAGAGGCCGAGGCGGGCGGATCACTTGAGGTCAGGGGTTCAAGACCAGCCTGGCCAACATGGTGAAACTCTGTCTCAATTAAAAATACAAAAAATTAGCCGGGCATGGTGGCAGATGCCTGTAATCCCAGCTGCAGGGGAGGCTGAGGCCGGAGAATTGGTTGAACCTGGGAGGCGAAGGTTGCAGTGAGCCAAGATCATGCCATTGCACTCCAGCCTGGGCAACAGAGTGAGACCCTGTCTCAAAATAAATAAATTAATTAATTAATTAAATTTAAAAACTCAAAACCACTACATAATAATATTTAAAATAAAAAGTTTAAAAAGCAAACAAAAAACCCCAAATAGAGTTGTATCAACGAGGTTTTGCTTGTGATTTGATTTTGTGGCCGTAATTGTCCTGTTCTCTTTCAACACAATAACCCTAACCCTCTCCCTGTTTCTTTCAGAAAGAGCGAGGGAGTAATTCTAGCCTGTTTTTACAAGAACACAGTGGCTATAGACAGTAAGTACTCTCCCATGTGAAAGCACCAGCTAATTAGACTTTGGTGGATGGTCATGACGTACCCAGTGACATGCTTTTACAGTTCGTTGTCATTGTTCTAGGTGCCAGTGTGAAGATGACTCAGCAAACGTGGAGAACCAAAGATTCTAGGGCAGCACCAAAACTGGGAAAGCAATTACAGCAGAAGTTGCCTTCCCCATGGTAGCTTAGCAACTTCGTGTCTCTCCAAGGCAGAGAGGAAAATCAAGTCTAACAGGCCTTCCCGAAGGCTAGGTGTGAAATACCAGAAGCCATCTTTGTTTCTGGCGATGTCACTAAATAAGTATTTGTTGATATAAAGTATTACACATCTGTTCTCCCACATTTCAGCTAAATTGCCAAAAGTTAACCCTTTCTGGAGATCCAGAATGGAGCAATATACCTAGCTCTCATTCATTATTTCCCTTGCTGATATTCTTGCATAGCTTTTAGTTTATGCATTTGTCCCAAATAAACCTAGAAAAAGCCACTTGTCGTAGGACAAGATGAGCTGATGATTTGAATCACTCCCCCACTGAGGAAGAAACCATCTGTGGAAAAGACTGTATAAGGTACTTCCTGGTTGAACGGTAGGGCTCTGGAGTCAGAAGTCTTGAATTTGAATCCCAGCCCTGAAATGTATCAGCTGTGTGCCCTTAGGTAAGTAACTGAACTTCTCTGGCTTCAGATCCCTCTGTGTGTGTGTGTGTGTGTGTGTGTGTGTGTGTGTGTGTGTGTTTTGTTGTCGTTGTTGTTATTGAGACAGAGTCTCACTTTGTCGCCCAGGCTGCAATGCAGTGGCGCTATCTCAGCTCACTGCAACCTCTACCCCCCGGGTTCAAGCGATTCTCATGCCTCAGCCTCCCAAGTAGCTGGGACTACAGGCGCCCACCACCATGCCTGGCTAATTTTTTGTATTTTTAGTAGAGACAGGGTTTCACCATGTTGGCCAGGCTGGTCTTGAACTCCTGACCTCAGGTGATCAGCCTGCCTTGCCCTCCCAAAGTGCTGGGATTACAGGCGTGAGCCACCGCAATTGGCCCTCTCTGTTCATTGTAGGTGCTGAAAGGAACCCAGTGAACTAGTGATAATACTTATCATGTACCTAGTGCCAGGTCTGATGCTTAATTCATATTCAGAAAGTAGAAGCAATTTTCATGTGATAGGTCATTAATGCCAATTTTATGTATCTGCAAATGAGGATGTGGGGGGTTCCAGGAAGTTATTTAAATGCTTTTGGTGCACAGTTCCTTTACCCTGCCTAGGGTTACCTACAACATACCTTTGGGGAACTTTGCCTGCTTCTTTGCTAGGCTGGGGTCCCATTCTCTTGGATCCTCTGCTAATCTGCCGATCAATCTTGTAGAGATTGCAGAGATGTTAATGACTTTATTTGACTTTTCTACTTAGAGACAGATAGATTAAGAAGTGTTTCAGGCTGTGGCCAGCTGGGACCATTCAGCAGCCTTCAGGGAACGCCTCTTTTAGCACAGGTCAGCCTGGCAGCCTGGGCTGTGGCCCCTGTGTGAATTGGCCTCTTGCACTAGAGATGGTTGGGTGGGTGGCTGAGGCTGCCTTCTCATACTCCAGGGTCTTTGTTCATATTTATGACACCTACATTTCTGCTTCCCTTTCTTACTTCTCCCTTCCCAGATCGGAGTGGAATAGAGCTCATTAAAGCTTTATAGGGGTAGTGCCAATAGAGAACTTTAGGTCTGGGGAAGAATCATTAGTAAAGATCGACCGTGTGCTCTGGGTGCCTTTAGGCAGCCACTGTTTCCATTGGTGTTTAATATTTATTGCTTTCTCATAATCTTCCAGCTGCTATCTTGTCACTGTTAGGAAGACTGGGGAAAATGTCCTATGGATATTTATTTTCTACCACATATTTAGTATATCACTTGAAAGTTTGAGTTCTGTGTTTCTTATATAACTTATGAATAATAAAATAAAAATCATCACTATTGCTTTCAGGCCAGATATACTTTTATTGCACAACATGTATTACGTACAAGAATATCACAAGATTTGGAAATGTTAGTCCTAGAAGAGTTTGACACAACGCAATGATAAGACAGTATGAAAAATGGAGCTATGAATAAAAAAGAATCCATAAGTCCCCAGAGCCTATGAGTATGTTATGTTGCATAGTGATGTAGTTTGGATGCCTGTCCTCTCCAAATCTCATATTGAAATGTGATCCCCAGTGTTGGAGGTGGGGTCTGGTGGAAGATGTTTGAATTATAGGGGCTGATTCCTTATGAATGGTTTGGTACCCACCCCGTGGTAATGAGTGAGCTCTCATTCTGGTAGTTTCTGTGAGAGCTGGTTGTTTAAAAGAGCCTGGCACCTCCCCTTCCTCTCTTGCTCCCTCTCTGTCTTGCCATGTGACACTCCTGCACCCCTTTACCTTCTGCCATGATTGGAAGCTTCCTGAGGCCCTCACCAGAAACCAATGCCTACACCATGCTTCCTGTACAACCTGCAGAGCCCAAATAAACCTCTTTTCTTTATAAATTAACCAGTCTCAGGTATTCCTTTATAGCAATGCAAATGGACTAACACACGTAGCGAGGAGGAATTAAGGTTGCACATGGAATTAAGGCTCCTAATGAGCTGACTTTAAGATAAGGAGATTATCCTGGATTATCTGCATGGGCCCAGTGTAATCACAAGGATCCTTTTAGTAGAAGAGGGAGCCCAAAGAGTGAGGCAGAAAGAGATTTGAAGATGCTACCTGCTGTCTTTGAAGATGGAGGAAAAGAGCCACAAGCTAAGGAATGCAGAAATTGGAATAGAAAAAGGCAAAAAACACAGATTCTCCCCCAGAGCCTCCAGAAGGAATGTAGTCCTGCCAACACCTTGATTTTAGCTCCATGAGACCCAGTTCAAACTTCTGACCTCCAGAACTACAGGGTAATAAATTTGTGTTGGTTTATGTCAACAAGTTTGTGCTAATTTGTTGCAGCAGCAGTAGGAAACTAATACACTACTGCTGAGGGCTTATGTCAATAAAGACAATACTGATATGAAAATACCTGTAATATAATTACAAACACAAATATCAAGTGCTTAGTGGACAAGGAGAGAAGAGCCTTCCCCCATGCAGAGTTCAGATGTTGCTTGATGATGGAGTTTACATGGGAAATTATATTATAAGTTACAGGTATTTAATATGTATAGCAACCCCATGACATAGTGACTGTCTGCAATTTAGAGAGGAGGAAACAGATAAGAGAAGTTGTACCATGACCCACAGCTAGTTAATTGAAAGAACTAGGATTTATAACATGCATTGACTGTATCCATAGCCTGTTGTTTCAGCCACTGGGCAATTTTGCCTCTCGCTTCAATGGTTGGTCAAGGGGATATGAATGGGTCATCAACAGTATCTACTAAATACCTCAAATCAACATGCGCCAAACTGAATTCATGATCTTAACCTCCAAGACTGCTCTTTCTCCTGGGTTTCCTGCCTCACTAAATGATCTCACTGCCAACCCAGAACCTTGAGCCTTTTCAGTATTACGCTAGATTCCTCCCTTTCCTAAACCATCCATATCACGTCTGTCACCAAGTCTTGTCAATTCCACCTTTAAGCTTTTCTCAAATCCACCCAGTCTGTGCCTTCCACCACCAATACATAATCTCAGGCTACCACCATCTCTCACCTGGATGCCTCATTGGTCTTTCCAACTCCCGTCTCCAGACTTTGTCTCTTCTAATCCATTTGCAATAAAACAATCAAAGTGGTCTCCAGAAACATACATTCAATTATGCATCTTATCTGCTAAAAACCATTCAGTGACTTTCCCTGAGGATAGAGGCCACAAGTCCTAACAGGTGTTTCTAGACATTCCAGGACCTTGCACAACTTCACACCTTATTCCTTTCCTGTTCAACAATTCCCTAAAAAATGTGTCTTTTCCCTTCACCTACAGACATACTTTCTACCCTCAGTCCTTCAAATATGCCATGCTCTCTCCACTCTCAGGGCCTTTGCTCACCCTCTCTTCCTCTAGTTATGACTTACGATCCCTGAGATCAAAATTACAAGTCATTTCTTTAAGAAAGTCTTCTCTGATCTCCTTTTCTTTTCTTTTCTTTTTTTCCTTTTATTATACTTTAAGTTCTGGGATACATGTGCAGAACGTGCAGGTTTGTTACACAGGTATACACGTGCCATGGTGGTTTGCTGAACTCATCAACCCATCATCTACATTAGGTATCCTAATGCTGTCCCTCCCCCAGCCCCCCACCCACCATTAGGCCCTGGTATGTGGTGTTTCTCTCCCTATGTCCATGTGTTCTCATTGTTCAACTCCCATTTATGAGTGAGAACATGTGGTGTTTGGTTTTCTGTTATCTGTATGATTCCCACAGCATCTGGTATGTCCTTATCATGGTATTTCTCACCCTGAATTGTAAGCTGTTTACCTGTCTAGATCCATCTCCCTCTCCATAACTGAGAGCTCTGTTAGGTAAGAACTGTATCAGACTTGATCATTGTTGTATCATCAGTACACAGTACTACCTGGCACATAGTATATACCTATGGAGCAGATAAATACCATTGTTCACTGAGTGAGGGAAAAAAAGTTTTCTGCATCCTATGGCAAAAGTGATAAACATGTAAATCTGGCTGGCTATTGACTGTCTCCCAAATGCCTGAAATCTGAGAGTTCAAAGCAGTTTTTTTCTTTAAACACCACATACCAAAGAAAAGGCCTCTCTTTGAAGTCAGCCTAGGAAGCCCAGGGCCAGGAGAAAGTGTGGTATGAATAGGCCTACCTCCCACCTGCTGCTGGAGGAATTTATCACAACTCTGAAGAGTATCCAAGAAGATACGTTTCCCGGAAAATCAAACCAAAGATCTTTCCAGAGCCCTGACTTTTAGTAATCCAGTACAATCGGTCTATTCATCTTTCTGGTAATGATTTCTTTCCCCCTCAAAGCACTCAATTCATTTTCCATCACTGACATGTAATCCAGAAATAATAGAGGTTAGTCTTGTATAACTCATATCCAAAAAGGGAAAGTGCCAACACCCTGAAAGAAAAGCTCTGAATTAAGTATTCCCAAAAATAATTCTCAGCAGATCTGGGGGATGTGAAAAGGCCTATTCAGTTGTCGATGATAATTCTTTTTGCTGTTTATTATAAATGTGGTTCCCCGATAGAAAGCGTTGAGTTTAAAAACACTACTCTGGCACAGTCCTTGTAATTACATCCCAGGATTCAAATCTGAAAATTGTTTCTAGTTCTATTTTCTAATAAAGTCTTACTCAGTGGTGCTAATACTTGAAATTGGTCTTTAAGAACTCTTAAAAAAAAAAAAAAAAAGGACCAGGCGTGGTGGTGCATGCCTATAATCCCAGCACTTTGGGAGGCTGAGGCTGGTGGATCACCTGAGGTCAGGAGTTCAAGACCAGCCTAGCCAACATGGTGAAACCCCATCTCTACAAAAATACAAAAATTAGCCAGGCATGGTGGTGGGCGCCTGTAATCCCAGCGACTCAGGAGGCTGAGGCAGGAGAATCGCTTGAACCTGGGAGGCAGAGGTTGCTGTGAGCCAAGATCATGCCACTGCACTCCAGCCTGGGAAACAGAGTGAGAATGTGTCTCAAAAAAAAAAAAAAAAAAAAAAAGAACTTTAAACTCCCACTGTGTGGCAATGCACAGTCAAACACATGATCAGACCCCCAGTGAGCATGTATCAGGAGTGAGAAATAAATCTTTGTTGTTTTAGCCATTAGGATTTGGGGATTCTTTGTTTCTATAGAAGTAATAATTTCCTATCAATCCTTTGACTTAAAAGCCACTTCAGAAGTGAACAGAAAAATCAGGCAGCTTGGAGAAAAAAGAAAGCCCAGTTCTATTACTGAAAGGGCTAGTTTGGAGAATAAAGCATAGACATTAGACAAAATCGGGTTCCCTAATAACTTCCCTCTAAATTGATCCAACCCATCCCAAACTTTAGGTCTCTCCACTGTAGGGCCAGATCCTGATATAAAAAGCGTATTACTTCATGGAGATTCAGAAGGAGGGGTTCTTGAGGAGAGGCAGGACAGAGAAACAGAATACAGCAAAGGGACTCAGCTGAGCACGCTCTGTTCCTTCTCCCTACTCTTCAACGAGACACGGCACTCCTCCCCGGAAGTATTCCCACACTTTCCCTTCCTGAGGAGAGGAACTTCTTTCCCTGCATTGAAAAACTCACAGTTGAAACAATGGAAAGTTGATCCATTTAAGCCCAAAGTAAGGTGGGAGGAACACGCAAGGCCTTCTTGCACCTTAAACTATTTTTGAATTTGTAGTTACTACAATTATGTAGTGTGACATCTATCCTAGGACGTGGATGGTTCAAAGGCATCTATTTTCAAGGAAAGCAGGATCCTGTACTGTTTCCGAAGCTGTGAGAAGCTGGATCAAATAAAACTATATCTGGGTAATAATAGCTTTATCTGGCCAGGTGCAGTGGTTCACGCCTGTAATCCCAGCACTTTGGGAGGCCAAAGCAGGTGGATCACCTGAGGTCAGGAGTTCAAGACCAGCCTGGCCAACGTGGTGAAACCCTGTCTCTACTAAAAATACAAAAATTATCTGGGCACGGTGGTGCACCCCTGTAATCCCAGCTATTTGGGAGGGTGAGCTATGAGAATTGCTTCAACATGGGAAGCAGAGGTTACAATGAGCTAAGATTGCACCACTGCACTCCAGTCTGGGCAACAGAGCGAGGAAAAGTCCTTAAAAGACAACCTGAATAGAGGGACGTGAGAGGGAAAGAGGCAGTCCTATTATTTCGGCTTAATGAAAGAGGGCCCTGGGCCTGAGGACAGGCGTACCAGCCTCAGGTGTTGTGGTAGCAGATGATAGAAGCCCACGTCCTCTTCTCATCTGCTTTCCTCAGCAGCTGCCTCCTTCATTTACCAAATGAAGTTTAACAGGATGCACTGAAATCCAAGATTTTCTTTTAGGTTTCATTATAGAAGTAGTATGGAATTTGGCTTTAAGTTAATGACAAAGAAGTGTATTGCTGAGGAATGGGACACCACTGACGCTGAGCAGTTTTAAGCAAGAGGAGAAGCATGATGTAGTGACGCCTTGGAAAAAACAACCAACTCATCCTATGATTGTCATGTGGAATCTATCAACTGAGTAACAAACGTGTTTGACTTCCAAAGCCATAAAATGCCTTTGGCATCTGCCAATTGTAAAACTGTCTGGCTCTCTCTATTTTTCTCTCTCTTGTAGAAAGTCAGGATACATAGATAGATAGATAGATAGATAGATAGATAGATAGATAGATAGATAGATAGATCAGGATACATAGATAGATAGATAGATAGATAGATAGATAGATAGATAGACAGACAGACAGATAGATAGATAGATGGTATATAGATAAAGATAGGAAGGGAGGAAGAAAAAGGGGGTGTCTTTTAAAAAAATTTATAGAGTATATAACAAATTGAGTCATTTTTGGTCAAATGTCTTTTTTATGTGCAACAGCTAAGAAATCACAAGCTCATCATGTGAAGAGGAAGAGTTTGGCAGCTCATCTTAAATTGTAATTATCTTCTTTGCATGAATCCTGGAGAAAAGGTCTGCATATCAGTTTATTTTTATAAAACCGTCTGGTTCTGCTGATGGTAAGACATCACTTGGATGAGCTACACAGAAGCTAAGGAACTGTCAGGGTAGGCCCACATCATTGGTATTGCTATTGAGATGTAACTTCTTTTGCATAAAGCTTTGCTACTACTATTTGTTCACTTCCTTTATAGTTTCTTGGATAGAATGTAGGAGCCTGAATAAAATTCCTGGAGAAGGAATTTTCTTTTCCTTTTTCTTTTTTGGGGGAAGTGAGGGTGGGGAGGGGCTGGGTCTCACTCTGTCACCCAGGCTAGAGCGTAGTGACACCATTACAGGCCACTGCAGCCTTGACCTCCTGGGCCCCACCTCAGCCTCCTGAGTAGCTGGGACTACAGGCATGCACCACCATGCCTGGCTAATTATTGAATTTTTTGTTGAGATGGGGTCTCCCTATATCGCCTGGGCTTGGACCTACTTTCTGATGGTCATTGTCTCTGGGGTTCCCCAAACTCAAAACATTAATGTATCTCATTGTAAAAGAAAATATGTATTTTCAAAAGCATTGGTAGCTGATTATAAATGGATGTTATATCTTCCCTGTGGAACACAAGTAATTTAGTTTTGATGGATAAAATGACAATCCTTTAATATTATATTGCTTATTCTGATAGATCGGATTTGAGGTTGGGTATATTTATAAATTTTATTAAATGGATGTTTCAGAGAGCTGTGATTAAGATTCTAGGACATTTTTTAGCCGGGGAAGCACATAGAATCTTGAAAGTCTTCATCTCTCGTGAACACTTTTTATCAATAGTTTTAATTTCAGGTTAGAATTTATGATTTACTTAATCTCTGCTTGTTGGCAGGAATTCTATTTATATTATATATTTTTTCTTTTTCTTTTTCTTCCTGGCTTGTCTTCAGTACGATATACTCTAAATTTTGCTGTAAATTTCCAGCATGGTGCTAATATTTGGGTGAGACAGAATTTCACCAGTGGGATGTGTTTTCTGGTGCTTTTAAACCTGAATTATGATTTATTGTCATGAATTGTTTCTGGACTCTGGTAACTCTTCCAAGGTGGGTAAAGGCAGCATTGAGCCCCAGGACACCAGGGGAAGACATAGAAATCTATTTCCTATGGCAGAAGAGATTGTAATCACTTCTGCCCGCCGTGGCCTTTTGGTTACAGGAATCAATACAAACAGCAGCTCTCCACGGTCCATTTGCTTTATCGGTGGCCCTCGGGTGAGCAATCATCTCAATTTGCCTGGCACTGTGGGGATTCCCCAGAGGGACTTGGGACTATTTTCCCAGTTTTTTTTTTTTTCAATTTTAGAAATCCTATTGGTTTGCAGTGGTGCCCCACTGTGGTTTTGATTTGCATTTCCCTGATGACCACTGATGTTGAGCATCCTTTTACATGCTTGCTGACCACTTGTATGTCTTTTTTGGAGAAACGTGTATTCAAGCTGTCTTCCTTATAGCTAAATAAAATCAAACAAAATCCCACCTCACATAAGGTGAAGTTTCCAGCTGTAGAGCGAATGAACTTTTAGGTCACCTGAGCAACCCCTTTTCTGACATGTCTGAGATAAATTAATCTTCTGATGACAGCACAATTGTCATGGGACTTATCTCAGGTCCAAGTGTTGTGCAGTGAGGTGATAAACAGATCCAGAGTGCTTCACCCAGCAACTCCACTCAACTTTTGTAATAGGTTGGATTTTGAGTTCCTGCAGAACAGGTAAGATGCCAGTCAACCTGGCCCTTGGTCCTTCACTCATGGGTCAGTCCAAGCATGTAGTACAATTATTCCTCCAGTGGCAAGTCAGCAAGAGGGGGCAGATGAGGTCAGCTACAGACAGGATAAGAGAAAGCAGGAGAAGCCTATTGTCCACCATTGCAATTTTAATTGGCTACATTTGAAGCTGGTAGGAATACAGACCACTGAGTGCCCTGGAGGAGGCAGTGCTTTAAGCCATTTTTGTTCAATCACTTCCTATGATTTAGTTTATTGGCTTAGTAGAAAACATTATGAGGGCCGGGTGTGATAGCTCACGCCTGTAATCCCAGCACTTTGGGAAGCCGAGGTGGGTGGATCACCTGAGGTCAGGAGTTCAAGACCAGCCTGACCAACATGGTGAAACCTTGTCTCTACTAAAAATACAAAATTAGCCAGGCATGGTGGCGGGCGCCTATAATCCAAGCTACTTGGGAGGCTGAGGCAGGAGAATCTCTTGAACCCAGGAGGTGGAGGTTGCAGTGAGCTGAGATCGCACTATTGCACTCCAGCCTGGGCAACAAGAGCGAAATTCAGTCAGAAAGAAAGAAAGAAAGAAAGAAAGAAAGAAAGAAAGAAAGAAAGAAAGAAAGAAAGAAAGAAAGAAAGAAAGAAAGAAAGAAAGAAAGAAAGAAAGAAGGAAGGAAGGAAGGAAGGAAGGAAGGAAGGAAGGAAGGAAGGAAGGAAGGAAGGGGAAAGAAAACATTATGGAATACTGAGTAAACAAGTTCAAGCAGGGCACAGTGGCTCACACCTGTAATCCCAGCACTTTGGGAGGCGGGCAGATCACGAGGTCAAGAGATCAAGACCATCCTGGCCAACATGGTGAAACCCTGTCTCTACTGAAAATACAAAAATTAGCTGGACGTGGTGGCACGTGCCTGTAGTCCCATCTACTCGGGAGGCTGAGGCAAGATAATCACTGGAACCCGAGAGGCGGAGGTTACAGTGAGCCGAGATCAGGCCACTGCACTCCAGCCTGGCCACAGAGTGAGATTCCGCCTCAAAAAAAAAAAAAAAAAAAAAAGTTCAGATGTGTGGGGAGGAAATAGGAAATGTCCTGGAATAGTGAGTGATGGATGAGTCTTATCGGGAAAAGCTTTAGGGGACTAGAGGTGGCGTAAAAGGACTGGGCCACATTTCAAGGGAGAGAAGGGATGCAGGGGTATTGTGGCCATTGCCTATTTCTTCTTTTTTTTTTTTTGAGACGGAGTCTCACTCTGTTGCCCAGGCTAGAGTGCAGTGGCATGATCTTGGCTCACTGCAACCTCTGCCTCCTGGGTTCAAGCTATTGTCCTGCCTCAGCCTCCCAAGTAGCTGGGATTACAGGCACGTGCCACCACGCCCGGCTAATTTTTTTGTATTTTTAGTAGAGATGGGGGTTTCACCACGTTGGCCAGGCTGGTCTCGAACTCCTGACCTCCGGTAATCTGCCTGCCTCGGCCTCCCAAAGGCCGAGGATTACAGGCTGGGGTTACAGGCACGTGCCACCACGCCCAGGTATGGCCATTGTCAAATCCTGTTTCTTTCTCACTCACCCAGACTGCAGACTAACACAGGTCTTGTCAGACAATCCCTTACCAGGCCGCTCCAACGCGAGGAAAGGTAAGGTAGGAAGAAGCTGCGTTTAGAGGGAGGGGACTTGTGGGAATGATGCACCAATAATACACAAAGGCTTCATTAGGGCACATCAATCCAGGAGTCCTTCACTTTATAGTGTCCTTTAGGAACTTCTCCTGGGACTGAATTCCTCTGGGCTAGGATAGTCTGAGCTTTAGGGCAGCCCAGGAACTTCTTGGAAGAAGTGAAAGGCTCTTGAGTCTGTCAGTATTTGTTTCCTTGCTCTTACATACACAGTGCAAGAGTGCATTCCCAATACATGCAACTCTTGAACTGTAACAATGATAATGATGGGTTGAAAGCTTACAATATTACAAATGTCTCTAGTTTCCCCAGAAATTTTTCTGTAATTTGCTTTCCGTTTCTCCGTTGATATTTTGAAACCCTTAAAGAAAAGCCACTTGCACACTGGATTTTGTTTCTGTTAGTATAGATCCTTCAAATGACAACCTAGTGACAAATGGAACTCTAGGACCTAAGATCCAGGATCTTACCCCTTCTCTCTCTCTCTTTTTTTTTCTTTTGAGACGGAGTCTTGCTCTGTCACCCAGGCTGGAGTGCAGTGGCACAGTCTTGGCTCACTGAAACCCCTGCCTCCTGGGCTGAAATCATCTGCCTCAACCTCCCGAGTAGCTGGGATTACAGGCGTGCACCACCATACCTGGCTAATTTTTGTGTTTTTAGTAGAAATGAGGTTTCATCATATTGGCCAGGCTGGTCTTGAACTCCTGACCCCAGGTGATCCACCCGCCTCAGCCTCCCGAAGTGCTGGGATTACAGTTGTGAGCCACTGCACCCGGCCCCCCTTCTCCTTTTGAATATTAATTCACAAGGCTTCTTCCTGTTGGCTACACCAAACAAAATTGTATCTATTCTGTTTTTGTTTTTGTTTTTGTTTTTGTTTTTGTTTTCCAGTTTAGAAAACATGGCCCTTTTAGCTGTAATTATATGGCTGGAAGAAGAAACAAAGTTGTGAGCTGCAATGGAGCTGAATGTTTTTGTCCCCCCACCAATCCCCCTCAAAAAACTCATAGGTTGAAATCCTAACCCCCAGTGTAATAGAAAATGGGGCTTTTGGGAGGTAATTAGGTCATGAGGGTAGAGCCCTCATGGAGGGATTAATGACCTTATAAAAGAGACTCCAGAAAGCTAGCTTGTCCTATTTCTGCCATGTGAGGACACAACAAGACAGTAGTCATGTGCAGCCCAGAAGAGGGTCCGCACCAGAACCCAACCATGCTGGGACCCTGATCTCAAACTGGCAACCTGCAGAACTCTAAGAAATGCCTCCTGTTTATAAGCCACCAGTTTATGGGACTTTGTTATAAGCAGCCCAAGCTAAGGCATATGGGCAATGAAAATATCAGAATTGTTTGAAACTTTAATCTATTGTAATAACTCCTTTCACATTGTGTATAATACGTCGGTTTAACAATATGTAATAAAATTTTAAAACAAGGCATCTATTCCAAGAATTAATTAATTATATTAATTGAACAGACACTTACTAATTCATTCAACAAATTGCTGAACACCTGATATGTGCCAGATATTTTTCTAGGTGCTGGAGATACAGCAGTGAAAACAAAGAGCAAACCCTGACCCTTGTGAAGTGAATTGTCAGGAGCTCAGCTGAGCTGGGAGAGAGAGAGCTCTCAGAGTAGCCGGTTACAGCAACAAGCCAGAGATAAAAGAACCGAGCCTTTAATCACTCACGGCAATGGTAAAAGCAAGAGCTTAAAGCAGTTTTATGGACCCTGAAGCAGGAGGGCAGCGGCGAGAGCTTGGAGTGGACAAGTCCTGGGTGATGAGTCAGAGTAGGGGAATGTATCATCAAGGTCTCCCTCCTCCCCGCATAAGGAGGTCTTGGCAAAGGCATCTGAAAAGGACGTCTACCCAAGGTCTGCCAGAGACTAGCAATGAAGACTCTGGGGCCAGGAATGTAAACATAGGAAAAGCATGACTGACCGGGAGAGCCTGAGTCCTTGACTGCAACTTCCTTCAGAGACCGTGACCCACTGGCTGTGCACCAAATGTCTCTCAGAGAGCAGCAGCTTTCTGTATGAGGTCTGCCAGGTAAGGCCTTCGTAATTGCCTGTAGTCAGGTCTGAAAGATCACACATTTGGCTTAAGCAAAAGCCAGACTCCTCACTAACATTCTAGATAATAAATATTCAAGCCAAATATATGCTATATTAGTGGTAAGTGCTGACAAAAAAGGTAAATAAATAAATAAGCAAGCAAGCTGGGAAGGCAGATAGGGAGTAAATGAGAGTTAGGGAGTACAAGTGTGATAGCAATTTGAGTCAAAGGCAGGCAAACGAGGCTTCATTGTAAAGGTGGCATTTGGTGAAACACTTCAGAAATTGAGACTTGCAGCTACCCAAGAGAAGAGCAGGTCAATCAGAGGGTACAAGAGGTAAAAATTTCAGGAGGTGGAAGTCCGTTTGTCTAGAGTGGAGCAAGCAAAGGGAGAGGGGCAGGGGTGATGGAGACAGAGAGCTAATGAGGCACCAGGTCTTGCAGGGCCCTGTAGCCACTGCAAGAACATGAACTTTTTCTCTGGGTGAGACGGGAAGCCACTGAGGACTTTGCAGAAATAACATGCTCTGACTCTAGATGCCCTCCTGAGAATAGATTTGGGAGAGAAGAGGAGAGGATGTTAAGGACAGAAGCAGGGAGATCTGTTAGGAGACTACTGTAATAATCCAGGAAAGAGATGATGTGGGTTTGGACCAGAGAGATGAGACTGGAAGTAGGGAGAGCTGGTTGGATTTTTGGAGATATATATATATATATATATATATATATATATATATTTTTTTTTTTTTTTTTTTTTTTTTTGAGACGGAGTCTTGCTCTATCGCCCAGGCTGGAGGGCAGTGGCACGGTCTCGGCTCACTGCAACCTCTGCCTCCTGGGTTCAAGCAATTCTCTGCCTCAGCCTCCCGAGTAGCTGGGATTACAGGTGCCTGCCACCATGCCTGGCTAATTTTTGTATTTTTAGTAGAGACAGGGTTTCACCATCTTGGCCAGGCTGGTCTTGAACTTCTGACCTTGTGATCCACCCGCCCTGGCCTCCCAAAGTGCTGGGATTACAGGCGTGAGCCACCATGCCCGGCCTTTTTGGATATATTTTTAATACAGTGCCCCCCATTTCATTAATTCTAAACATGTTTCCCTCCTTACATCTTAACATATCTAAAATCAGATTGCATCTTATATTGGGATGGCATTCTATAATCGCTGTCAAGCAGGTGGCAGCTGTGATGTAGTTGTCTATTAGTTGAAAACCTTCCAGTGATACTATCTGGTAATTGCCAGCATCAATTCATAATGCAGATATGTTGTGACAAATCCAGGTTTTATGTCATTAAATTTCAAAGCTTAATATATTTGCTCAGAAACCTATCATAAAGGTGGCTTCTCTGCTTACGTTCATGAACAATACCTTTTTTGTAAACCTCATCCCTTTTGCTCCAAAGCTGATCCTGTCGCTCAGTGTGTATGTCTCTGACGCAGTGTGGCACTGCAGGATTCATCCCAACCTTGACAGCTTCATATATGACCGTCACAGTCGGCCTCTCATTACATCTTCAGCCTCATTTCCCACCACTCTCTAACTTCATATTTTCTGCTCAGGTTTGCAGTCAATGCTCAGTTTCCTGTGAGACCAGGACCTTGTCCCAGCTGTACACTTTTCCAGTTGTTTTTGTTTTGTTTTGTTTTGTTTTTGAGAGGGAGTCTCGCTCTGTCACTCAGGCTGGAGTGCAGTGGCGTGATCTCGGCTCACTGCAACCTCTGCCTCCCAGGTTCAAGTGATTCTCCTGCCTCAGCCTCCCGAGTAGCTGGAACTACAGGTGAGCACCACCACACCCGGCTAATTTTTTTGTATTTTTAGTAGAGACGGGGTTTCACCGTGTTAGCCAGGATGGTCTCAATCTCCTGACCTCATGATCCACCCGCCTCGGCCTCCCAAAGTGCTGGGATTACAGGCGTGAGCCACTGCACCCAGCCTCCAGTTATTTTATCTGTCTTTCTCCCATTGGCTATTATCCTTAAAGATCCAGCTCAGATGACACCTCTTTTGTGAAACTTTTTTGACCCTCCAAACAGACTTTCGGCATCCCCTGAACACAGTGCAGCTTCAACAACACCGGTTTGAACTATCCTCGTCCACTTATATACGAGTTTTTGTCAATAAATATAGTCGACCCTCCTTATCCTCAGGTTCCACATCCACAACCAAAAGAGGACGAAAAATACAGTGTTCTAATGTGAAACCTACGATACAGAGGGCCAGTCTTCATACAGGTAGTTTCCCCAGGGCCAACTGCAAGACTTGGGTATGCCTGGATTTTGCCTTCATAATTGCCTGTAGTCAGACCTGAAAGATCTGCAGCGGTCCTAAAACCAATCCCCCCAAGAATACTGAGGGACAACTGTAATATACTTGGCATAGAACAGTTATGCAGTATTTGTAAGTATCTGTTTTTATTATATTGGATTTGATGAACCACAGTTTCCTGTTCTGCAAAATGTAGATAGTAATAGTAAATAGCATGAAGATGTTTTAGATGTTTTGAAGATTACTTAAAATAATACATACAAGCAGGCCAGGCACAGTGGCTCACACCTGTAATTCCATCACTTTGGGAGGCCAAGGCAGGCGGATCACTTGAGGTCAGGAGTTTGAGACCAGCCTGGCCAACATGGCAAACCCCCATCTCTACTAAAAATACAAAAATTAGCCAGGCATAGTGGCACACACCTGTAATCCCAGCTACTTGGGAGGCTGAGGCAGGAGAATTTCTTGAACCCAGGAGGTGGAGGTTGTAGTGAGCCGAGATCATGCTGCTGTACTGCAGCCTGGGCAACAGGGCAAGACTCGGTCTCAAAAACAAACAAACACAAAACAAAAAAAAGTACAAGCAAGAATAATGTTTAGTACTTAAGTGCTCAGTAAATGTTTGCTTTTTTTCTTTTTTTGACACAGGGTCTCACTCTGTTACCCAGCCTGGAGTGCAGTAGTATGATTATAGCTCCCGGCAACCTCGAACTCCTCGGCTCAGGTAATCCTCCCACCTCATCCTCCTAAGTAGCTAGAATTACAGGTGCATGCCATCATGCCCAACTAAATTTTTAATTTTTAATTTTTATAGAGATGGGAGTCTCGCTATGTTGCCTAGGCTGAGTTCAAATTTCTGGCCTCAAAAGATCCTCCTGCCTAGGCCTCCCAAAGTGCTAGGATTATAGGCATGAGCCACCAGGCCTGGCCATGCTTTTAAAAATTTGTATTACACTATGAATACTAATACATTTTAAATGATCATATTTTAGCCCCATGTGGAAATAGTAACATCTATTTTTAAGCCTTAGATTTGTCTCATCACAGAAACTTCTAGTGTATTCAATGAAAAAGAAAAAAGCAATAAAAAGAGGAGATAACCCCATTTCATTTTTCTCTTGGTGCTAAAGTGCTGCGATCTATGATTGTATGAAGATTCTAAATATAGATGCTGATGACCCAAAAGCTCTTCTCAAATTTCATTTTTTTTCTAATAGCTTCTGAAAAATACTCCCAGGAGTATCAACTCTTGGTGTCAATCAGGTAGTTTGTGCAATTTACAGTAGTTCATTGCATTCAATCATAATGACTTTATCTTACAAGTCCTTTCATGTCTAGTCTGCCTTGGCCATGATAAATACATCATTTAATTATTTAGTCTCTTTTCTAACAACAATCTTGTCTCACTGCAACCTCTGCCTTCCAGGTTCAAGCGATTCTCCTGCCTCAGCCTCCCAAGTAGGGGGGACTACAGGCGTGCACCACTACTCCTGGGTAATTTTTGTTTTTTTAATAGAGACAGGGTTTTACCATGTTGGCCAGGCTGGTCTCGAACTCCTGACCTCAGGTGTTCCGCCTGCCTCGGCCTGCCAAAGTGCTGGGATTGACAGGCATGAGCCACCACGCCTGCCTAGATAAGCAATTTAATGCATTGGTTAAGTCACTAAAATAGACATTATTGCACTGGGTCTGTGTTCATTCTATAATGCATGACTCTGAATAAGACTTTGACAACTTCTTCCATCCATGACTTAGGAGTTTTCCTGATTGCTACGTTAACATTAATGAATGCTATGGTTTGAATTTTTGTCCCCTCTAAAACTCGTATTGAAATTTATTTTTTAAATTTGTTTTTGTTTTCATGTTGAAATTTAATTGCCATCGCAACAGTGTTAAGAGGTAGAATCTTGAAGAGGCGATTAGGTCACAAGGGCTATATCCTCACTGGTGGGATTGGTGCCATTATAAAAGGGCAAGTTTGGCCTCCTCTGTCTGTCTGTTTCTCTCCCTCTGCTCTTGCCCTCTCACCTCCCACCATATGGTAACACAGCAAGAAGCCCCTTGCCAAATGCTGGCACCTTGATATTGGACTTTCCAGCCTTCAGAACTACAAGCCAATCAATTTCTGTTTATTATAAATTACCCAGTCTTAGAGCTGGGCACAGCAGCAGGTGCCTGTAGTCCCAGCTACATAGAAGGTTGAGGTGGAAAGAGTCTCTTAAGCCCAGGAGTTCCAGGATTTAGTGTACAATGATCACACCTGTGAATAGCCACTGCACTCCAGCTTGGGCCACATTGGGAACTCTGCCTCTAAATTTTAAAAGAATAAAGTAGAAATAAATAAATCACCTCGTGTATTAGTCTGTTCTCAAACTGTTAAGAAAGATATATCTGAGACTGGGTAATTTATAAAGGAAAGAGGTTTAATGGACTCACAGTTCCACATGGCTGGGGAGGCCTCACAATCATGGCAGAAAGCAAAGGAGAAGCAAAGAGACGTCTTACGTGGTGACAGGCAAGAGAGAGCTTGTGCCAGGGAACTCCCATTTGTAAAACCATCAGATCTTGTGAGACTTATTCACTATTAGGAGAGCAACATGGGAAAGACTCTCTGCCATGATTCAATTACCTCCCACCCGGTGACTCCCATGTGGAAATTATGGGAGCTGCAATTCAAGATGAGATTTGGGGGACACAGCCAAACTGTATCACCCAGTCTCAGGCATTTTTGTAGCAGCACAAAATAGACTAAGATAATACAATTTTAACATGTGATTATTAAATTCCCCTAGGGAATTTTTTTTTTTTTTTTTTTTTGAGACAGAGTCTCACTCTGTCACCCAGGCTGGAGTGCAGTGGCGCGATCTCAGTTCACTGCAACCTCCACTGCCCAGGTTCAGCAATTTTGCTGTCTCAGCCTCCCGAGTAGCTGGGATTACATGGGCTCACCACCACGGCCGGCCAATTTTTGTACTTTTTTTTTTTTTTTGAGACGGAGTCTCGCTCTGTCACCCAGGCTGGAGTGCAGTGGCGCGATCTCGGCTCACTGCAAGCTCCACCTCCTGGGTTCACCCAATTCTCCTGCCTCAGCCTCCCGAGTAGCTGGGACTACAGGCACCTGCCACCACACCTGGCTAATTTTTTGTATTTTTAGTAGAGATGGGATTTCACCGTGTTAGCCAGGATGGTCTCCATCTCCTGACCTCGTGATCTGCCTGCCTCGGCCTCCCAAAGTGCTGGGATAACAGATGTGAGCCACGGCGCCCGACCAGTTTTTGTACTTTTTAGTAGAGACAGGGTTTCACCATGTTGGCCAGGCTGGTCTCGAACTCCTGACCTCAAGTGACCCGCTCGTCTCGGCCTCCCAAAGTGCTGGGATTACAGGCATGAGCCACCCTGCCCGGCCTCCCCTAGGGATTTTAAATAAAATTCTTCCAAAACTTCATCTTGACTGGTGCACTATTGTTCTTGATACTTACGATGGTGCTCCTCCTCTTCATTCTTTCTCTTGTTTGGGTCCCTGAGAAACTGTAGAGTTTATTGGGTAAGTGAAAGTGTTGTATACATGTATTATTTTCAAATTAGTGTAATAAACCCGAGATGTAAAGTACACTTGGGGCATTTTCTTTCTTTTTCTTTCTTTTCTTTTTTTTTCTTTCTTTCGAGACAGAGTCCCCCTCTGTCCAGGCTGGAGTGCAGGAGCACGATCTCAGCTCACTGCAACGTCTGCCTCCCAGGCTGAAGCTATTCTGGTATGTTTCTAATCTCCCCTTTCCTCCCTCTCCTTCTTACTGATGACCTTGATTCATGATTCACAAAAAAAAGAAGCAAACAAGCACTCTCTCATCTCTCTAGCATTCTGAATTGGGACCCATTCTTTCTATAGGAGAAAGTGTCTCTGCTCCTAGTTAAGGCTAACCCTTCACTTCTACTCTGGATCTTACCTCCTTGTAACTTATGAAGGACTTTACTCCTACAAATCGACCTTTCTCTCTTGCATTCTTGATTTCCCTCTCCAGGGGATTGTATTCACCAGCAAATAAACTTGCTCCTGATTTCCCATTCCTGTCTAGCTGCTGAATGAATGGTTTTCCCCATGACATCACCTGTTCTCTCACCTCAATCCATTTCAATTAGACTTCTGTCCTCCCCACTACATCTGAAACTTCTAAGAGATTAGCCAGTGACCTTCATGTCACCAAATACAATGGTCACTTTTCTGATTTCGTCTTAACACCTCAGCTGCCTTTGTCCCAAGTGACCACTTTCTACCTCTTGAAACTCTTTCTTATCTTGGCTTACATAATACCCCACTCTCCTGATTTTTTTTAATAGCACTGTCTACTTATTGACTGCAGGATAGTAACTCTCAAATGTATATATCTATATTAGGCCATTCTTGCGTTACTATAAAGAAATACCTGAGACTGGGTAATTTACAAAGAAAAGAGGCTTGTGGTTCTGTAGTCTGTACAGGAAGCATAGTGGCATCCACTTCTAGGGGAGGCCTCAGGAAACTTGCAATCATAGCAGAAGGCAAAGGGAGAGCAGGAACATCACACGATGAGAATGGAGCAAGAGAGGGGAGGGAGGGGCTGCATGCATGTTCAACAACCGGATCTTGTAAGAATTCACTCACTACCACAAGAACAGCACCAACAAGATGGTGCTAAACCATTTCTGAGAAAAATCCGCCCCCATGACCCAATCACCTCCCACCAGTCCTGACTTCCAACATTGGGGATTACAGTTCAACATGAGATTTGGGTGGGGACACAGATCCAAACTATATCAATATCAAACTGTAATCTTCCCCAGAGTCGCATCCCCTGTATCTAAATACTACTTGGCATCTGTACTTGGGTGTCTAATTAGCATCTCATACCAAACTGTATATTATGATCATCTTTCAGTGTAAATGAATATACATTTAGAATCCTGTTGCTCTTTCCTCTGCCTCATACTCTCTCCCCCTATCCTTTGCCTTCATTTCCTGCCCCTATTCCTAGACCAGCCCCCAGTACATTAGGTCCCTTGATGATTTCATAACACCTAATAGTTTTCTCTCTGAGTAATTATCCCACTTATAGTCAATTAGTCAGATTATGTCTTTTACGTCAAACTTCCTTCTTTGGCCTCTATGATCCCTGAAGCCAGAAATTTGCTGCATTGTTTACTGTATCCTCAAGGCTCAACACAGTACTTTACACATATTTGGAGCTCAATACATTTTTTTGTTTTATAAGAAAGAATAAAGAGGCCTGTGAGGTAGCTCATGCCTGTAATCCCAGCACTTTGGGAGGCCCAGGTGGGTGGATCATTTGAGGTCAGGGATTTGTGACCAGACTGGCCAACATGGTGAAACCCTGTCTGTACTAAAAATACAAAAATTAGCCAGTTGTGGTGGTGCATACCTCTAATCCCAGCTACTTGGGAAGCTGAGGCAGGAGAATTGCTTGAACCCGGGAGGTGGAGGCTGCAATGAGCTGAGATCACGCCACTGCAGTCTAGCCTAGGTGACAGAGTGAAACTCTGTCTCAGAAAAAAAAAAAAAAAAAAAAAAAAAAGAATAAAGAAATGGATACTCTCTACATAACTTTTAACAGTTACATAGCATTGGTTTAGGGATATACTATAATTTAGTAAATAAATTTGTCTCTTTGTATATCTAGGTTGTTTTCTATTTTTCACTATTATAATCACTTCTACAATGAACATCCATGTAGCTAAATCTTTGGCTCATATTTACTCATGTGCTTAAGTAAATCACTAGAAATAGAATCACTGGTTTAACAGTGAAGTATACATTTTCAAGGCTCTTGCTATAGGGTGGTAGTCTGCAAAGTTGAACACCATTAACTCCTCTCTTCCCTGTACAAGCAAGCCACTCATCCCATCAAAAGGTGATGTCACTCCCTTATCCCTGGATGACTTGCCTGTAGAATATGGTGGAAGTAGGGCCACCAAATAAAATACCCAGTTATAATATTGTGATATAATAAGATATATATATTTGGTCTTCATCCCCAGTTTCTGGCACATAGCTCTTAAAACCTTTGGAAATTTCTTATAGAGGAAAAGGAGCGTCTTTTGTAAGGGAAAAGACTTTTGGAAAGCCCTAGAATGAGGAGCTGTTTGTCAAGGGAACTAACCAGGTGATTGAGGCTTGAACAAGTTGGACCCTTCAGCTCATCCTCTGACCTGCAAAGAAGGGAGAGGGGCTAGAGATTGAGTTCAATCACCAACGGCCAATGATTTCATTAATTATGCTATGGCAATGTGATGGACCTCCATGAGAACCCTATGTGGCAGGGTTTTGGAGAGCTTTCAGGTTGATGAACACATGGAGGTGCTAGGAGAGTGGTAACCCAGAGAGGACATAGAAGCTGCATACCCCACCTCTATACCTTGTCCCATGCATCTGTCAACTGAAGAATGATGAGGTTCATAAATTTGTAAAGGAGAGCTTTATTCTTTATAAAGGGTTGCAGCCTGAGGGTGGCTATTCTGGCAGGCTGAGAAATGTAGCCTCTGGGCAGAAGCTGGAAACAGACATTTTGAGGGAGTGGCAAAAGGAACATGAATTTATGCTGAGCAGGGTGGCTGAATATACATATTTAATAAGTTATAGGAGGAGACATGAATATTTATGAAAGGAGAAATGTGTGCATGCACAATTGAGCTTCATGTCCCTTCATGGGATCCCTGTTCAAAAAAATGGCCTCATTAGCATAATCTGAGGATGGAGTTTTCAGCCCTCTTATGTCAAAAGGTGAAGCACGGGACATGAAAACCCTTATTGTGCATTCTCCATAGACTGGCCAGAACCACTCCGTTGTCAGTGGTGTCTTATCAGGAAGGAAGGCTGGTCAGTTGCTTTGTCAAAATCCAAAAAGGGAGGAGCAGTGTCAGATGGTTGGTTGAAATCAGTGGTGCAAAGAGTCTTTTGAAAGGGTTGGTTTCTGTTTAACCCTTAGGGAAGAAAGCCTAACGGCAGCTAGCAAGGAAGGGGGTATAATGAGATGTGTCCTATCTCCCATCGAGTCATCGCTAGAAACTCAATTTTCAAGGTTTCTTGGGGGTACTCTTGGCCAAGAGGGGGTCCATTTTGTTGGTTGGAGGGATTAGGATTTTATTTTATTTCTCACATCTCTTCCATCTGTTTATATATATATCCTTTAAAATTTCTTTTGTAATAAATCAGGAATAGTAAATAAGCTTTCCCTAGGTTTGTGAACCATTCTAGCAAATTATTGTAACTGCCCAATGGGTGCACAGATAAAATCA
This sequence comes from Homo sapiens, assembly GCF_000001405.40. Classification (NCBI taxonomy): domain Eukaryota; kingdom Metazoa; phylum Chordata; class Mammalia; order Primates; family Hominidae; genus Homo; species Homo sapiens. The sequence goes on along the minus strand of NC_000002.12, from coordinate 113,808,875 downwards.
ACTCACTGAGACTTCAGCATTGCAGTAGGTGGAGTTATTACTCAAATCAGTCTCCTCAAAGGCTCAGAGTTAGGGTTTTTCAAGGATAGTTTGGTGTTGGGGGCTAGGGAGTGGGGAATGTTGATTGGCTGAAGATAAGGTGATATGGGTGTGGCCTTTGGGTGAGGGCCATGGACCCCATGGTTAGGGTGGATAAGAAATGCAAAAGTCTGCTGGGTGCAGTGGTTCATGCCTGTAATTCCAGCACTTTGGGAGGCCGAGGCAGGCGGATTACTTGAAGTCAGGAGTTCAAGACTAGACTGGCCAACATGGTGAAACCTAGTCTTTACTAAAAATACAAAAATTAGCCGGGCGTGGTGGCAGGCAACTGTAATCCCAGCTACCTGGGAGGCTGAGGCAGGAGAATTGCTTGAACCCAGGATGCGGAGGTTGCAGTGAGCTGAGATCGTGCCACTGCACTCCAGCCTAGTCAACGGAGTGAGACCCCATCTCAAAAAACAAACAAAAAAACAAACAAACAAAAAAAGAAATGCCAAAGTCTGAAAAGACATCTCAAAAACCAATCTTAGGATCTACAATACAATACAATAGTGATGTTATCTACAGCAATAATTGGGGAGGTTACAAATCTTGTGACCTATGGAGCAATGGCTGGTTATTGTTTATGCTTACATCTTAGCAGAATTCAGGCCTCTCTCATAACCATAACCTTGTGGACTTTCATTAGTTTTACAAAGGGGGTTTAGTTTTGGGAAAGGCTATTATCATCTTTAAGGTTAAGCTATAAACTAAATTCCTCCTAAAGTTATCTTGGCCTACACCCAGGAATAACCAAGTACAGTTTGGAGGTTAGAAGCTAGCTGAAGCACACTATGTCAGATTGCTCTTACTCTCATAATTTTGCAAAGGTGGTTTCATTATTGAACCTGAAGAGGTGGTTGTGGGAGCCTTTGATTTGTAGCCAAGTCATACAGAAGTTGTGGATAAGTGCCCATCACTTGTGATTGGCATCTGAAGTGTGGGTGGATGGGGGTGGTTTTGTGGGACTGAGCCCTTAAGCTATGGGGTTTGCACTAACTCTGGGCAGTTAGTGTCAGAATTGAGTTAAATGGTAGGATGCAGCCAGGCGCAGTGGCTCACGCCTGTAATCCCAGCACTTGAGAGGCAGAGGAGGGCAGATCACCTGATGTCAAGAGTTCGAGACCAGCCTGGTCAACATGGCAAAACCCCATCTCTACCAAAAATACAAAAATTGGCCTGGTGTAGTGGGGGAGGCCTGTAATCCCAGCTACTCAAGATGCTGAGGGAGGAGAATCGCTTGTACCTGGGAGGCAGAAGTTGCAGTGAGCTGAGGTCGTGCCATTGCACTCCAGCCCGGGCAACAAGAGTGAAACTCCATCTCAAAAAAAAAAAAAAAAGAAATTGTAAGATGCTCAGTCAATGTACACTAAGAATTGAGGAATTGGTTGATGTGCGGAAACAAAAAACCCATACATTTGGTGTCAGAAGTGTTGTGTGAGTAGCACAGAAAAATAGTTTTTTCTTTTACCAGTTAAATTTGAATATCAAGTAAACAGAAAATTGGGACATACTTATACTAAAAAAAAATTTGTTGTTTATTTGGAATTCAAATGTACCTGGGCATTCTGTATTATTATTTATTAAATCTGGCAACCCTAGGTATGATGACACTCTTCTAGTTCTAGGGGTAGCCTTAAGAGGCCTGGCAGTTTCTCCTTTTGCCCTCCAGAAGCCAGCCACTATGCTATAAAGAACTTTGGGCTGGACTACTGAATGAAGAGAGGTCACCTGGAGAAGCCCTAGAAGATGAGAAGTGATTTTATATATTCCAGCTGCAACTGAATGGAACGTCTGTTGTGGGTTTCCTTTCCCTTTCTAACTATTGCATTCCTGGTGGGGATGAGGGAGTTAGGGGTATCTGGGGAGGATCAGAAAACAGTTTACAGGTCTTTAGATCCAGGAAAGCTGTACCAGAGGAGCTACATCCACATCTGGACATATAACTGATCGTGAATATTGGGCCTGATGCTTTGATAGGATAAGACTTTGCAGTATGTTGGGAGGGGTTGAAAGAATGTAAATAATTCATTGCCAGAGGGCAGACTGTCGTTGACTCAAGATGGTCATGGTTTTATTGCCACTTCTCTGAACAAGAGACAGAGTCTATTTGCCGCCACCCCCACCCTCTCATGAACTCTGGGCTGGCCTTGTGACTTGCTTGGACAAACAGAAGGCAACAAAGTTGCCGTGTGACTTTCAGACAATAGTGTTCTGGAAAACCAGATCTATAAAAAAATTTGTTAAAGCCCTAATTTAGATCACTTGCCTATTTCTGTGGTGTAAATACTCCCACCACGGCTGATTTCAAGCTATCAGCGTGATATCACCGACCATGGAGTTGGGAATAGACAAGCACAGCTGGCTTTCAGGAGCCTGTGCAAATTGGCTCCAGCATGTCACCACTCTCAGACCTTGTCCTTGAGAAGCTCTGTCAGCTTCCATTTTTGCTTCCTTGAAATCCACCCAACATGAAGGATCTTCAAGATAGGCTCATGAATGATGAGAGGCCGAATGGAAAGAAAGGACAAGTAGAAAAGGAAGGAGCCTTAGGCATTCTTGCCTCAAACTGGCTCCCAGCTAAGTACAGCTGTATTAGGGACCCTGGCCAACATTACATGGAGCAGAAGACCACCTCACCAATCCAGAGAAATATGAGAAATAATAAATTGTTGTGCATTGAAGCCACTATATTTTGGAGTGGTTCTTTTTTTTTTTTTTTTTAAGATGGAGTCTTGCTCTTGTCACCCAGGCTAGAGTGCAATGGCACGATCCCGGCTCACAGCAACCTCCGTCTCCCAGGTTCAAGTGATTCTCCTGCCAAAGCCTCCTGAGTAGCTGGATTACAGGTGCCTACCACCATGCCCAGCTAATTTTTGTATTTTTTTAGTAGAGACGAGGTTTCACCATGTTGGCCAGGTTGGTCTCGATCTCCTAACCTCGTGATCCACCTGCCTCAGCCTCCCAAAGTGCTGGGATTACAGGCATGAGCCACCACGCCCAGCCTGGAGTGGTTCTTAAATTAGCAATAAAATGAAACATATATTGCCAAGCTGTCATTAAATAAAGCTGTATCAAGTTTTACTCCCTTTAGCAATGCATAGGAGTGCCTTATTCTTTCAACAGAAGCCCACACTGTGAATTACCATCACCAGTTTGACAAATTAAAAAATACGTGCGTTGCAGTTTAATATGCATTTCTTTGAAAATGAGTTTGAACATTTTTTCATATGCTTATTAGTCATAAACTGATTGTACCCTCAGTCCATTTTTCTATTGATTTATAGGAGCTTTTACTATTTTAATAATAGTAATAATAAATGGAGGATAATTTGCAATATGTATGACTACATAGTTTACTTGTGTGTTCTTTGCAGTAAAGAGCTTAAACGATTGGTATAAAAATGATGCCTGGCTAGAAAATTTTCTGAGTGTTTCTTATAACGCCATCATATCCAGTTTTGAGTTTGTTCATTTTTAGCATTTCTTAAATTATTTTGAATAGTTTCCTTGGATTTTCTCTACTGGTGATTTTCTTCAATGGAATCTTCAGCTGAAACCCAGTACAAAACACATCTCCCCTGCCACTTTAATTTGAACACCACTGGCTCAAGCCACTGTAGTAGGCTAATTCTTCAACTACTCTTTTGTTCAAACCAACGAAAAGTCTTTGATACGTAGCGCAATTACATTTCATACCAATTTAAATTTCGCAAATTGGAAACAGCGCTATATAAAAATGTTATTAGTTTGTGCAAATTATAAATAATGTGAATTCTCCTTAAACCAAAAGTACTAAAATTGGATTGGATTCTAGAACCAAAACAAAAAAAGATGCATTAATGGGAAAGCAGAAAAATTAGAAAAACTCAAATAAGATCTAGAGTTCAGTTAACTTTATCAATGTTGTTTTCTTAGTTTTGACAAATGTACCTGGGTAATGTAAAATATCAGCAACAGGGAAAACTGGGTGAAGGAATATGTGGAAATTCTCTATACTGTGTTTGCAACTTGTCTATAAGTCTAAAATTATTCCAAAATGAGAAGTTTATTTTTTTAAGCATTTAAATATTTGCTCTAAGAAATGTTATACAGTGTTATAGGCCTATGTGTTCTAAGAATACTTTTCCTCATGTTATATTTATTCCTCTGGAGGAATACATTGTCTAGAATTAGGCAAGTTTGGAGTTATATGAGGTTTTCAGGACCTTATCTCCTGAATATAATTACTGCCATGTAAATTATATATTCACATCCCATTTTGAAAACCAAAATAGGAATAACTAAAGATCAAAGACTGACTCATAATTTTTTAAAAATTTTTTTGAGATGGAGTCTCACTCTGTCACCCAGGCTGGAGTACACTGGTGCGATCTTGGCTCACTGCAGCCTCTGCCTCCCGGGTTCTGTGGGAGCAATTCTGAGGTAGCGATTCTCCTACCTCAGCCTCCAGAGTAGCTGGGATTACAGGTGTGTGTCACCACGCCCTGCTAATTTTTGTGTTTTAGTAGAGACGGGGTTTCACCATGTTGGCCAGGGTGGTCTCAAACCCCTGGCCTCGAGTGAGCCGCCCGCCTCAGCCTCCCAAAGTGCTGGGATTACAGGCCTGAGCCACCGTGCCCAGCCCTCTGAATCATAAACTAAAAGAAATCCTTCCTCTCAATAAAAACCAAAAACAAAACCCAAACTCTCTCTTTTCCAGTTTCTGACATTGGAATTGCGGCAGTAAAGCCTTATCACGCTATGGTGATCTTCAGACTAGCATGTGAGTGGAAATCTGGCTTTAAGTGTGGAATCTGGACATAAGGTCCCAGGTAGGGCTTTTTGTCTACCTCTAAGAGGCAGAAGTGTAAGCACATAAATCCAAACTTGCAGCCACAATCATAAATCTTTACGAGAAATTGGGCTTTGCTCATGAAGTTGGTAAGGAGACCCTCTTGTCCCGTGCTTTTGTATTCTCCTCTCCCATCACAGCAAGTGTCTTGGGAATGAAGGAAGGGGTTTTAGTTTAGTGTTTTGCATTCCTCTGTTTGTTTCTTTGCAGATAAAATGTGTCTTTTTATGGGCTTCCCAGTTGTAAAAGAAATTCCAATAATTTAAGTTCTGGGTGTTTCAGGTTTTACAGTTCCGACTGTTTCCCCTCTACTTAGAGTATATATTTCCGAATACTATGATACACTCCCCTGTGCCTCATTTCTTATACAGATGATAGCCACTGATATTGAGTGGCCTCTGAATAAACAGTGCAGTCATATTTTGCACTAATTTGAATTAGCAAATTCGAAACAGTGAGAGATGAAAAATATTATTAAAGTCTCACTTTATGCACACAAGTTGAAATAATGTAAATTCCTCACACTAAAATTTGTTCATTCTGCATTAAATAGTAAGTTTGTTATAAGAAATGCACTACAATGCCCTAGGTTTATGTGCACGGAGGCTATTTCTTGCATTACATTCATTCTTAAGGGAAAAATCTGTCTGAAATTATGCGTATTTTGAGTTATGTGAGGTTTTCAGAAGCCCTTCCTAGAGTGAGTCTGGAGTAACTTGGGTGATTTAACTCCCCCAGTGGGAATCTGTTTTATTATTGTTACTGATGTGATTTCTAATGGCAAAAGTTATTGATTGCTTAGTCCTATGCCCAGTACTGTACTGAATACCTGTATGATGTACTTAACAATGTATATTATTCCATCACATCTATGAGGCAGGTATTATTACTTTCATTCTATAAATGAAAAATTGTATGCTTGGTAAATTTAAGTAACTTCTTCTTCTTCTTCTTCTTTGTTTTTTTTCTCACACAGAATCTCACTCTGTTGCCCAGGTTGGAGTGCAGTGGTGCAATCTTGGCTCACTACAACCTCTGCCCTCTTGGTTCAAGTGATTCTCCTGCCTCAGCCTCCCTAATAGCTGGGATTATAGGTGCCTGCCACCACATCTGGCTGATTTTTGTATTTTTTTAAATAGAGATGGGATTTCACCATGTTGGTCAGCCAACTCCTGACCTCAGCCTCCCAAAGTGCTGAGATTACAGGTGTGAGCCAGTAACTTCTATCCAAGGGATTATCTTTGGATTTAAGGCTGGAATCTAAATCCCTTATTTAGGGCTGGAATGAAGATTTTTTTTTTCTCTGCAAATTCTAATACTTTTGCTAACTAACTCAGTATAAAATGTTTACCATGCATCAGTTATTTCAACCCTGTAGAAAAGTAGATAGGTCTTTGCTTTTGTAATCATGGTCTTTCAATACTAAATTTTGATTTTGCTTCTTGATTCCTAAGTCACTGCTAAGTCACCTTTCAAGAAAGCAGCCTCATCCTGTTGAGGTTATTAAGAGACTGATGCAGCAAACCAGTAACTCTGGAATTGCCAGGACTGGAGAAGCTGTTTGACAATTTTTTGTTAGCTTGCTTGTTGTTGCTTGTTTCTTTTGTTGTGGGAAATTTTCCATATCAATTGAAACTGCTCAAAATCTTTTTCTAATGGGTTCTATGTGCCACTTCTTTAAACAACAGTGTCACTAATCAGTATTTCCCCTCCTCCTAGGGGTGGTTGATATTGTTAAGACAAAATGAAAAAGGGTACTTGTAGGGGGAGGGTACAGTTTGTTGTTGTTATTGTTGCTGTTTGCTTTACAAATATTTATGCTTTTTGAGTTAAAAAAAAAGGTAAATCTACTCACAGAGGCAGTTTGGTTCCTACTCATCTGAGGCATTCTATGGCCTATGATGTACTTTCCCTTACTAAATCCTTCAATGTGGAGAGACAGAGTAGCCCCGGGACAAGGAAGAAACTAAATCTTTTTAATATCTTCCAATCTCTGGGCGCAGAATGGAGGAAGAATGGACCTAGAATGGAGGAAGATGAGCTGATCTGGAATTGGGAGTGTCATACTCTACTCCACTTATATTTTTGATCTATAAAGGTGTAACCACACTCATAAATGCTTATTAACCAAAGACCCAAAGTTCTGCTCCATATCAATAATCTTTGCAAGACCTTCATCATTAGTTTTCATTAATAATTCATATTCTGTCACCCCCACTAAAAGTGAGCTTCCTGAAGGCAGAGACTTTGTCATGAAGACTACCTGACACAAAGTAGGCATTCAGTTTATTTTCAATGGATGACTGAATTAATAAACGAATTATGGTTTCATAACTGAGACCTCATTAAAGCAGCTTCCACCTGCCTCAGCCTCCCAAAGTGTTGGGATTACAGGCATAAGCCACTGTGCCTGGCCTGGAGACCTCTATGCTAATGCTTGTACCTATGTATCTACTTTAATTAATTCATTACTTAATTTATTTATTTTGAGATGGAGTCTCACTCTGTCACCCAGGCTGGAGTGTAGTGGTGCGACCTCAGCTCACTGCAATATTTGCCTCTGGGTTCAAGCCATTCTCGTGCCTCAGCCTCCCTCGTAGCTGGGATTACAGGCGCATGCCACCATGCCCGGCTCATTTTTGTATTTTTAGTAGAGACAGGGTTTCACCATGTTGGCCAGGCTGGTCTCGAACTCCTGACCTCAAGTAATCCTCCCGCCTCGGCCTCCCAAAGTGTTGGGATTACAGGCGTGAGCCACCGCGCCTGGCCTGATTTTTAAAATTCTATTTCCTATTCTACTTTGTTGGTTATGAATCACTAAGTTAGTTTCATGACCTTCTCTAGAGGTTTGAGAGAAAAAATCAAGACCACTACTGTAGAAGATTTCAGGGGATTCAAAGGGAAATGATGGCCACTGGCCAACAGAAAGCACATATAGGCCACTGAATTATCAACATAAATCCAAACAAAATGCTGTCCGTTTTAACAAATGGTGCTGGGAGACCAACTGTGTATTCAAGTGTAATGAAATGAAATTGGACCCTTACCTGACACCATATATAAAAATTAACCAGAAATGGTTAAAGGCCTAAGCGTAAGAGGTAAAATTATTATACTCATAGGTGAAAATATAAGCATAAATCTTCAGAGCTTGGATTAGGTGGTGGTTTCTTAGACAGGACAAATAAAACACAAGCCACAAGAGAAAAAGAGATTGATTGGACTTCATCAAAATTTAAAACTCTTATGCTTCAAAAGACACCATAAAAAATTAAAAAGACGGCCGGGCACGGTGGCTCACACCTGTGATCCCAGCACTTTGGGAGGCCGAGGCAGGCAGATCACTTGAGGTCGGGAGTTCGAGACCAGCCTGACCAACATGGAGAAATCTATCTCTACTAAAAATACAAAATTAGCTGGGCATGGTGGCACATCCCTGTAATCCCAGCTACTCGGGAGGCTGAGGCAGGAGAATTGCTTGAACCTGGGAGGTGGAGGTTGTGGTGAGCCGAGATCATGCCACATTGCACTCTAGCCTGGGCAACAAGAGCGACACTCCATCTGAGAAAAAAAAAAAAGAAAAAGAAAGAAAGAAAGAAAAAATTGGAAAGGCAACCTACTGAATGGATTTTTTCTTCAAATTATTTATCAGATAAGGGATATATGTCTAGAATGCGTAAAGAACTCTTACAACTCAATAATAAAAAGACAAACAAGCCAATTAAGAAGTAGACAAAAGATCTGACCAGATACCTCACACATTGTTTTTAGTGTTTGGTGAGGGAAGGAAGAAAGGGAAAAAGGAAGAAAGAAAGGAAGGAAAGAAGAAAGGATGGGAGGAAGGGAAGGAAAGAAGGAGGGAGAGAGGAAGATTCTTTCTTGCAGGTCTTTGGGCACTAGGTATATTTTAGGGCAGGAAACAGAGACTTGGGAAAAAGGACCTTGGGTGAATTTCAAGATCAGTTATCAGATGATTATTCATTACCACAGAATCTCCATATCTTCTAGTAGGAGGGGACCCTGATCTAATTCCTTCACTGAATAAGGTAAACAGCGTCCCAAGAGGTGTAGTGACTTTCTCAAGATCATATGTCCAATATGAAAGAAGCTAGGGTTAGCAGAGTTTAAGTCTCAAATGACTTATGAAATATTGTTATAAAATAGGAGAAAATACAGAGAACAGAAGGACAAAGAAGCAGGAAGTGGGGGGATATTAAAACACAAAATATACATTTGCCATGATAACTTTTGTTCTCCGGGACAGAGGCGTACATTTTGCAGTATTGTGAAATAGCGGTTAGGAGGGGACTAACTCATGGATGCTAGGCCAGAATCACCACATGAGTGCTGTGGGGACCAGTAAAATTTTTAAAGTTTTATAATACAAAATACTCAGTGTTCTTTTAGTGCCCTCTGTAGTTCTCTGCAGAATCAACTTAATGTGGAATGATTTCTACTGAGTGCTTCTTTGTCCTTTTCATTTTCTTCGTAAACCACTTCCTTCTTTCAGTCTCTACTACTACCAGAGATCTGGATTCCTCATTTTCTATTCTGGGAGAAAGCCTATTCTGCAGGAGGATTATCATCCCCCCGCCCCTAGTTATTTATGTACTATATATAAAACATATATTAATATATATAATTTTATAACAAAACTGTGTAGATTCATTGAAGAAAATGTAGAAGATATGGGAGTAAAAGCAAGATTTTTAAATCACCTTTAGTCTCACTATCTAGATATTAATACTAATAATATTTTGTGGGATTTCCTTTCAGTCTTTTGGGGGATTTTTAAAAATGCATATACACACACAGAGTACACACTTTAAAACAATTAATTGGGCCAAATTATACAAATATAACATATTATCACTTGCTGTTTTCATTTAACAATGTATCATTGCCACTTTTCTCTATCCTAAAGTAATCTTCTATAATATTTTAATTATCTCAAATATTCCCTTGTATAATGTGCCAAAAAATATTCAGATCATCTACTAAGTCTTGGATATTTTTGTTGTCTCCAATTTTTTCATAATATAGAAAAAAATGTGGCTGGGCGCCATGGCTCATGCCTATAATCCCAGTACTTTGGGAGGCCAAGATGGGTGGATCACGAGGTCAGGAGATGGAGACCATCCTGGCCAACATGGTGAAACCCCATCCCTACGAAAAATACAAAAATTAGCTGGGCATAATAGCATGCGCCTGTAATCCCAGCTACTCAGGAGGCTGAGGCAGGAGAACGGCGTGAACCCGGGAGGTGGAGGTTGCAGTGAGCCAAGATTGCACCACTGCACTCCAGCCTGGAAAACAGAGCAAGACTCCGTCTCAAAAAAAAACAAAAACAAAAACAAAAAAATGCTACACTGAAAGTCATTGGAGCTAAATCTTTTGCGTGTGTCAATGGTGATTGTTTACTCAGGATAAATTCCTAGAAGTAGGTCAAAGGTAATCACATAATTAAGCACAAATAGGTAAGTATATAATTTAAAAGTTTTGATAAGTGCTGTCAAATTGTATTCCAGAAAGATTGTGGAATTTTATAGCCCTATTAAAAAAGCAAAGTGAGGCTGGGCACGGTAGCTCATGCCTGTAATCCCAGCACTTTGGGAGGCCAAGGTGGGTGGATATCGAGGTCAGGAGTTGGAGACCAGCCTGATCAACATGATGAAACCCCGTCTCTACTAAAAATACAAAAATTGGCCGGGTGTGGTGGCATGCGCCTGTAATCCCAGCTGCTCAGGAGGCTGAGGTAGGAGAATTGCTTGAACCTGGGAGGCGGAGGTTGCAGTGAACTGAGATCGCACCACTGCACTCCAGCCTGGGCAACAGAGCAAGACTCTGTCTCAAAAAACAAAAAAAAGAAAAGTGTGCCTGTGTATTTGTGTATATTTGTATGTGTGTGTATATAATGTGTGTGTATATGTGTGTGTGTTTTACCCAGTATTGTGGGAAACTCCTTAGCTTAGGTCACTATATCAGAGTAACTCTGGTTGCTGTCATAAATAAACTCTAAAATTGCAATGGCGTAACATAATATAAATTTATTTTTTGTGCATGTAACTGTCCAATGAGGGGTTCCTGGTTGAACATGGCTTTCTCCACAGGGTAATTTAGGGATTCAGGCTTTTCTATCTTGTGGGAATTTTCTGGTGCTTCCCCGCTGTTGTATCCATCTGATGGGGACACAGGGAAAAGAAGAAACATAATGGAGACATAACTTCACATTCCATTGACTAGAACTCAGTCATATAGTCAATCTAACTGCAAAGGAGTATAGGAAATGTAATCAGGAGGCGCTGCCACAGTAACCAAAAAGGATAAACGTGGGTAAAACAATGCAGCAGTTTCATGGAATTAAAAACACATTGCTGACTCTATTGACAGAAGAGGCCAATTGCAGTCATTAGCAATAACATTTCCATGGACACATTGAAGTTGAAAAGACAACTTAAATTCTCTAAAGGCTTTCCACCTGTATATTTGCAAACATATGATAGGGTTTTTTAAAATACCAATTTTATGCTGAATAAGGCTTTCCCATTCAATATCCTACTGTTAGTTTTTATTAGTATACTATATATTACAACAAAAAGATACTAAATACCTAGTTAAAATAATTAATCATGCACAGAGCATTATTTCATTTGACAATGTTCTGTTCATTTATCTGCTGTAATTCCTACAATACGACTCAGGCAGGTGAATTTGTAGGTTTATTGATGTTCCACAGTGAGCAAGTCTATGCAAACCTAACCCCAAAGGCCAAGGAAGCTGAGAGTCTGAAGAATGAGGCTGACAAATCCACTCCCTCAGAAAAAAACACTTAACAGGGAGTTATGAACAGAAGCTATGTCCTAGGCAGCCACAGAAGAGATGGCGGATTCCCAGGCCATTTCCACCCAGACTCAGGGTATATACCATAGGGAAGGAATGTGTAGGACAGTTAAAGCTGACCCCTCAGGGAAAGGCAACAAGGCAATGTGAATCTACCTAAACGCAGGATGTATGGTAAAGGTCGTTTTGAACAAAGGGCAGGATTTATAGTAACAGTAGATAAAGGAGAAATCTTAGAGGCATTCCTGGAACAGGGGTCAATCAGAAGTCAACATAGCAGATTAGCGTCCAAGATGGAGTTGCTTTAATCTTCACAATTGGACAATCATACAGGCTGTCCTAAGATTTTTATAGGCGTGTTTCCCTTTGTCCTCTTCTAGAAGTCAATTTATGGCTTGACGATATATTTAAGGTCAACTTGCAGAAGTATGAATGGCTTTATGTTTTTTCTCCTTTCATGTTAAGTGCAAGTTAAGTAGTCTGCCAAGTAGATCATAAAACAGTCTTGAAAATATTGGCCAGGCACAGTGGCTCACACCTGTAATCCCAGCACTTTGGGAGGCCGAGGTGGGAGGATCATGAGTTCAGGAGTTCGAGACCAGCCTGACCAACATGGAGAAACCCCGTCTCTACTAAAAATACAAAATTAGCCAGGCATGGTGGTGCATGCCTGTAATCCCAGCTACTTGGGAGGCTGCGACAGGAGAATTGCTTGAACCCGGAAGGTGGAGGTTGTGGTGAGCCGAGATCGCGCCATTGCACTCGTAAAGACGTGTAGTTTTTTTTAATAACTCGTTTTGTGCACTGATACTCATTCATAACACATAGCCAATGTCTTTTCCTTAACACCATCACTGTTAATGTCTGCTGCTTGGGGCTGAGATAAAGTTCCTGGCTTACCTTTAAACACATCACATTGGCACTGAAATTTTGAATTTAGCTGGAATCCCACAAGAATCTCCCTCCTGCTCATCTGCATGGTCACAGTCAGATGGCCAGTCTGCCATTCTTATTTGTGGCAGCAGAGTCTCTCCAGTTTGGGCTTCCAGCTGCAAGTGCTGCAGACATCTCCCTAAAGATGACAACCAGAAACAAAATGCAGACCTCTGGCTCAAGTAAAGCCATTCCCACCAAGATTTCTTATTTGGTGGCCACACCCATGTCAGAAGAGCATTTCAGGTCTGTGGCATCCACACCCGAAACATTAATTGCTGTGCCCTGTGCAGCTGTACATTCACAATCTCTAACTAGCCAGTGGTAATGGAGCCTCAAATGGACCCTGGAAAAGGCAGCTGAGAAGGCAGTGGCTGCTTTTCTGCATCATTGCATGATCCAGGAAATACCTTCCGTGGCTCTAGAGTTGAACCTTATTGAGGCTGAGCTGGCTGTACTTTCCAGTGCTGATGACTGAGTTGTGTTTGGGAAGAGGAGCGTGATGGTTGTTAATTCAAGCCTGGCAGGAGCTCTCAGAGATATTGGTGGGAGGGTGACAGAAACAGCTGGACTGCTTGTCTTATTTGGCGTAAGGACCAGTGTGTGTTAATCTGGGCTGCAGGCTGTGTTCCCTGAAAATCAGACATTGGGAATCTGAGATTTGCATGTAGGGAGTCTATAGGGGCTGATGCATGGTGGGTATTTTGGGCATCAGTATATGAGGGGGAGTGAAGGACACAGGAATAAGCAGAGGGAAATGATGAATTGCTGTGTAGTGACAATAAAGGACTCAACTGATCCCTGGAGGCACTGTGGACCTATAAAGTTGTCCCCAGCAGAGGCAAGCATGCTGGGCTTTCATTCCTCTCATCCTCCCACCTCCCATGTTTAGATAAGGGCTGCCTCCAGGGCAGTGACCTTGAGTGAGGCAGCTTTGGTGATTCAGCTGAGAGCTGTCAGCCTTCAATACTCCCAGCAGCTAGGAAAATGAGTGATGTATTTCTGAAAAGATGGTACCAGGTGAGGGGAGAGATGAATCTTACATCCCACAACAGCATCCACTGTAATCTTACATCTCACAACAGCATCCACTATATTCTACGGCACAGACATGTCAGATAGGAGGCATTTCTTATAAGTTTACAAAATTGGCGAGGAAACCTCTCTGCAGCTCTGCATACTGACTGCATGTAAAATCGAACATCATTGAGGGTTGCACAGTAATTGTGTTGCCCAGTAAGCTTGTGGCCACCTCAGAAGCAGACATACTACTCTTATTCTCATGACCTCACCGTAATTGCAATGTAGCTTTTCTCTCTGTACATGTCTTCCTCTCCTCGACCTCCATTTCAACTGTTTTCCCCTCCCTCCCTCTTTCTTTCTTTCTTTCTCTTTCTTTCTTTCTTTCTCTCTTTCTCTTTCTTTCTTTCCTTCCTTCCTTCCTTCTTTCTTTCTCTCTCTCTCTTTCTTTCCTTCCTTCCTTCTTTCTTTCTTTCTCTCTCTTTCTTTCTTTCTCTTTCTTTTCTTTTCTTTCTTTCTTTCTTTCTTTCTTTCTTTCTTTCTTTTTCTTTCTTTCTTTCCTTCCTTCCTTCCTTCCTTCCTTCCTTCCTTCTTTCCCTTCCTTCCTTCCTTTCTTCCTTCCTTCCTTCCTTCCTTCCTTCCTTCCTTCCTTCCTTCCTTCCTTCCTTCCTTTCTTTCTTCCATGGACTTTCATTCTGTCACCAGGCTGGAGTGTAACAGCCCGATCTCAGCTCACCGCAACCTCTGCACCCCGGGTTCAAGCGATTCTCCTGCCTCAGCCTCCCGAGTTGCTGGGATTACAAGTGCGCACCACCACACCCAGCTAATTTTTTGTATTTTTAGTAGAGATGGGGTTTCACCATGTTGGCCAGGCTGGTCTTGGACTCCTGACCTCAGGTGATCCACCAGCCTCGGCCTCCCAAAGTGCTGGGATTACAGGTGTGAGCCACGATGCCCAGCCCAATTATTCTTTCTTTTGCATTTGTATCTTCTGAAGAGAAAATGTATCTGAATCTCTGAGTTGACCTCTGATACAGAATGTTCCAGTTGGGTTGATCTTCTGGGCAAGGCCAGCTCAACCTATAACTAGTTGTCTTTGGTCTGGAAATGGTTTCAGCTCTGGTCACATGACACAAAACAAGTGAAGATAAATAGAAACAGGCACAGAGTCCTACACAAAATTAAGGTGTTGAATTAATAAATGCATTTTTATGATATTTGTGAATATTATTAATAAATAGTAGCTCCCGGTTGTGGGAAAGATGATGTAGAAGCACTGGATATATCCTGTGATATTACTATGCACAACAACTATTTAAAAAATTTTTTTAAAGAATCTAATCAATATGTACTTACATACAAAAAATTAGCTGGTCGTGATGGCACACGCCTGTAGTCCCAGCTAATAGGGAGGCTGAGGCAGGAGAACTGCTTGAACCCAGGAGGCAGAAGTTGCAGTGAGCCGAGATTGTGCCACTGCACTCCAGCCTGGGTGACAGAGCGAGATTCCGTCTCAGAAAAAAAAAAAAAAAAAATGTACTTATGACTTTTTTGAATGGTAGCAAAAGTAGCAGAATTTTTTTTTTTTTTTTTTGAGACAGGAGTTTTGCTGTCACCCAGGCTGGAGTGCAATAGCATGTTCTTGGCTCACGGCAACCTCCGCCACCTGAGTTCAAGCGATTCTCCTGCCTCAGCCTCCCAAGTAGCTGGGATTACAGGCGTGCATCACCATGCCCAGCTAATTTTTGTGTTTTTAGTAGAGACGGGGTTTCACCATGTTGGCCAGGCTGGTCTTGAACTCCAGACCTCAGGTGATCCACTCCAGACCTCAGTGCTGGGATTACAGGTGTGAGCCACCGTGCCCGGCCTTTTTATTTCTTTTAATCTTAAAAGTGATAGCATTTAATTGTCTAAAGGAAAATGGTGGAGAATACCAGAGGGACTGGAAAGGAAGAAGTTTTTTTGGGAGGGGTAAAATAGCTGTAGATTTCTTTTAGTAGAAAAATGTTTATATATATTGAATACTAATTCTAATAATAACTTATAGAGAGCTACAAGGTTTTCAAAATTGTTTCAGAGAACATTATACAAGTTGATGGTCCTAACAGTGCTGTGTGATAGGTGAAACAGAGATTGTAGCCTTTATTATATAGATGATAAAACTGAGGCATAGACTGGGCACAGTGGCTCACACCTGTAATCCCAGCACTTTGGGAGGCCGAGGCCAGTGGATCGCCTGAGGTCAGGAGTACAAGACCAGCCTGACCAATATGGTGAAACCCCATCTCTACTAAAAATACAAAAATTAGCAGAGCATGGTGGCATGCGCCTGTAGTCCCAGCTATTCGGGAGGCTGAGGCAGGAGAATCGCTTGAAGCCAGTAGGCGGAGGTTGCAGTGAGCCGAGATTGTGCCACTGCACTCCAGCCTGGGTGACAGACGAAGACTCCGTCTCAAAAACACAAGACAAAACAACAAAAAAACTGAGGCATAGAAAGAGTAAATGTCTTCCTCCAGGTCACATGGCTAATTCATCTAATACATTCTCTAGTTTTCCTACTTTAGCATCCTGTGGAAGGATCGTGGGAAGGAGATGCTTCCAGATAGGGCTTTCATAGTGTTGAGATGGGAACGGGAGTTGCTACACTTAAACATGGCACCAATGTCACTTCATTTGTCTTCTCCCCAAGCAGTTTTTCCTCTAAATCACCATATGTTTGTTAAACGGGGCTGGAACCTCCCCACCTACTGTTTAGGATTTCCTTTCACTACAGTGTAACATAAAGTGTTGGCATCAAATCCAGAGACTGTGTGGATTTGAAATCCTCCATAAGGTACAACAATACCAATGTGGTAGTTATGGGCATTTGGTCACATAGTTAGTAATGTAAGTGTTAGTGGCCTGGCCTGTCTATTTTTATGCATAAAGAGAGATCAGCAAGAATCAGATTATCTAGAGTGGCACATTGTTCAACAATAGACACAGTGAACATGAAAATAAGTGGTTACCCAGAGTTTAGGGAAACTGAAAGTGCTGCATGCCTTTTACGCATTCAGATGTCATGCAATTCTTGTTTTCATTTAGTTATTCATTTGAGTTGTGCCTGGATTAGAGATACCGTAAGTGGCAAGTCTACCAGAGTGGAAAAAAATTCAGTCATGGTATCATGCCTTAAGGAAAAATGTGGTTATTAAAGCATGTTAATTTTTAACTGAAAAATAGCTGACTCTTTTCCTGGAAGGATGTGAGCAATGCAACTATTTAAAAGTAAACTTTTTAAGCCACATAACCAGCACCCAGTTGAGGCTTGTGTTGTATTAGGTACTGAAAGCATTTTATGGAACTCTAAAATTACTAACAATATATCAAATACAAAGCATCTGTAAATTCAAACCATATATATAATTGCATACTAGTAATTTAAGGAAATGAAACTTTCTCCCTCAAATTCTTACTACCATAGTAGTAATTTATTCAGGCTCTCTAAATGTTCAATAACAGTAAAGATATATACCAAATTCATGGCATCAGAGGTGTTTCTGGTGGCCTTGTCTTTCACATTACATAGCTTTTGGGGGAAAAACTCTTTATTTTTTTTGAAATTTCTTTGTTGTTGTTGTTGTTTTTGTTTTAGACGGAGTTTTGCTTTGTCACCAGGTGGGAGTGCAGTGGCATGATCTCGGCTCACTGCAACCTCCACCTCCTGGGTTCAAGCAATTCTCCTGTCTCAGCCTCCTGAGTAGCTGTGACTCCAGGCATGTGCCACCATGCCCAGCTAATTTTTTTTTTTTTTTTTTTTACTTTAGTAGAGACGGGGTTTCACCATGTTGGCCAGGATGGTATCTACCTCCTGACCTTGTGATCCGCCCACCTTGGCTTCCCAAAGCGCTGGGATTACAGGTGTGAGCCACCGTGTCCAGCTCTGAAATCTCTTTTAATGAAAAATTTCAAGCATACATAAAAGTAGAATAATATAATGAACTCCGCATATACCTATCATCCAGCTCCAACTATGTTAAATTCTTGGCTAATCCTTTTTCATCTATACTCCATCCCCTTACTACCCCAAATATTTTAAAGGAAATCTCAGACCACATATTTTTCTTCTATAAATACTTTAGTTAGTATACACCTCTAAAAGATAAAAGAATCTTTTAAAAATATAAGCATGGTGGTAGATTATAGATGGTCTTACATGTTTTTTACTTCTCCTCTTGAGAGGGGAAGTCTAATTCCCCTCATCTTCAATCTCAGCTGGTCATAGAGACTTGCTTGATCAGTAGAATGTGGCAGAAGTATTATTTAAGCACTTCTGAAGTTAAGTCTTAAGAAGCTTTGAAGCTGCCATCTGGACCTCTTGGGATACATCCTTTGAGAACTCTAAGCTTCCATATAAGAAATCTGAAAACCCTGAAACGCTGATGAGATCACAGGTCAGTGCTCTAGTATAAAGTCTCAGTTGAGGTTAGCCTTCCAGTCTTCCTTTCCAAGGCACCAGACATGTAAGTCAAATCATCTTAGACCTTTTAGATCTGCCCATCTGCCAAGTGAGTACCATGATGAAGCAGAAAAACCATCCAGCTGAACCCTATTCAAAATTCCTGGCTCGCAAAGTTGTAAGATGTAATAAAATGGTCGTTGCTTTAAGCCACTGTTACGCTGCAACAGATAAAATGGAACAACCACAGAACCATTAGCACTCCTAAAATAATTAGCAATAATTCCCTAAAATATCAAATATCCATTGTTCAAATCACAACTAATCTTTTGGAATAATTTTATTATTATTACTATTTTGTAGAGACAACTGTCTCACTATATTGCCCAGGCTGGTCTTAAACTCCTGGGCTCAAGAGATCTTAATGCCTCAGCTCACTAGAGAGCTGGGATTACAGGTGTGAGCCATCATGCTTAGCTACGAATAATTGTTTTTGTTTCAAAATTATCTTGAATATTTTGTTTTAAGTGGGATCTAAACAAGGTCCATACATGGTGATTGATTTTTATATATATATTTTTTTGAGATGGAGTCACACTTTGTTGCCCAGGCTGCAGTGCAGTGGTGTAATCTTGGTTCACTGCAATCTCTATCTCCCAGTTTCAAGCAATTCTTCTGCCTCAGCCTCCCAAATAGCTGAGACTACAGGTGTGCACCACCGTGCTCTGCTATGTTTTGTATTTTTAGTAGAGACAGGGTTTTGCCATGTTGGCCAGGCTGGTCTCAAATTCCTGACCTCAAGTGATCCGCTTTCCTTGGCCTCCCAAAAGTGCTGGGATTACAGGCATGAGCCACCACGCCCCGCTGATTTTTATATTTCCTAAGTCTCTTTTAATAGTTTCCTCTTCCTTTTTTTGTTTCAAATTATTTAAGAAACTATATAATTTGTCCTCAGAATTTTCCGTAATCTGGATTTTAGTATTGTTTTGTTGTTGTTGTTTGAAGCAGAGTCTTGCTCTGTCACCCAGGCTGGAGTGGAGTGGCATGATCTTGGCTCACTACAACCTCCACCTCCCAAGTTCAAGCAATTCTCCTGCCTCAGCCTCCCATGTAGCTGGGACTACAGGCATGCACCACCACGCCCGGCTAATTTTTTGTATTTTCAGTAGAGACAGGGTTTTCCTATACTGTCCTCAAGTGATCCGCCTTCCTCAGGCTCCCAAAATGCTGGGATTACAGACGGGTGTGAGGCACTGCACCCATCCTGGATTTTAGCATTGTTAACACCTTCTCCTATCGCCTGTGTCTCCTGTAAGTTGGTAGTTGGATCTAGAGCCTTGGTCCATTTCACGTTTGATCTTTGGCAAGGCTATTTCACAGTGGTGGTGTTTACTTCCATCAGGAGACACATCATATCAGATTGTCTCTTGTTCTATGATGTTTGCAGCCATTGACAATCATTGCCTTGATCCATCAATTAATTTGGGTTGCAAAATGAAGATTGTATTAATTAGCTATATCTGCATAAGAAAAGAATCAAAGAATCTCAGCAGCATACAATAATAAATATTTATTTCACTTATTTACCATCACCTTCACCTCATCTTGTGGGCCGAAGCAAGTCGTATGGCCAAATCCAAAGTCAAGAGGTAGCAAAGTAATCTTGCCTCGAGTGGAAGGTGAGGAGTCAGCTTCCAGTCCAAAATCTTATGCATGATCTTCCAGACCTGATGATGGGGAATTAGAAAGCTTTACCTGGCAAGACTCATGGGGGGAAGCTGCCCTCTTCACACCACACTTGGTGCACAGCCAGTGCATTGCAGTCTCTGGAGGAAATTACAGTCAAGGACCCATGGCCCTCTCTGCAGACCAGCCATGTCCTTACACATTCTGCATTCCTAACTTAGGTGTCTCCATTCAAAGGTTTCTTTATTGGGGGGGCCTCAGCTAAGGCACTTCCGTTGTGCATCTTCCAAGATCCCCTTATGGGGAGTCTTGACTGAGGCCTTTTTCTGTACTTTGACTCAGTACTTTTGCACTCTGAGCCCTTCCCTCTCTCCCTCCTTCCAGTCCCTTACTCCATTTTTTTCAGGGTTCCTCAGCAGTGAAATGATTCCTACTGTCTATGCTGTACCCACCTGACCCTAGTCTGGTGATGTTCACTGGGAAAACTGGGACACTGGGGAGGTGGTCCCTTTCTCTTCTGTCTCTTGCCTGCATTGTCACAGTAAGTGAATAAGGCTTAATTGTTACTTTAAGTTAGTCTTGTCCTAACTGACCACCTTGACACCTAGCAGCTCTGCAGGAGGGAGTTACATGGGAAAGCTACATAGAAACAAAGTTACATGCTAGGTGTGGTGGCTCAGGCCTGTAATCCCAGTACTTTGGGAGGCTGAGGTGGGTGGATCACTTGAGCTCAGGAGTTTGAGACCAGCCTGGCCAACATGGCGAAACCCCATCTCTACTAAAAATACAAAAATTAGCTGGTCATGATGGTGCACACGTGTAGTCCCAGGTACTCGGGAGGCTGAGGCCTGAGAATCACTTGAACCCAGCACACAGAGATTGCAGTGAGCTGAGATCGTTGAGATTACGCCACCGCACTCCAGCCTGGGTGATAGAGTGAGAGTCTGTCGAAAAAGAAGGAAAGAAAGAGAGAGAGAGAGAAGGAAGGAAGGAAGAGAAAGAAAGAAAGAAAAAGGAAAGAAAGAGGCATGGACACTGAAATTGGAGAATTATGTCAATATCATAATATTTCAGAGTCAGTGATAGTCCACTATTATTCTTCCTTTATTAAATAGCAACAATATTTCTAGAAAGAAAAAACTAACAAGTTTTTCAAAATGGTTACCTAATGTTTAGCACTTTAGAAAAGTGACAAATGGTCGGGCATGGTGGCTCACGCCTGTAAACCTAGCACTTTGGGAGGCTGAGGTAGGCAGATTACTTGAGGTCAGAAGATTGAGACTGGCCTAGTCAACATGGTGAAACCCTGACTGTACTAAAAAAAATTCAAAACTTAGCTGGGCATGGTGGCACCTGCATGTAGTCCCAGCTACTTGGGAGGCTGAGGTAGGAGAATCGCTTGAACCTGGGAGGTGGAGGTTGCAGTGAGCCAAGATTGCATCACTGCACTCCAGCCTGGATGACAGAGCCAGACTCCATCTCAAAAACAAACAAACAAACAAAACCCAGAAAGGTGACAAATGAGTTTTTAAAGTATCTTTAAAATTAATTTATGGACAAATGCAAATCAAAACCACAATGAGATACCATCTCATACTAGTTAGAATGGCAATCATTAAAAAGTCAGGAAAGAACAGGTGCTGGAGAGGATGTGGAGAAATAGGAACACTTTTACATTGTTGGTGGGACTGTAAACTAGTTCAACCATTGTGGAAGTCAGTGTGGCAATTCCTCAGGGATCTAGAACTAGAAATACCATTTGACCCAGCCATCCCATTACTGGGTATATACCCAAAGGACTATAAATCATGCTGCTATAAAGACACATGCACACGTATGTTTATTGTGGCACTATTCACAATAGCAAAGACTTGGAACCAAGCCAAATGTCCACCAATGATAGACTGGATTAAGAAAATGTGGCACATATACACCATGGAATACTATGCAGCCATAAAAAAGGATGAGTTCATGTCCTTCGCAGGGACATGGATGAAGCTGGAAACCATCATTCTCAGCAAACTATCGCAAGTACAGAAAACCAAACACCGCATGTTCTCACTCATAGGTGGGAACTGAACAATGAGAACACATGGACACAGGAAGGGGAACATCACACACCGGGGCCTGTTGTGGGGTAGGGGGAGGGGGGGAGGGATAGCATTAGGAGATATACCTAATGTAAATGATGAGTTAATGGGTGCAGCACACCAGCGTGGCACATGTATACATATGTAACAAACCTGCAAGTTGTGCACAAGTACCCTAGAACTTAAAGTATAATTTAAAAAATTAATTTATGGATTTTAAACAAACAAAACCCAGAAAGGTGACAAATGAGTTTTTAAAGTATTTTAAAAAATTAATTTATGGATTTTAAATATATTTGATATATTTTAATCTATGGCAATTACCACTCTGATTATTGGTAAAACTGCTCTGTCTTTTGCCAAGAGGAGCCTCATGAAGAGGTTTCGGAATCTTTTTGACATGACCACAGTCTACTTTGATAGTTTCCTTGCTTCTGGTATGACAGGATATTGCAGACCTGAAATCAGGCATTCAGCACTTAATGTTACAATGTAGAGGTAGATCCAGTGATGGAAGGGTCAACTTACTTTTTACTATATCTGAAAAGAGGTTACTTTTGAAAGATTAAGTAATTTGGTTACCAGGATGAATTATGTATAAAAATATGCTGTAAAAATTCAACATACTTAATCTGGCAGTATAGTTATTTCTACTGTATTTCAGAAGGAAAGCCAGGCCATATTTGTGGGGGCTGACTTCACAGAAAGATCTCTGTCGTGTTTCCTATCAGCCTTCATCCCTCCTCAGTCTTGAAACAGGGTTCTTCTATGTGACGTCTTGCGATCACTGCCAATCACTAGAATTCATCTTTGGCTTTAGCCAGACCTTTGTGACAACAGCTACATCTCTTCTATAGTCAAATGTATTTAATTCATTGTTCATTCAATTTTAAAAAGTACTAACTGGGCTCTAGCATTGAGTAAAAGCAACCAGCTGGGCTCTACATGAAATGCAGAAGAAGTAGATAAGAAAAATAAAATATATTCTCTGCTTATACAGACAAGATGAAGAAACAAGATAAATGTGGGAACAATTAAATTATGACCCGGGATAATAAGTAATTATGTGTTCAAACAAGTGATACTAATGCTTATCACTGTGGGATTTCGGAAGAAAGTGAGATGCATTAGCTTAGCATGGTCCGAGGTGGATTTATGGAGAAGTTGTTCCTTGATCCAAACCCTGAAGAATGGGTGTCATTTCCATGGGCAGAAGAAGGAAAAGGAGTGAGGAAACATGGAAGCAGTTATAAAGGTGGAGGTACAAATGCCTCGGAGGACAGTGAGGAGGCCAGCCACCTTGGAACAGAGGGTTCTGATGAGGAAGTTGGGCAGATTACGTGTGGAACACATGGGCTGGAATCAGTTTCTTGGCAAGTTTAAATGTTAGGCTGGAGAGATTAGATTTCAGAAAAGCATCTGTGCCCTTCATGTCAGCTGCCAAGGTCTTTGCTGTTACCCAATAGCTAGCATATTTATTGTGGCAAAATGTCTAGGAGTATGATTAAAGGTGGAAAACAACTATCAGAGTTCAGAGTGGTAAAGCCGAGACATGCAGAATAGAGATTCGAGCGAATGGTGAGGAAAAGGAGGTAGTCAATTCAGAAAGGGGAGTCTGTTCACTCGTTGAACAAATAGTTATTGAATACCTCTGTGCAAGGCATGTGCTAGGCACTGAAAAGGGAGAGCACCATTTCTTAAGAACTGGTTAATGGTCTGAATAATTGAAGAAGAATCAATATCTTGATGTAGATGACTTAATAATTTAATCCTTAAGAGTAGAATTTCAGATGTGATGATAGTCCAGGAGAGAAGGTATTTTTTTTTAAAATCACAGTTGCCTTTCCTGTTGTCTCAAATAATCCTGTGTGTTCAGACACCTACTCTGTCACCAATGTGTAATGCGAAGCTGAAAAGTGAATGGATCTCCTCCAAACTGAATCTCTCTCTCTCTCTGCCCTCTCATATTCCTGGCTTTTAAGAGCTCCTAGGAGGACAAGGGAGCAGGAACAGCAAGAGCTCTGAAAAGTTGAGGATAATGGTTCCAACAACATCAATTGAAGCTAGCTACACCGGAGCAGAGGGCTTCTTTAAAAAAAACTGTCAGGAAACATTTGTCATACATTTATTTTATCAATAAATATTAATTGAGGTCAGGCCCAGTGGCTCACTCCTGTAATCCCAGCACTTTAGGAGGCCAAGGCAGGAGAATCACT
The DNA here is from genome assembly GCF_000001405.40 of Homo sapiens. Taxonomy (NCBI): domain Eukaryota; kingdom Metazoa; phylum Chordata; class Mammalia; order Primates; family Hominidae; genus Homo; species Homo sapiens. Next base: position 113,784,740 of record NC_000002.12, on the reverse strand, counting down.
TGAGGCCACAAGTTTAAGACCAGCCTGGGCAACATAGCAAGACCCCTTTGGAAAAAAAAAGTTTAAATTAGCTGGATATGGTGGCGTGCGCCTGTAGTCCCAGCTACTCAGGAGACTGAGGCTGGAGGATGCTTGAACCCAGGAGTTTGAGGCTGCAGTGAACTGTAATTGTGCCACCATGCTCCAGCCTCGGTGACAGACCAAGACCTTGTCTCTAAAAAAGTAAAAAAGTAAAAATTAAACAAAAAATATTATTTGAGCTTCTTCTATGCTTAGGCACTGATTTAGGTGCTGGAAATACAACACTGTACAAGACAGAAAAAGTTTCTGCCCTCATGAAGCTGATATTCTGGTGGGAAAACACACACACATACACACACACACACACACACACACACACACACACACACACACACAGAGTAGTTCCAGTTAGGGATAAGTGCTATAGATAGATAGATAGATAGGTAGGTAGATAGATATTTTTTTTTTTGAGACAGAGTTTTGCTCTTGCCACCCAGGCTGGAGTGCAGTGGTGCAATCTCAGCTCACTGCAACCTCCACTTCCTGGGTTCAAGAGATTCTCCTGCCTCAGCTTCCCGAGTAGCTGGGGTTACAGGCGCCCGCCACCATGCCTGGCTTTTTTTTTTTTTTGGTATTTTTAATAGATACGGGGTTTCACCGTGTTGGCCAGGCTGGTCTCGAACTCCTGACTTCAGGTGATCCGCCGGTCTCGGCCTCCCAAAGTGCTGGGATTACAGGCGTGAGCCACCATGCCTGGCCATAAGTGCTATTTTAAAGAGAATATGGGAAGGTAGGAGAATGAAGAGTGATGGGAGTGTGTTGGGGGTGGGGGCATGCACCTGTGCACACTAGGCTGGGAGAAGTAATTTTATTTTATTTTATTTTTTTTGAGATGGAGTCTCATTCTTGTCACCCAGGCTGGAGTGCAGTGGCATGATCTTGGTTCACTGCAACCTCCAAATCCTGGGTTCAAGCGATTCTCCTGCCTCAGCCTCCTGAGTAGCTGGGACCACGGGCACACACCACCATGCCCAGCTAATTTTTGTATTTTTAGTAAGACAGGATTTTACCATGTTGGCCAGGCTGGTCTCAAACTCCTGACAACAAGTGATCCTCCCACCTCGGCCTCCCAGACTGCTGGGATTACAGGCGTGAGTGACCACGCCCGGCCAGGAGAAGTAATTTTAGATTGGGTGGATTGGGAAAAACCTCTCTGAGGAAGTAATGTTGGCACACTTTGGAAATAATGTAAAAGAAGAGAATGCAAATGTCCTAGGCAAGGAATAATGAAGGAACAGCAAGAAGGTGCTTTGGCTGGAATCTTGTGAGCTGGGATTAAGTGGGAGAAGAGGTAGGTAGAGGGCTGTTTATTTAGGACTTATTGAAGGCTTCAATAAGAAATATAGATTTTATTCACTGTGCTGGGAACAGTGGGAGGCTTTTGAGAATGAGAATGATGTAATCTGATTCACATTTTTAGAAGATCTTTCTAGACATTTCTAATTTTGAGAACAGACTGTATAGGGCAAGAATGGAAGCAATTCCATCAGGAGCAGTTCTGGTAGTCAAGGCGAGAGGTGATGGTAGTTTGGGACCAGAGTATCAAGGTGGAAGTTGTGAAAAACAGTTTGACTCAGGAGGTTTTTGGAAGGTAAGAGCTGGCAGAATTGGTTGATGTACTAAGGTGTGAGGAACAGAGGTGAATAAAGAGTGACCCTTCCTTACTTTAGCATATGCTTTGGAGTTTCCTTTACTGAGATCATGAAAGGCTGGTGGAGGAGAGGGTTCAGCACTCACTATATGCTTATTGAACGAATCAATGCATCAAACAATTAATGATGTTTCCAACTTGGGGTGATGAGGATGATCAATTGTTTATGTCTTCACTAGTATGAGATAATAAGAGTATATAATAGTCTGGAGTCATTCTAGATCATAGTAGGGTTTATCTAGAGTTTCGGGGGTTAAGAGTTGGGAGGATCATCTGAGCCTGAGGAGTTGGAGGCTACAGTGAGCCACGCCCGGCTGGATATATGTAATTAAAAATTTTTTTACTTTGAAAATATAAGGCCAGGTACAGTGGCTCACGCCTATAATCTCAACACTTTAGGAGACTGAGGGGGGTGGATCACTTGAGGTCAGGAGTTTGAGAGTAGCTTGGCCAATATGATGAAACCCCGTCTCTACTAAAAATACAAAAATCAAAAATTAGCTGGGCGTGGTGGCAGATGCCTGTAATCCCAGCTACTTGGGAGGCTGAGGCAGGAGAACTGCTTGAACTCGGGAGGTGGAGATTGCAGTGAGCCAAGATTGCGACACTACGCTCCAGCCTGGGCAATAGAGTGAGACTCGGTCTCAAAAAAAAAAAGAAAGAAAAATTTAAATCTATAAAACAGTTGCCAAGAATGGTATGATGAACCCTCATACACTCTTTGTCTCAATTCTCTAATTGTTAGCATTCTGCAGTATTTGTTCTACCATTATCCCTTTATATCTATGCATAATAAAATACATACACACATATTATTATTACTACTACTAGTGTTGTTGAACCCTTGATGAGGAAGTTGCAGATGCCATAACCCTTTCCCCTTTCCTGATGTGTCTCCTAGGAACAAGGATATTCTCTTATTTAACCACAGAACACTGATAAAATTCAGTATATTTAGCTTGGATACTATATTATCATCTAATGCACAGTCCATATTCAAATTCCAGCAATTACTTCTATAATGTTCTTTTTAGAAAACATTTTAAAATTTATTTTAATTGATATTTATTTTAATTATCATGTACATGTTGTCTTGAAATATGTACACATTGTAGAATGGCTAAATTGAGCTAATTAATATATGCATTACTTTGCATACTTATTTTTTGTGATGAAAACACTTAAAATCTACTCTCAGCAATTTTTTTTTTTTGAGGTGGAGTCTCGTTCTGTCACCCAGGCTGGAGTGCAGTGACGCGATCTTGGCTCACTGCACGCTCTGTCTCTGGGGTTCACGCCATTCTCCTGCCTCAGCCTTCCTAGTAGCTGGGACTGCAGGTGCCCGCCACCATGCCTGGCTAATTTTTTTGTATTTTTAGTAGAGATGGGGTTTCACCACGTTAGCCAGGATGGTCTTGATCTCCTGACCTTGTGATCTGATTGCCTTGGCCTCCCAAAGTGCTGGGATTACAGGCGTGAGCCACTGTGCCAGGCCTACTCTCAGTAATTTTCAATAACATAATACATTGTTATTATCTCTAGTCACCATGTTGTACAGTAGATCGCTTGAACTTATTCTTACTGTCTAACTGAAATTTTGTGTTTTTTGATCAACAGCTCCCCAACCCTTCCTCCCCCTAGCGCCTGGTAACCACGATTCTCTTCTCTGGTTCTTTAAGTTCAACTCCTTTAGATTTCACATATAAGAGGGATCATATTGCATTTGTCTTTCTGTGCCTGACTTTTTTCACCTAGCATAATGTCTCCCAGAATCATCCATGTTGTCACAAATGACAGATTTTTCTGAAGGCTGAATAGTATTCTATTGTATATACCTACCACGTTGTCTAATGTATTCATCTGTTGATGGAGACAGGTTGATTCTATATCTTGGCTTCTGTGAATAATGCTGCAATGAACATGGGAACACAGAATATGTATTTGCCATAAAGTTGGCCCTCCATATCCATGGGTTCCACATCCATGGATTCGACCAACCATAAATCAAAAATGTTCAGAAAACAAAACAATAAAAATAGCAATATAATAAAAATAAAAAGACAATACAGTGTAACAACTATTTACCTAGCTTTTACACTGTATTAGGTGTTGACATGGTTTCGCTCTGTGTCCCTACCCAAATCTCATCTTGAATTGTACTCCTTATAACCCCCACGTGTCAAGGGAGTGACCTGTTGGGAGGTGATGGGATCATGGGGGCAGTTTCCCCCGTGCTGTTCCTGTGATGGTGAGTGAGTTCTCATGACAGCTGATGATTTTACAAGCATCTAGCACTTCCCCTGCTTGCACTTCTTTCTCTCCTGCTGCCCTGTAAAGAAGGTGCCTGTTTCCCCTTCTGCCGTGATTGTAAATTTCCTGAGTCCTCCCCAGTCACGTGGAACTGTGAGTCAATTAAACCTCTTTCCTTTATCAATTTTCCAGTCTCAGGGAAGTTCTTTATAGCAGTGTGAGAACGGATTTATACAGGTATTAGAAGTGATCTAGAGTTGACTTAGAAGTACATGCAAATACTACTCCATTTTATATCAGAGACTGAGAATCTGCTAATTTTGTTATCCTCAGGGGTTCCTGGAGCCAGTCTCCCGAGGACACCAAGGGACAACTCTACTGATTTAATTTCCTATGGATATGTATCCAGTAGTGAGATTGTCAGATTATATGGTAGTTCTATTTTTGATTTTTTAAGAAACCTCAATACTGTTTTCCATAATTGGCTGTATTAATTTATATTTCCCGCAAGAGTGGGTGAGGGTTTCCTTTTTTTCTGCATCCTCTCTACCACTGTTAACTTTTGTCTTTTTGACAACAACCATTCTAGTAGGTGTGAGATAATATCTCATTGTGGTTTTAATTTGCATCTCTATAATGATTAATGATGTTGAACACTTAAAAAATATACCTGCTGAGCATTTGTGTGTTTTCTTTTGAGAAATGCCATTCAGGCACTTTGCCCATTTTTTATTTATTTATTTTATTTTTATTTTTATTTATTTATTTATTTATTTTGAGACAGAATCTGCTTTGTTACTCAGGCTGGAGTGCAGTGGCATAATCTCAGCTCACTGCAACCTCTGCCTCCCAGGTTCAAGCAATTCTCCTGCCTCAGCCTCCTGAGTAGCTGGGATTATAGTTGCCTGCAACCACGCCTGGCTATTTTTTGTATTTTTAGTAGAGATGGGGTTTCACCATGTTGGCCCGGCTGGTGTCAAACTCCTGACCTCAGGTGATCCGCCCGCCTCAGCCTCCCAAAATGTTGGGATTGCAGGTGTGAGCCACTGCGCCCAGCCTGACCATTTTTTAATTAGGTTACTTGTTTTCTTACTATTGAGTTGCTTGAATTCCTTATATATTTTGCATATAGCCCCTTCATAAATAAATGGTTTACAAATATTTTCTCCCATTCTACAGGTTGTCTCTTCACTCTGTTCATTATTTCCTTGGCTGTGCAGAAGTTTTTAGTTTGATATAACCCTCTTTGTCTATTTTTGGTTTGTTGGCTGTGCTTTTGGGTTTCCATCCAAAAAAACATTGCCCAGACCACTGTCAGGGAGCTCTCCCCCTGGTTTTTTTGTTTGTTTATTTTGTTATTTTGAGGCAAGGTCTCACTCTGTCGCCCAAGCTGGAATGCAGTGATGCATTATAGTTTACTATAGCCTTGAACTCCTGGGCTCAGGGGATTTTCTCATCTCAGCCTCCTGAGTAGCTAGGACCACAGACATGTGCCACCACACCCAGCTAATTTCTTTATTTTTTGTAGAGACATCTTGGTCTTGGACCAACTCCTGGCCTCAAGCGATCCTCCTGCTTCCACCTCCCAAAGTGCTGGGATTACAAATGTAAACTACCATGCCTGGTTCCCCTCCTCTCTATTTTTTTCTAATACTTTTATAGTTTCAGGTCTTACATTTTAGTCTTTAATCCACTTTGAGTTGATTTTTTAATATGACATGAGAGATAAGGGTCTAATTTCATTCTGTATGTGGATATCGAGTGTCCTAACATCATTTACTGAAGAGATTCTCCTTTCCTCATTGTGTGTTCCTGGCACCTTTGTTGAAAATCAATTAACTATAAATGAAGTGGATTTATTTCTGGGCTCTCTATTCTCTTCCATTGGTCTATGCATCCAGTTTTTTTGTTTGTTTGTTTTGCCAGTACCATGCCATTTTCATTACTGTATCTTTGTAGTATATTTTGAAACCAGATAGTATGATGCCTCCAGCTTTGTTCTTTTTGTTCAACATTGCTTTGGCTATTTGGGGTTTTTTGTGGTTCCATATGAATTTTAGGACTTTTTTCTATTTCTGTGAAGAATGTTATTGGAATTTTCATGGGAATTGCATTGAATATGTAGTTCATGTTTAGTGGCATGGAGATTTTAACTGTATTAATTCTCCTAATCCATGAACAGAGGATGTATTTCCATTTATTTGTGTCTTCTTCAGTTATTTATTTATTTTTCTTTTTTAGACAGGGTCTCCCTCTGTCACCCAGGCTGGAATGCAGTGGCATGATCTCAGCTCACTGCAACCTCTACCTCCCAGGCACAAGCCATCCTCCCACCTCAGCCTCCCAAGTAGCTGGGACTACAGGCACATGCCACCATGCCCAGTTAATTTTTGTATTTTTTGTAGAGATGGGGTTCTGTCATCTTGCCCAGGCTGGTCTCAAATTCCTAAGCTCAAGCAATCCTCCAGCCTCAGCCTCTGAAAGTGCTGGGATTACAGGCATGAGCCACTGCGCCCGATTAAAACATAAAATGATTTATGTTTTATCATTTTCAGTACTCATCCGTATACATTAATATTGGCTTACGTATTTCTGTTTCAGTTTTGAGATGTTTACCTTGACCTCAAGCACTTCATTTTTAAGTGAGGATTCCTGGCAAGTAGAACCATCCAGGGAAACTTGAGTTTACCGTGCGGCACATCTGTGAATATTGTGTTTATATTCATTGACCAAGGCATCTCAGCATTGGCACTATTGACATCTTCAGCCAGATAATTCTTTGCCATAGGGACCGTCCTCTGTATTTTACTGTAGGAGGGTTAGCAACATCCCTTGCCTCTACCCACTAGATGCCAGTAGCATTTTCCCCACTGTGGCAATCAAAAACTTTCTGCAGAAACTGCTAGATGTCTTTTGAGGGGTAAAATCAACCAATCGAGAGCCACTACATTGAGACTGAGCTCAATAACAAAGAGGATTTCTGATTTACTTACTATTGCATGGTAAGTACCATATCAGGCACAGTTGGTGCCTGATAAAGAGCTAATCAACCAAAGCACTAGATTTCTGCTAATTTGTTCAGTATCCTTACTATGTTTGTATTGAATTGTATCAACCACAAGTTTTCCCAGGGATTGAACAAGGAAGGGTTGGGTTAGCTTCATGGAATCTTGTGATGAAACTGCATTTCAGTCAAAGTTCAAAGTCCTAATTATACAGCATAAATACATAAATCCAGCACAGCATGCAGTTAGTTTTAGAAAGTTTCTTTATTTATGTAAGAAAAAAGGCCAGGCGCAATGGCTCACACCTGTAATCCCAGCACTTTGGGAGACTGAGGCGGGTGGATCACGAGGTCAGGAGTTTGAGATCAGCCTGGCCAACATAGCGAAACCCCATCTCTACTAAAAATACAAAAATTAGCCAGGCATGGTGACATGTGCCTGTAGTCCCAGCTACTTGCACGGCTGAGGCAGGAGAATTGCTTGATCCCGGGAGGCAGAGGTTGTGGTGAGTTGAGATCACACCACTGCATTCCAGCCTGGGCAACAGAGCAATATTGCATCTCAAAAAAAAAAAAAGAAAAAAGAAAAACGATCACTGACAGTTTAAGTCTGGCAGGGAAGCTGACGGGATGAAGGCAATTGATTCACCACACAGGGAAAGCCTGTGTGTATTATGCAGGGGTCTGGTTTTGATGCTTCTGGGTAAGTTATCCACTTGGTCTGTGAGGAAGGTTGAAGGCTCATTCATGCTGAACTATCAGAGGCCTTTCTTATCTTAGCTGTAACAAATGCACACTGTGAAAAGCAATCTTTTTTTATTTTTTGAGACAGAGTCTCGCTCTATCGCCCAGGCTGGAGTGCAATGGCATGATCTCAACTGCACCCTCTGCCTCCTGGGTTCAAGCGATTCTCGTGCCTCAGCCTCCCAAGTAGCTGGGATTACAGGTGTGTGCCACCACTCCTGACTGATTTTTGTATTTTTAGTAGAGACAGGATTTCACCATGTTAGCCAGGCTGGTCTCAAACTCCCGACCTCAAGTGATCCACCTGCCTCAACTTCCCAAAGTGCCAGGATTACAGGTGTGAGCCACTGCACCCAGCCAAAGCAATCATTTAACTTATATTTGTCAGACAAGAGAGGTATGGAAAAATTGTGTGTAAAATCATTACATTAAAAATACTATCTTGAAGCCGGGTGCAGTGGCTCACGCCTGTAATCCTAGCACTTTGGGAGGCCGAGGCAGGTGGATCATGAGGTCAAGAGTTTGAGACCAGCCTGGCCAATATGGTGAAATCCTGTCTCTACTGAAAATACAAAAATTAGCTGGGCATGGTGGCATGCACCTGTAGTCCCAGCTACTCGGGAGACTGAGGCAGGAGAATCGCTTGAACCCGGGAGGCAGAGGTTGCAGTGAGCCGAGATGGCGACACTGCACTCCAGCCTGGCGACAGAGCAAAACTCCATCTCCAAAAAAAAAAAAAAAAAACAAACAAACAAAAAAAAAAAACTGGTTGAGGATGTAGAAATGTAGGAACTGAACAATAAATGCAGAATAGTGTTATCAAATTCTATTCTGTGTGTTATCTATGATAGCCACTAGAGAATATCAGAGATAAAACTAGTGGTTCCAGATTAGGGGCAGGTGAGACATAGGGTAAGCGTAACAGGTGACAAAGCAGAACACAGTGCTGCTGCAAGCTGGGAAATGGGATGTGTCAAGAACCAACAAATGATAGGATGTACCCACCAAAAAAACCACCTTGCATGAGATAGGGGAGTATAAATCCTGTAGAAAATGTCCTTAATTTGCCCCCTAAAAGGTACATTTATATCTCTAGGCCTCATTTGTTTAAGCAGCAAGCTACTGCATATGCAATTGTTATTAGGCTCCTTTTTTTGTTTGTTTGTTTGTTTGTTTGTTTTTGAGACAGAGTCTCACTCTGTCGCCCAGGCTGGAGTGCAGTGGTACGATCTCTGTAAGCTCCGCCTCCCGGGTGCACACCATTCTTCTGCCTCAGCCTCCCGAGTAGCTGGGACTACAGGCGCCCGCCACCACGCCCAGCTAATTTTTTGTATTTTTAGTAGAGACAGGGTTTCACCATGTTAGCCAGGATGGTCTTGATCTCCTGACCTCGTGATCCGCCCACCTCGGCCTCCCAAAGTGCTGGGATTACAGGTGGGAGTCACCGTGCCCGGCCTATTAGGCTACATTTTAAAAGGTAAATCTTGCAAAATCTAAAATACCTAGAGTGGTGCTTCACCTTGCTAAGTCTCCTTTATTGTGCTTTCAAGGGATTTGAACTGCAGTTCAATTATAACATAAAAGAGGTACTTTCAAAATCATGAATATATAGATGGTAAGAAGACCAGGCAGCCAAATCTCTCAGAAAATACTCATCTTGGAATGACCTTAACTTTAGGTCTCCCCTGCAGGAGTTTGCCTCGTTAATGTCTCCTTGGAGCAGCTTTTATCACTGAGACAGTATGACTTTTGAGGTCATTAAGTATAAGAGAAGAATGTTAAATACAAAATAGAAAAATTTGAAAAATATAGAGTCCACGAAACCCAGCATTAACATCTTAGCAAATGTTAGATAATATTTTTTTCAATAGAACTTATTTTTAAAAGCAATTTTAGGTTTACAGAAAATTGAACAGAAAATACAGAGCTCCCATATACTTCCTGCCCCCACACATGCACAACTTTCCTCACTACCAACATCCCGCACCAGATCAAGAGAGTATTTTTGTTTGTTTGTTTGTTTGTTTGTTTTTGAGATGGCGTCTCGCTCCGTAGCCCAGGCTGGGATTACAAGCATGAGCCACCACACCTGGCCATGTTTGTTTATTTATTATCTACTTCCTCCCTCTAGAATATAAGCTCTAGAAAGTCAGAGTCTTATTTGTTTTGTTTTGTTTTTGAGACGGAGTCTCACTCTGTCACCCAGGCTGGAGTGCAGTTGTGCAATCTTGGCTCACTACAACCTCCACCTCCCAGGTTCAAGCAATTCTCTCACCTCAGCTTCCTGAGTAGCTGGGATTACAGGTGCATGCCACCATGACCGGCTAATTTGTATATTTTTGGTAGAGATGGGGTTTCACCATGTTGGCCAGGCTGGTCTCAAACTCCGAACCTCAGGTGATCCACCCACCTCAGCCTCCCAAAGTACTGGGATTACAGGCGCAAGCCACTGTGCCTGGCCTGTTTTGCTTTTTGTTAGATATTTAGTGCCTTGAAGTTAAGGCCATTCTAAGATAGACTAGTACCTTCAGTAGAACATGACACACAGCGGGCACTCAAATATTTGTAGAGCCAATGAATATATCCTCCATATTGTCTAGTACAATGCTTGCTGGTCATAGAAGAGAGCACCAATAAATATGTTTTGATCAGTTGCCATATGAGGGCCCATGATAGAAAACAATACCTTTCAGACTTATGATATGTTTTGAGTTCTACAATATGTTTTAAGTTCTATAAAATTTTGCTCTTCAGAGTTACTAGGAATTACAGTGATACAAGCTTATAGTATAAAATTTTTAAGGTAGTAAATAATTTATCTACACGTTTGCACAAACCTGTATTGCAACACTTTCTTAAAAGTGTCCTGTGCATAAGAAGGCACTTTAATTTTTTTTTTTTGAGGCAGAGCAGAGTCTCACTTTGCTGTTGGGGCTGGAATATGGTGGCAGGATCTTAGCTCATTGCAACCCCTGCCTCCGGGTTCAAGCAATTCTCCTGCCGCAGCCTCCCGAGCAGCTGAGATTACAGGCATGTGCCACCATGACCCCCGGCTCATTTTTTTTTTTTTTTTGTATTTTTAGTAGAGACGGGGTTTCGCCATATTGGCCAGGCTGGTCTTGAATTCCTGCCGTCAAGCGATCTGCCTGCCTCGGCCTCCCAAAGTGCTGGGATTACAGGAGTGAGCCACCATGCTCAGTCTAAATATTTCTTAAAAATATTACGTCCATGAATGAACTTTGCTATTACCATGTCTTTTTGTGAACTTCAGGAGCAAAACCAGGCCCTTGCAGATTTGCCTGAACAAAAGGTCCCAGAGTCATCTTAGGATTTCTCAGGGGATGTAATTTTGGCCACAGAAGCAAGCCCTCTTCAAGAGAATCACGTCCTAGGAAGCACTGTCTCATTTGATTGAGAGTAGGTAGAGAGGTGAGATGTTTGTTTCTTGTACCCACCTAACACTTTCAGAAATAAACTAGACAAATTAAAACGGTCAGAAGGCTGCATGGAAAACTGCTATTAAGAAATGGAGTCAGTTGGGCCGGGCGCAGTGGCTCACGCCTGTCATCCCAGCACTTTGGGAGGCCAAGGTGGGCAGATCACAAGGTCAGGAGATCGAGACCATCCTGGCAAACATGGTAAAACCCCATCTCCACTAAAAATACAAAAAATTAGCCGAGTGTGGTGGTGGGCGCCTGTAGTCCCAGCTACTCAGGAGGCTGAGGCAGGAGAAGGGCGTGAACCCGGGAGGTGAAGCTTGCAGAGATCGCACCACTGCACTCCAATCTGGGTGACAGAGTGAGACTCCGTCTCAAAAAAAAAAAAAAAAAAAAGAAAAAGAAAAAGAAATGGGGTCAGTTGTTTGCAGGGTCACCAAGTATAAAATTCTCCTTTTTCTCAGGGTTCCTAGTATTAGTAGGTTGACTCTTTTGATGACCTAATTAATTTTATCAAAGAAGAGAGTGGGGGCTTTTTCATGCCTTCAGACCATAACCCTGCCTCTACCTGACAAATGGCTCTCAAAAGTCAAATGGGTACCAGACAAAGTGAGCTTTCGTGAATGAACTGTAAAGCTCAGACAGCTCATAGGAAGGGCACTATTCAGGGGCCCTCTGCTTATAATCTGAATTTGCTCAGGCTTTCAAATGGGTACAAGTTCATAGTAGCAACTGTAGCTCTAGCTTCACTGTTTGCACTCCCACCTGCACACACACATAATGCCTGACTTCCACAGATCTCCTATTTTCCCTCCAACTATTTCTGGATTCCCTAGATGCTCTTCACATGTTCTCGCATATAAGCCTTCTTTTAAAAAGTAATTTATTTTTATTAAAATTTTTATGAGGTTAAATTAGCATAACATATCAACCAGCCGGGCGCGGTGGCTCACGCCTGTAATCCCAGCACTTTGGGAGGCCGAGGCAGGAGGATCACGAGGTCAGGAGATGGAGACCAACCTGGCCAACATGGTGAAACCCTGTCTCTACTAAAAATATAAAAAAAAAAAAAATTAGCCAGGCGTGGTGGCAGGCACCTGTAGTCCCAGCTGCTCAGGAGGCTGAGGCAGGAGAATGGCGTGAACCCAGGAGGCGGAGCTTGCAGTGAGCTGAGACTGTGCCACTGCACTCCAGCCTGGGCGACGAGCAAGACTCCGTCTCGAAAAAAAAAAAAAAAGAAAGTGAACACTTCAGTGGCATTTAGTACATTCATAATATTGTGCAACCAATACCTCTATCTAGTTCCAAAAGATTTCATCACTTTAAAAGGAAATCCCATACCCATTAAGCAGTTGTCCTCTTCCAATTCCCTCCTCGTATTCCCTGGAAATCACCAAGTTATGCTACCTATTGGGGATGTTTCATGTAAATAGATCATACAGAATGTGACCTTTCATGTCTAACTTCTTTAACTTAGCATAACGTTTTTGAGGTACATCCATGTGGTAGCATATAGACGTACTTCATTCCTTTGTATGACTGAATGATGCTCCACTGTATTTATGTACCACAATTTGTTTATCCTTTCGTCCACTAATGTACACTTGGGCTGTTTCCACCTTTTGGCTATTTTGCATAATGCTGCTATGAACAGTTTGTACATGTACCAAGGCCTTCTCTTCCTGGATGAAGCCACTGTATTATGGGGGACCACAGAGTCTACCTCTTGGCATCGTTATTGCCCACCTGGGCACTCCCACCAGTGACCTCGATGGTACCTTGTGGTTCCAGGTTGTGTGGTTCTTATTTTGTGATTTGGGTTGTATTCTTAAAGCCTTGGTCCTTAGAAAAGAGGAGAAATTCCATGTAAAACATTGTATTTGTCTCATTCCTTTTGTCTCAGGCTCACGGAAGACAAGTGGAGAGAGGAAAGTAAGAAAGAAAATTCTGTAAGAAATTTTCAAAGGAAGCAGCTCTTTCTTTCTTACTTTCCTCTCTCCACTGGTCTTCAGTAAGCCTGAGACGAAAGGAATGAGACCAATGCAATGTTTTACATAGAATTTCTCCTTTTTTCTAAGGACCAAGGCTTTCTTATAGGTCACTATTGCTTCCTAGTTCTTTCTTAGGATGAGTCGTTTTCCAGCAAAATCTCAGTCTTCCTTTGCCACAGGTGTCAGTTTACCAGCCAATACCATTGAATTATTAGACTCAAGCTAGAGCCCCAGCTACACAGAGATAGAAAGGTTCACAATTAAGTCTTCAGTAAATTCATAAATGGCTACATCTTGACTTGAGATAATTTGACTATAACTAATAAATGTCTATTTATTTATTCGGGCATGTTTTTTTGGTTGTGGTGGTGATAGTTTGGATATTTTCTGCTTCAGATCCCATGTTGAAATTTGATCTCCAATGCAGGGGGCGGGGCCTGGTGGGAGGTGACTGGATCATGGGGGCAGATCCCTATGACCTGCTTGGTGCCGTAAGAACTGCTTGTTAAAAAGAGGTTTGCCTCCTCTCTCTCTCATCCTCTCTCTCCTTGTAATATACTGGCTCCCCTTTGCCTTCTGCCATGAGTAGAAGCTCCCTGAAGCCCTCACCAGTTGCAGATACTGGTACCATGCCATGCTTCTTGTACAGCCTGTAGAACTGTGATCCAAATAAACCTTTTTTTTTTTTTTTTTTTTTCTTTGAGACAGGGTCTCACTCTTTCATCCAGGCTGGAGGGCAGTGGTGCGATCTTGGCTTACTGCAATCTGTGCCCCTGGGCTTCAGGTGATCCTCCTACCTCAGCCTCCTATGTAGCTGGGACTACACATATGTACCACCATGCTTTGCTAATTTTGTATTTTTTGTAGAGACAGGGTTTCACCATGTTGCCCAGGCTGGTCTTGAACTTCTGAGCTCAAGTGATCTGCCCACCTTGACCTCCCAAAATGTTGGAATTACAGGTGTGAGCCACCATGCCTGGCCCACCTGTTTTCTTTATAAATTACCCAGCCTCAGGTATTCCTTTATAGCAACACAAACAGACTAAGGCAGATTGTTTTAAAATGTCCAGAAAGTCACGCCTGTAATTCCAGCACTTTGGGAGGCTTAGGTGGGTGGATCACGAGGTCAGGAGTTCAAGACCAGCCTGACCAACATTGTGAAACTCCGTCTCTACTAAAAAAATACAAAAAGTAGCCGGGCATGGAGGCACGTACCTGTAATCCCAGCTACCAAGGAGGCTGAGGAAGGAGAATTGCTTGAACCCGGGAGGTGGAGGTTGCAGTGAGCCAAGATCGTGCCACTGCACTCCAGCCTGGGCAACAGAGCGAGACTCAGTCTCAAAAAAAAAAAAAAAAAAAAAAAAAAAAAGTCCAGAAACTTGACGCTGTTTGCTACAAAAAGTGGAGCCTCATTTTTCTCCTGTTGTATATGCGCCATTCTCAGTGACTTTCTTCTAATTAATAGAATATGATGGTGTGACTTTTGAGGCTTCTTTCTTGCTCTCCTTCTGATACTTCTTGCTCTGGGGAAAGCCAGCAAACCACCAAGTGATGGAGCTACTCAAAAAGCCTGGGTAAGGGCCGGGCACAGTTCTTCATGCCTGTAATCCCAGTGCTTTGGGGGGATGAGTTGGGAGGATAGCTTGAGGCCAGGAGTTTGAAACCAGCCTGGGCAACATAGCGGGACTCCCATCTCTAACACAAACATACACACACACACACACCCACAAACAAAACCAACTTAGCCAGGCATGGCAGTGTGTGCCTGTAGTCCCAACTGCTTGGAAAGCTGAGGTGGGAGGATCACTTTAATCCAGGAGCTCAAGGTTGCAGTGAGCTATGATTGCACCACTGCATTCCGGCTTCGGCAACTGAGTGAGACCTTGTCTCAAAAAAAAAAAAAAAGGAACTGAGGGCTTCTGCTGACAGCCATGTAAGGAAGGCATCTTAGAATCAGATCCTCCAGCCTCAGCCAAGCCTTCAGATGACAGCAGCCCAGGCAACATCTTGACTGAAACCTCATAAAGAGACTGGGCCAGAACCACTGAGCTACACCCTGAATTCCTGGCCCACATACATTTTAAAATAATTTTTTAAGCTGTTAACTTTCAGAGTGGTTTGTTACACAGAAATATATAACTAGTATATTTGTTTCTTGAATGAGCTGGACTTTGTAGGGCACAAACAGAAAATGTTATTCTTTATTACCTTTTCTCCTATAAACTTGTTTGCTCTATTTGTTCTTTGCTGTCCCAGGATGAAACAGTAGGAACTTGCTTAACTTTTCTGAATACGCTTAGATATTAGAAAGTCCATTTTAGTCTAAAAGTTATAACTTCTAACTCTTATTCAATTAAACTACACTCCTCTGCCAGCCAAGGCCTATTTCAGGCCTAAAAGCCTGCAGTTGGGAAGAAAACTTGGCTCACCTCTTTATTTCACATCTTGCTCTATTACTTTTCCCCCACTCACAAGGCTATCTCTGATGCCTCCATGGGTAGGAGTCAGAGTAGAGAAAGGAGGCCAGGTAAGAATCAGGAAAGGCCTTAATTGACTGCTTTGGCTGTAATCTGGCTTTTGTGCCTTCTGGAAATGGAACAGTGGTATGTGGGAATTGGCCTGCACTGACTCATAGGAGCTGACAGTTAAATTAGTTAAATCAGGGATTTTTGCAAGGAGGTTAAATCCAGCCATCATTATAATTAAATGACAAGGACAGGCATGGTGGCTCAGTCCTTTAATCCCAGCACTTTGTGAGGCGGGTGGATCACTTGCACCCAGGAGTTTGAGACCAGCATGGGCAATATGGCCAAACCCTGTCTCTACAAAAAATATTAATACGAAAATTAGCCAGGTGTGGTGGTACATGCCTGTAGTCCCAGCTACTCGGGAGGCTAAGGTGGGAGGATTTCTTGTGCCCGGGGGACAGAGGTTGCAGTGAGCTGAGACTGTGCACTCCAGCCTGGGTGACAGAGTGAGATCCTGTCTCAAAAAAAAAAAAAAAAAAAAGGAAACCAAAACAACAAAAACAAAAAACAATGAAATTACATATAAACTTATAATTAAATAAATGTATTCTACTCATTAATAATAAATACTCATTACCTCCAATAATTTAACACATTTATGATTACCTATGCTCTTATCTTGAGTTTACTTATATCTAATTGTAGATGCAGAGTGGAAATACTCCATATAATGATGTTCTGTTGTGCATCTTTTCTCAACTCCATGTTCAGTGACATCACATTAGTAACTTGAAGTTGGCCTTGGTGGGAGTCAAGAACCGTGGAATCATAACGCAGGCATCAGAAACACTTCATATATGGGCTGTTTTCCTAGAGATCTGGTTGTGAAATCTTTACTGGAATACCAAATGCAAATTTATGTTCTCATGGAATGCTCGTGCTGGGAAATATGGTATATTCCAAATACAGATCTCTGTTTTCACAGGATGTTTCTGCTGAGAAATATGTTTCCTGGAGTTCACTGGACATGGATCCTGTCTGGTTTACCTGGCCATTGAGTCATTCTCTGTTAGGGGTACTGCATCCCTCTAGGCAGCCCTAGTGGACAGAATCCCTCATGTCATAAGAAACCCATTATGGCTCTTTCCTCTAAGATCCACTTCTGGCCCATGAGAAATTCATCTTCATTTGCCCTGCCTGGAAGTACAGGCCGTTCCCATCCAAGTTCCATTTCCTTATCCTGCTGTCAGTGTAGCAAGCCTCCTGTAGCCTCTAGCTGTAGCCTCACCCCAAGACTGGGGCACCAGTGTCCCTTAAACTTGAGAGAATATATGCCAAGGTCTTTGTATGCTCTCTCAAAGTGCCCACCTCCTGCTTTGCTTGGCTTGAGAAGGGAAGAAGCATACCACCCAAATCCCTGTGGGGATACTGATAGTGATATTCAGATCATGTGATAACTCTTCAGATAAATTCATACTTACCCATCTCTTCAACTCCTCTTATGGGTGCTTAGTCTACATATACAGGCTGGATATGCGTGCTGTGCTGATGGTAAAGCTGGCTGAGACACACTTTTTATAAGTCCCACATAGATAGTCTAATACCTCACGTTACACTATGACTATATTTGCTAACTATTTTTTGTTCTGTGCTTTCATTATTAAGCAAACAGGCTTGCTGCCTGATGCACATGGAAGCCAATAACCATGGCACCGGCTTTTGAGAAAAGAAAGGCTTTATTACAAACTGGCCAGTAAGGAGATAAGAGCCAAGTTCAAATCCATCTCCCTGATTTGGAGTTTGGGGCAAGTTTATGGGCTCAGAGAGCAAGGCAAAGGGATTTGGAAATGTTGGCTTGGCAGGGTCTGATTGGAAGGCTTCAAATTTGACCATTTACCAAATTATGGCATTCAGGTTCAGGTCATGTCCCAGTCTTGATGGTCTGAGGAGAGAAATCGTTGGTTCCAGGTATCGTTAAGGTCAAAGCTTTTTCTACTGTGCATGCCCAGGCAACATGACCTTCAGTTTTTGGCTCTGTTATACCTATAAGGTAACTCAACATTTTATTATCAACAGAGTAGACCTAGTTTGGGCTGGTCCTGCCACTACACTTTGAGGGACTCTGTTCAAAGCAGAAGAAAAGAAAAGTCATATCTAATAACATGTTACACATATCACGGCCTCAGTCTTTTTTTTTTCCAAATCTTTTTCCTTGGGGCTTAAGGCAATCTGGGATGTTCACTGGTCACAGGGGTTGGGGAAGGGTCCCAGGGAGTATGAGGCTCAGGCTGAGTTGTTCACTTAGTGACAAGAAGCAGATAGGCGTTTAAGTGCTGGTGCAAAACTTCCCCTTTACCCTCTGAAGGTTCACTGAAAAATCAACTCACGAAAGACAGGTTAATAGGTGAAATGGCATACAAATGTATTAACATGTACCAAGCTGCCTGCCATTTGAGTGGCCCATGCCAGCAGACTACAGCATGGTAATGTAAAGAATCACAGAGTGATTACCCCAAGCAGAAAATGGGGCACAAAAGCTTATAGAACCTCTTAAGTTTACAGAAAGAATGGAGGGTTTGATTGTGGCAAAAGAGGTTTTGGTGGCAAAATAGGTTATAGTTGGGGAAGAAGAGGACTGGCTAGAAAAGATAGTCTTGTTATGTAGAGGAAATCTCACAGATAGCAGCCCTCAGAGAGAATAGATGGTAAATATTTCTTGCAGATCTTTAGAGGTATCAGATTCTCAGTTACTCTTCCTTAGATTTGGACAAGAGAGGGCCTCTGAGAAAGCCTGGCTATATCAATGCAGATTTTCTCTACAGATGCAACTCTCCCCAACAAAAAGACAGCTTTTCAACTGTTCTCGTATTTCCAGCCCTTCTGAATAGCCATCTTGAAATATGTTAAAGAATTCTGTTTTGGGGTGAAATATTTTGGTTTCCCTCAGTGCAAATTACGAGAAAGAGCCAATGTTGTACTGGGTGAGTGGTATCTGATATCAGGAGCAGAGTAGAAGTCAAACGATATTGTTCGGATTTGTGTCTCCACCCAAATCTCTTGTCAAATTGTGATCTTCAGTTGGACAGGGGCCTGGTGGGGGGTGACTGGATCATAGGGACAATTTCCCCCTTGGTCTTCTCACAATAGTGAGTGAGTTGTCACAAGATCTGGTTGTTTAAAAGTGTGTAGTACCTTCTAGAAGTTCTCCCTCCTACTCCAGTGATATAAGACATGCCTGCTTTTCCTTTGCCTTCCACCATGATTGAAAGTTTCCTGAAGCCTCCCCAGCCATGTTAACCTGTACAGCCTGTGGAACTGTGAGTCAATGTAACATTTTTTTTCTTTATAAATTACCCAGTCTCAGGTCATTCTTTATAGCAATGCGAGAATGGACTAATACAGAAAATTGGTACTGAGGAGTGAGGCATTGCTATAAAGATACCTAAAAATGTGGAAGTGACTTTCAAACTGGGTAAGGGGCAGAGTTTGGAACTGGGTCATGGACAGAGGTTGAAACAGTTTGGAGGGCACAGAGGAAGACAGGAAGATGAGAAAAAGTTTGGAACTTCCTAAAAAGTTGTTAAATTCTTGTGACCAAAATGCTGAGCGTGATATGGACGATGAAGTCCAGGCTGAGGCGGTCTCAGATGGAGAAGAGGAACTTACCAGGAACTGGAGCAAAGATCGCTTTTGTTATGCACTAGCAAAGAGATTGGAAGTATTGTGCCCCTGCCCTAGAGATCTGTGAAACTTTGAACTTGAGAGTGATAATTTAGAGTAACTGGCTGAAGACATTTCTAAGCAGCAAAATGTTCAAGACATAGCATGGCTGCCTCTTACAGCCTATGCTTATATTCATGAGGAAAGCAATGACCTGGAATGAGATAAAAGGGAAGCAGAGTGTAAAAGTATGGAAATTTGCAGCCCAGCCATGTGGTAGAAAAGAAACAACAATTTTCTGGGGAGGAATTCAAGCTGGTTGCAGAAATTTGCATAAGTAAAGAGGACCCTAATGTTAATAGCCAAGACAATGGGGAAAATGCCTTGAAGGCATTTCAGATACCTTCATGGCAGCCTCTCTCATTACAGGCCTGGAGGCCTAGGAGCGAAAAATGGTTTTACAGTCTAGGTCCAGGGCCCCACTGCCCTGAGCAACCTCAGGACACTGCTCCCTGCATCCCAGCCACTCCGGTCTCAGCCATGGCTAAAAGGGCCCGAGATACATCTCAGGCCACTGCTTCAGAAGGTGCAAGTCACAAGCCTTGGTGGCTTCCATATAGTGTTAAGCCTGCAGGTGCACAGAGGGCAAGAGTTGAGGCTTGGGAGCCTCTGCCTAGATTTCGGAGGATGCATGGAAATGCCTGGGTGTTCAGGCAGAAGTCTGCTGTGGGGGCAGAGCCCTCATGGAGAACCTCTACTATGGCAGTGCAGAGGGGAAACGTGGGCTTGGAGTCCTCACACAGAGTCCAAGTGGAGCCATCCTCCAGAACCCAGAATGGATCCATCGACAGCTTGCATCATGCAGCTGGAAAAGTTGCAGGCACTCAATGCTAGCCCATGAAGGCAGCCGAGGGAGCTGCACCCTGGAGAGTCACAGGGTCAGAGATTTCTAAGGCCTTGGGAACCCACCCCTTGCATCAGTGCGGCCTCAATGTGAGACATGAATTCAAAGGAGATTATTTTGGAGCTTTCATATTTAAGGACTACCCTGCTGGCTTTCAGACTTGCATAGGGCCTATAGCCCCTTTATTTTAGCTGATTTTTCCCTGTTGCAATGAGTTTATTTAATCATTGCCTGTACCCTCATTATATCTTGGAAGTAATTAACTTGTTTTTTATTTTATAGGTTCATAAGCAGAAGGGACTTGCCTTTTCTCGGATAAGATTTTGGACTGTGGACTTTTGAATTAATGCTGAAATGAGTTAAGACTTGGGGAACTGTTGAGAAGGGATGATTGTATTTTGCTATGTGAGAAGGACATGAGATTTGGGAAGGGCCAGGAGCGAATGATATGGTCTGGATTTGTGTCCCTGCCCAAATCTCAGGTGGAATTATAATCCCTGGTGTTGGAGGAGAGGCTGGGTGGGAGGTGATTGGATCATGGGGGGAGACTTCCCCCTTGCTAATCTTGTGATAGCAAGTGAGTTCTCATGAGATCTGGTTGTTTATTTATTATTTACTTATTTATTTATTTTTGAGACAGGGTCTGGCTCTGTCACCCAGGCTGGAGTGCAGTGGCATGATCTGGGCTCACTGCAACCTCTGCCTTCCAGGCTTAAGCAATTCTGTCATCTCAGCCTCCCAAGTAGCTGGGTGATATGGTTTGGCTCTGTGTCCCCACCCAAATCTCATCTTGAATTTTATTCCCATAATTCCCACATGTTGTGGGGGGCACCTGGTGGGAGATAATTTGAATCATGGGGGTGGTTCCCCCATACTGTTCTCATGGTAGTGAATAAATCTCACAGGGTCTGATGGTTTTATCAGGGAATTTCACTTTTGCATCCTTCTCATTTTCTCTTGCTGCTACCAGGCAGGAGGCACCTTTCGCCTCCTGCCATGAGTCTGAGGCATTCCCAGCCATGTGGAACTGTAAGTCCAATTAAATCTCTTTTTCTTCTCAGTCTCAGGTATGTCTTTATCAACAGCATGAAAACAGACTAATACCTTGGGACTACAGGCATGTGCTACCATGCTTGGGTAATTTTTGCGTTTTTTGTAGAGACAGGGTTTTGCAATGTTGCCCAGGCTGTTCTCAAACTCCTGAGCTCAAGTGATCCACTCGCCTTGGCCTCCCAAAGTGCTGGGATTACAGGTGTGAGCCACCACGCCTGGCCTCTGGTTGTTTAAAAGTGGGTAGCAACTCCTCCATTGCTCTCTCCCTCCTACTCCAGCCATATAAGACGTGGCTGCTTCCCCTTCAGCTTCCACCAAGATTGAAAGTTTTCTGAGGCCTCCCCAGCCATGTTACCTGTACAGCCTGTGAAACTGAGTCACTTAAACCTCTTCTCTTTATAAGTTACCCAGTCTCAGGTAGTTCTTTATTGCAATGTGAAAATGAACTAATCCACCAAAGATGGGAGATGAGGGAACAAGTTAGAAGCTGAGGTCAAGACCACATTGGGAAGTGGGTGTGGCTGTCAATGAGCTCCTCATTACCATGCCCTAGTTGGCTGGCATGGGCCACTAATCTGGCAGGGGGCTTGGTCAGCTGCTTGAAGGCACAGGTTGGGCATAGACAGTGCCATTTTAAATTGCTCAGGAGCCAGTCAGATGGGCCTTTTGCTTTCTTATCCAATTCCCTACCAATTATGCCTTCAACAACAAGATACAATAGGAAGTGATACCCAAGTGAGATCATTTTCAAAATCACCATTGATTTGGTTTGCAGCATGGTACAGAGTACCAAGAGATGTAAACCAAAAATAAAATTCCCTGATCAACTGAATCAACCCCTCCTCTCGGCCAAGGACATTCCAAAGTTAACCAGAAAAACTATTTCAGGCCGTGATGGGAAGTGAGGGTCAGACATGATTCATTATACCCTCCTCCCTTTGGAATTCAGGCACAGCTGACCAGCATTAACATTAAAATAGAGATCTTAAGACTGATGAAACACACTTTTTGTAGCAATAAGACACCAAATTTCAGCCTGACTCTAGTATGGCATCACATGACAGATAGTGGGCCTTGAAAGAACTCAAAGTATTTTACCTCAAAATATATTACTTTGACGGAGGATACTAGAGAAATGCATTTAGTTTCGGTATCTGCTAACTTAGCAAATACCTGCCCAATTTGATAATCAGTTTTGTCTATAACATGATTTCCCTAAGGGCAGACCTCATGTCTTTTGTAGTAGTTCCACAATACCACCACACTGGTAGACATCAAGTGGACACTCAATAGTTTTTTTTTTTTTTGAGACGGAGTTTCGCTCTTGTTGCCCAGGCTGGAGTGCAATGGCACAATCTCGGCTCACGGCAATCTCTGCCTCTCGGGTTCAAGCTACTCTCCTGCCTCAGCCTCCTGAGTAGCTGGGATTACAGGCATGCACCACCACGCCAGGCTAATTTTGTATTTTTAGTAGAGATGGGGTTTCTCCATGTTGGTCAGGCTGGTCTCCAACTCCTGACCTCAGGTGATCCGCCTGCCTTGGCCTCCCAAAGTGCTGGGATTACAGGCGTGAGCCACCGTGCCCAGCCAATACTTTCTAATCTACTGAAAGCTTTTCTCCCTTACTTAAATGCCCTTAGGTTTTCATCACATACAAATTAAAAACTCTCTTGCCTAGTTTCCAAAGCACGCTTCAGTCTCCCCAGAACTCACCTGACCTGTCTTATTTCCCACTGCTTCTCTACATATATGCCAAACCAGTTTTACACTTGCCTATGAACACACCTTTTTTGTCTTGGTCATCATAGTTTTACTCACTTGGAAAAAAATCCTTTTCCCCCCTTATTAAAATCCTACCCATCACTGAAATCAAGCTCAGATTTCACCACTTTTTAAAAGTCTTCTCTATCAGTATCTACCTGAATAGGTCACTCCAGGACTCTGGTCCATCCCCTCATGGGCATGACAACAAGTGGGGTACATAGTTGGCTGGGGCAAAATTAATGTGAGTAGAGTTAATTTAGGCCAAGCTTGAAGATTGCAACCGAGGAGCACAGATTCAAGTTGCCTTGAATATACACACTGATTAGCAGCCACCTTCAAGCAAACACTGCCTAGGGATGCTTATTCTATGGATGTTGGGAACTTTTATTCAAATCTCTGTGAATATATTACTCCTCCAACTTGCCAGTAAACCCCTTGAAACCTATGACTTGATTGCATGCAATAACCCTTAATACTTTAGATATCTCAGAACCTCCCAAGTTTATGACGTTCACTACAGCATGATTTACTCCATAAAATGTAGTAAGGTGGCCAGGAGCGATGGCTCATGCCTGTAATCCCAGCACTTTGAGAGGCCGAGGTGGGCAGATCATTTGAGGTCAAGAGTTCGAGACCAGCCTGGCCAACATGGTGAAACCCTGTCTCTACTAAAAATACAAAAGTTAGCCGGATGATAGTGGTGCATGCCTGTAATCCCAGCTACTCGTGAGGCTGAGGCAGGAGAATCACTTGATCCTGGGAGGCGGAGGTTGCAGTGAGTCGAGATCGAGCCACTGCACTCCAATCTGGGTGACAGAGTGAGATCCCATCTCAAAACAAAACAAAAACAAACAAACAAAAAAACGTTGTAAGGTTCAAATTCAAAATAAGTCTTTTATATACGATAATTTTTAAAAATTGTCAACCTCAATCCATTTAATTACATCTTAGAAGGAAATCAAATCAACAAGCATTTGTCAAGCTGATCATGTGCCCAGCATTCTGGTAGGTACTGCAGAAAATAAGATGATATAGAGTACTCTTGTGACAGACTGAATATAGAAATGGACAATGACCAGAACATATATAAAAATAGAACTCTGACCTACAACCTCTCCAGGAACTAGTCCAGAAAGACAACAGCTATTTCTGCATTAATCATCCCAGGACTTGATCAACTGCCAGTTTCCTTAGTTTTTGTCCTGTTTCCAACTTAGGACCAACCAGAGAAAGCCAAATATGTATCCTCAACTGACCACATAGGATGCCGTGCTTCCACTTAACCTGCCTCCAGCCAGCAACATCAAATCAGGGCATACCTGAAGTCTTTCCTTTTTTCACATTATAAAGCTTTCACACTCTCCTGCCTGCCTTCCGATCTCTGAAAAACACAAGTGATGGTGGCTGACTGCTTTGCTACAGCAAGCTTTGAATAAATATCCTTTGCTTGTACTCATTTGAGTGTTCTCCATTTATTTCTGCTCTTGGAATTACAGAATTATTATAGGTGGTTTCAATTATTAATTTATACCCCCAAAGACTCAAGATATAGTCATTTATAATTTTATTAGGGCTGGGATTTGAATTATACTATTTGAGACTGATATATGGCAGTTAGTGACTGCCCTGTACACACATATGATTTTGCTTTTGTATTCACACTGTGACACATGCACCTTACTGGGGAAATTATATTCTCTAGAGTGTATTTTGGGGGATTATTTTGGAAGGCATTGAACTTAACACCTTATGTATCTTCAGGGCCTGCTATTGAGAAATTTCAAGAGTGATCGACTTTGAAGAGTAAAGAGGAAATTAATAAAATTAAAAGATTAAGCCTGTGGGACTTAGAAAAATAGTGCTACTCTGTTGACCTAAAAGGAAGAAGCTGAAGCAAAATTAATATAAGTAGAGTTAATTTGGGTCAAGCTTGAAGATTGCAACCTAGGAGCATATATTCAAGTTGCCTTGAATATACACACCATTAGCAGCCACCACAGGTGAATCTTTATTATTTATTTATTTACTTTGAGACAGAGTCTCGCTCTGTTGCCCAGGCTGGAGTCAATGGCACCATCCCGGCTCACTGCCACCTCCACCCCCAGGTTCAAGAGATTCTCCTGCCTCAGCCTCTGAGTAGCTGCGATTACAGGTGCGTGCCACCACACCTGGCTAATTTTTGTATTTTTAGTAGAGACAGGGTTTCGCCACGTTGGTCAGGCTGGTCTTGAACTCTTGACCTCGTGATCCGCCTGCCTCGGCCTCCCAAAATGCTGGGATTACAGGCGTGAGCGACTGCGCCTGGCCCACAAGGGAATCTTTAAAGGCAAAAAAGGGAACAAGGAGTGGGCTGATACCACGTTGTGTACAGAAATTCTTATTGGTTTATGGAAATAACATTTATTAGTGATTGGTTACATTGTTAAGCTATAGGATGTGGGTTATACTGTCCAATGGGACATTAGGTTAATTTATAGCTACTTGTGGCATAAGCAAGTAGTTTCAAGAGATGAATACATAGCACAAGGGAGAAGTAGGATGTGATTGTTGTCTCCTTTTAATGTCCCTCTGGGCCTGACAGTTTAAAATAACTACATTCCTCAGATAAAAATAATTTTCTTTTCTCACTACTAAATGACAGAAATGGAGACTTCAGAAAGGAATTAAGTATGAGGAAAAGATCAAGAGACAGCAGGATGTTCAAGTTCATTGAACAAACATTGACTGCCAGCTAGAGAATAGTAAGCACTATTCTAGATGCTGAGGATAATAGTGAAGAACAAAATAGACCAAAATCCTTGCTCTTGTGGAACTTATCTTTGAAATTATACAGCTGAAGATTTAGCCTTGGGTAACACAGAGAAATAAGGATGAAAAAAGGAATGCCTGAGATGCTCAGGATGGTGCCAAAGCACAGAAACACACTAGGGCCTATGTTACAGCAGTCCAGTGGAATTTCCCTTAAAGAACCCAGGGAAAAGACATTAATGGAAGTTGAACTATGTTTTGAGACTCGCTGAAGACAGTCTGCCAGAATTACTTTATCCGTTACAAGAATATCCACAGCTTGTCCTTTAACAGATGGTCTGGAAACAGGTGGTAATAATGGTAACTTAACAAAGTACTATCATTTACAATATTTTAATTCAGAAACCCATATTTATAGAAGAAACTAAGGCACAGTAGAGAGTGGAATGATCCTCAGGATTACATAACAAGTTGTAGTCAGATAAAGCATTGGTATCCAGCTTTCCTGACTCTTAGATTCTGAGAGAGATTTATAATGCTCTTATTTTTTAAGACTATACATCAAATATGTAGCATAAAGAATTCTTAGGCGTATTATGGGCTGATACCCTAAAGAATGCTAATGAAATAAAAAACAAACTGGTGCCAGACTAATGTGATTAATGTCTGCAACCAAATTTCCCCTAAGTAGTAATACCAAGTAGTTGGTTAAGGATTTATTTATTTATTTATTTATTTTGAGACGGAGTCTCGCTCTGTTGCCCAGGCTGGAGTGCAGTGGCGCGATCTCGGCTCACTGCAAGCTCCGCCTCCCGGGTTCACGCCATTCTCCTGCCTCAGCCTCCCGAGTAGCTGGGACTACAGGCGCCCGCCACCACCCCCGCCTAATTTTTTGCATTTTTTTAATAGAGACGGGGTTTCACCGTGTTAGCCAGGATGGTCTCCATCTCCTGACCTCGTGATCCACCTGCCTCGGCCTCCCAAAGTGCTGGGATTACAGGCATGAGCCACCGCGACCGGCCTGGTTGGTTTTTTTTTTTACTCTGCACAATAGGTTTCTGAATGACTTATTAGAGGTGTTTGATGCTGATAGTTTGAAACTGATTCGATCAATTAAAAAATGTTCATTGGTATTGTTTTATTAGTTGCTAGAATATGCATTCAACTTCACTGAAACGAGACTTAAAAGGTAAGAGGTACACTACATCGCGACTATAGGAGTAAGAAAATTTAATTTCTTCACGCCATCTGACCAAGATGTTAAATTACTGAACCCTTTAGTCTTGTTTTTGTTTTGTAGATAGAAATCAAGATGCTGGACAAACCTTTCTCATGGAATAGTCAAAATATTTAAGGAACAAATCTATACAGTTTAATAACTGCCAACATTTGGCAGGGCTCATGCCTGTAATTCCAGCACTTCGGGAGGTCGAGGCGGGCGGATCACTTAAGACTAGGAGTACGAGACCAGCCTGGCCAACATGGCGAAACCCTGTCTCTACTAAAAAATATAAAAATTAGCCGGGCATTGGTGGCTTGCGCCTGTAGTCCCGGCTACACTGGAAGCTGAGGCTGGAGAATCGCTTGAGCCCGGGAAGCAGAGGTTGCAGTGAGCTGTGATTGTGCCACTGCACTGCAGCCTGGGTGGCAGAGAAAGACCCTGTCTCAAAACAAACGAACGAACAAAAAATTGCTGACGTCTGTGAGGTTCTTATTATGTGCCATGAATTGATCTACGTCCTTCACATATGTAAACTCATGCAATCCTAGCATACACACAAAAAACCAATGTGGCAGGTACTATCATTATCGTAGACAAGGAAACCGAGGACCAGAGAAGTTGAAGTAGCTTGGCCTAGGATGTAGGTTGTAACTCCTAGAGCTGAGATCTTGTTTATATACAAAAGGTTTCAAGAATCAAAAGTACTCTAAGCCACTTTGCGTTTCGGCTGTCATCGAGAAAGGGATATCCGAAGTTTCAGGTTCGCAGTTTGTGAAACGGAACGGCCAGCTTTCGTTCTAAGGCGGGCGGAGGTTTAGCCACTCCCTCGTCCTTTGCTCTGCCCCAGACACCCACGCTCGCTTTCCTCTTCTTCCTCCACCTCGCCCTACTTCCCTTCTTCCTATCTTCTCTCTTCTTTCGCCTCGCCGCCGCGAGCCCTCGCTCGGCGACCAGAGCCTCGCATTACTTCCCCTAGCTCCGCCAAGCCTCGCTGCATACGCGACCGCGCGCAGTCCGCCGTCGCGCCCCTATGACGTCACCCGCGCGCCACCGCTTCCGGGCTGGGGACTGGGGGCGGGGCCGCGCGGAGGGCAAGCCGGGGGCGGGGCCGGGGCCAGAGCAGATCTCCGGGCCTCCGCGGCCATAGCTGACTGTGCCGTCCCTTCCCCTCACCCGCTCCACGCCCTCCTGGGCCGAGTGGAGTTGGGTGGTGTCGGGAGCCTCTCCCTGAGGGGCACCGCGTCTTCAGGAGCTGGGCCTCCAGTGCGGCGCGATGTCAGGCGCGGTGACAGCTCTGTGAGTCCGAGGCCGCGGCCGTGGCGCTGGGCGGCTGCGGGGCCTGACCGGTCCGCTCATGGTGCCGCCACGACGCCATCGCGGGGCAGGAAGGCCAGGTAGGCAGGCAGGGAAGGGCCCCGACATCACCGGAGCCCAAACCGGGACGGAGTGCCCACCAGCAGCACCACCTCCTGCCCTCGGTGGCAGCAGGAGCGCCTTGACCGAAACCGTGAAGGTCTCTAGGGGCGGAGGGAGCGGGAGCTGACAGGGGCGCCGGAGCCCTGCGCCCACCGCTGGCAATTGAGGAAGCCGTGCGTGCGCCCTCGCCTCGGCTCCCCGGGGAGGCGTCGCTGCCTTAACTGTCTTCCCCGCTCCAAAACAGAAGGATGATTTCTTTTCCCAGCTGTTTCTTTTAAAATGACTGGATGTTTTGATAGAGGTGGGTGGAGGAGCATGGAGAATCCTTTTCTTTTACCACTTGAAGAGATTGGAAAGGTGCCTTCAAGACCCACAGCAAATCACTTACTCTCCGATAACCAAATTCCACTCCAGCAGATCAGGGACAGAAAAGACACTTTTAGAAACAGTGTCTAGACGCTGTCCCCAGGGATGGATTCCTCTGGATGGAGAGGTGAATGGAGTTCCGTATTTGTGAAACTCAGAGAAGCTATTTTCTGGTAGTTAACTGTTCTTAAATGTGCCGTATGTTGTATATTACTCCCCCTCCCTGCCCGCCCCGTATCGCGTATCTCTCTAAGTATAATCTGAAGCGTGCAGTGGATACCATGAAAGTACTGAGAAAGGTGGCAAGTATGTTTAACACATTTTGGTCCTTTTCATTGATTTGCTTTGAGTTTGAAGATGAAGAGTAAAAAACGATGTGATGAATCTTACCTTGAGTTATTCACGTTTTCATAGCATAATTTCATGGTTGTTTTTAGGGGTGCTGAGTTCTTCACCTCCTTTTAGACTGAGATCTGCCAAGTTTTCCGGCATTGCTCTTGAGGATCTCAGAAGGGCTCTTAAGACAAGGTAGATTCCACGTTTATCCTCTATGTAACTTTCACACTGAACATTAGCTAACAAAAGTCAAATGTTTCTGTTATACTAATGTTCTCATTTTTAATGGTTGTTTTTCTAAAATCATCTCTAATGTGATCTGTATTTTCTAAAAAACAGACTGCAAATGGTGTGTGTATTTGTCATGAACCGAATGAATTCCCAGAACAGTGGTTTCACTCAGCGCAGGCGAATGGCTCTTGGGATTGTTATTCTTCTGCTTGTTGATGTGATATGGGTTGCTTCCTCTGAACTTACTTCGGTATGTACCTTTGGTCCAGGAATGATGTTACATTACAGCCACAATGTTAACTCTTAACCTGTAGTAACTCTAGCCGTTACAATCTCCTGCTTTCTAAAAGCAGTATCTTAAATACTATTGAATTTTTAAAAAACGTTGAATTATTGCCACTTGAAGTTAAAACTGAAAGGATGATCCTTTTTATTGTTTCATACAGTTTTCTTGTATCTTTTAGGGAGGGTTACTTAGAGAGACTATGCATATTTTCTTACATTTGAAAGTGTAACTCGTGGCTTTTTTTCTAAATTCAAATTCTTTCTGTAAATATTATTTTCTAGTGAAATAACTGTCAGGATGCAAAACAATGTCACCATTTAGTAGAAGGTTCAGAGTGCTTTTGGACAAATGAGTAAAAATAATGAGTTTTCATGTATAGGTCACTGTTACAATGCCCATGAGTGGTTGCATCCACATTTATGCTTGCTGACTCAAACCTTATTATAAGATGCATGGTATACCTCATA
Source organism: Homo sapiens (assembly GCF_000001405.40). Taxonomy (NCBI): domain Eukaryota; kingdom Metazoa; phylum Chordata; class Mammalia; order Primates; family Hominidae; genus Homo; species Homo sapiens. The sequence continues at coordinate 113,754,661 of NC_000002.12, read as the reverse complement.
ATTTTCCTTCAGTTAAATTGTATCTTGACAGTTTCCTTCAGTTAAATTGTGTCTTTATTGATGACCTATTGGTAGTAATGTGGCATTTTGAATTTGCAAGCTAGTTTTTCTTTCTACTTGTATACTTTATTCTGCTTGGTTAATGATCCCTATAAAAAGCAACTTTTATTTTCAGAAGTCTGCATTTCAACTTCTACGTTGCAATTTTAAGGCGAATATACAGCAGGAAACTGGCATTTATAAAATGAACCTAATTTTCAAAAGAAGCAGTTTAATACTCAGGTCTCATATTGTAGCTAAGTAAATATTGACATTGGCATTGTATCCTATGAGTATATAAGTTTTTTTTTTTTTTTCTTTTTTTTTTGAGATGGAGTCTTGCTCTGCTCTGTCGCCCAGGCTGGAGTGCAATGGTGCGATCTCGGCTCACTGCAACCTCCGCCTCCCGGGTTCAAGGGATTCTCCTGCCCCGGCCCCCTGAATAGCTGGGATTACAGGCACACCCCACCACGCCAGGCTAATTTTTGTATTTTTAGTAGAGACGGGGTTTCACCATGTTGGTCAGAATGGTCTCAAACTCCTGACCTCATGATCCGCCCGCCTCGGCCTCCCAAAGTGCTGGGATTACAGACGTGAGCCACCTCACCTGGCCAAGTATATAAGTTTTTATGCTTTTCAGAATTAATCTCTGGAATCTAATAGACCATATATTTTTTGCTTTAAAACTCTTCTCTAACCTTCTTTTAGATGAACATTTTGTACTTCTACCTCAAAGAAATGTCTTTGATATTGACAGGGAACTAAACCTATCTTTTAAATTTTATTTTCATTTAAAATAAATAGTTTGTTTTTATATATTAGTTAATAAAATTTAGGACAAAATAGCACCTGGTTAAATTATCATTTAACCATATCTAAGCAAAGTAGAAAGGAAAAAACAATTTGTTGTTTGTGGTAATCATTTCACAATGTATACATATATCGAAACACCATGTTGTAAAAAATACATATATTTGGTGTTTGTCAGTTGTACTTTGATGAAACTGGAGGAAAAAACTCAACTTACCTTAATTTTTTTAAAGTAAAATATTTTAGTAAGAGGATGTTTTACAATCTCATTATTCAAGAATGTATGTAATGTCTCTACTTCTTCAACCAGTTATGCTCATTAAACTTTGGAGATAGGGCCAGGCGCAGTGGCTCACGCCTGAAATCCCAACACTTTGGGAAGATCAGGTGGGCAGATCACCTGAAGTCAGGAGTTCGAGACCAGCCTGGCCAACATGGTGAAACTCAGTCTCTACTAAATACAAAAATTAGCTGGGTGTGGTGGTGGGTGCCTGTAATCCCAGTTACTCTGGAGGCTGAGGCAGGAGAATCGCTTGAACCTGGGAGGCAGAGGTTGCAGTGAGCTGAGATCATGCCATTGCACTCCAGCTTGGGCAACAAGAGTGAAACTCCTTAGCAAAAAAAAAAAAAAAAAAAAAAAAAAAGAAAAACAAACTTTGGAGATAAAGTGTGTATTTCAAAAAGAAAATCAGTCTTTTTATTATGGTTATTTTCTAACATATACAAAGTAGAATATTATAATGAGTCTCCATGTATTCGTTACTTAGCTTTAGCACTTAACCAAATTTGCCAACCTTATCAACCTCTCCTCAAAACTTTTTTTCCTGGAGCATTTTAAAGCATATTTTAAAGCATATGTCACATGCCATTTCACCCACGATTTCTTTCCTATTTACTTTAAACTGAAAAGGACTTTTAATTTTCTTAAACATAATCACTATGCCATTAACATAGTTAACACAATTAACTGTAATTCCTTAAGATCATCTGATATCCAGTCTATGTTCAGTTTTCTCCAGTCCAGTTTTCTCCGGTGGTGTCAAGCACTTTTTTTTCCCATTAAGTTTGTTAGGATCTAAATGAAGATCACGCATTGCATTTGTGGTATCTTTTACTCCTTAACTGTATCTTCCCTCCTTTTTTTTAATACCATAAATTTGTTGGAGAAACTGGGTCATTTTTCCTATTGGATGTATCACACATTCTGGATTTGGCTGATTGTTTCCTTGGGGTATCATTTAACTTGTTATTTTTCTCTTATTTCTTGTAAAGTGGTAGTTAGGTGTAAAGTCTTGATTTAGGTTTAGTTTTCAGGAAAGAATACTTTGGGGTACTGAGTACTTCCTGTAACATTCCAGCATGACATACATAATGACTGCAAGTCTCACTTTAGATGATGCCAATTTAAGTACTATAAAATTCCTCACCAACTTTTAGGTAATAGTTGAATATCCACGTTTAAGTTGTCTAGATAAAGTATTTCATTAGGGGTTGCAAAATGGTGATTTTTTTTTGAGTTATTCCCTCTGTATTTATTAGCTGGAATTCTTTAAGTCTTTTTAATATGGCCTTATTAATCTTTTTTTTTTTTTTTTGAGATGGGACAGAGTTTTGCTCTTGTCACCCAGGCTGGAGTGCAATGGCACTATCTCGGCTCACTGCAATCTCCGCCTCCCAGGTTCAAGCAATTCTCCTGCCTCAGCCTTCTGAGTAGCTGGGATTATAGGCACCTGCCACCACGCCCAGCTAATTTTTGTATTTTTAGTACAGACTGGGTTTCACTGTGTTGGCCAGGCTGGTCTTGAACTCCTGACCTCAAGTGATCCACCCGCCTTGGCCTTCCAAAGTGTTGGGATTACAGGCGTGAGCCACTGTGCCTGACATCTTATTAATCTTTAACATTTTCTTTCCACCACAAGATGCCCTGGGCCCATCTTGTACATTTTCTGCTCCATACCTGGATTTGGCCATTTATTATAGGAGCCATTGTTTCTTTTTTGGGGACAGAGTCTCACGCTGTTGTCCAGTATGGAATGGTGCAGTGGCATGATCTTGGCTCACTATAACCTCTGACTCCTGGGTTCAAGTGATTCTCCTGCCTCAGCCTCCAGAGTACCTGGGATTACAGGCAGGTGCCCCCATGTACTGCAAATTTTTGTATTTTTTGTAGAGACAGGGTTTCGCCATGTTGGCCAGGCTGGGCTTAAACTCCTGACTTCAAGTGATCCACCCGCCTCGGCCTCCCAAAGTGCTGGGATTATAGGTGTGAGCCACTGTGCCTGGCCAGAGCCATTGTTTCTTTTAGTGTAAAATGGCGTGGACCACCATTTACGTCCTAGAGTTGCACTTTCCTCCTGGATTGTCATTTTTTTCTATGCCTTTTTAGTGGATATAACTAGGAATTTTCTTAGGATATAAAAAATTGTGAGTTTATATTCACAATACACTAAAAACAAACAAACAAACAAAAAAACAGTCTCCCTTGGGAAACGTCCATAACCTTGAAATTTGTCAGTCTCCTTTTGGTGCTCCGTGGCATCCTGAACCCGTCTCTTGTTACTTGGCACATGATGCTGTATTCTCTTCATATATATGTCTCCTCTATTAGATGTTAAGCTCCCCAAGGGCAGGATAACTTCCCTTCCTTCTCTTTTGTTTTTCTTTATGAGATAGGGTCTTTGCTCTGTTGCCCAGGCTGGAGTGCAGTGGCTTGACCATGGCTCACTGCAGCCTCAACCTTTGTGAACTCAGGGGATCCTCCCGCTTCAGCCTCCCAAGTAGCTGGGACTGAGGGTGCACGCCACCACCCTGGCTAATTTTTCTATTTTGCTGCAGAGACGGAGTTTTGCCATGTTGCCCAGGCAGGTCTTGAAATTCTGGGCTCAAGCAATCTTCCTGTCTTGGTCTCCCCACGTGCTGGGATTATTGGCTTGGGCCTCCGCGCCTGGCCCTGTCTTACTTTTCTTTAGCTCCTAGTGTAGGCACTGTTTCGTGGTAGGTCCCAACGAATGGTAAACCCAACTTCTTTTAGCAGCTGTTGCTGCTTTGTTTGGTGGTGCCCTTCTGTGTGCAAGGCCGATACAGTCTTCAGAAATGGATCTAAAATACTTTTGTAATCGCTTTGACTTTTTCTTTCCAAGTGAACTTCTGAAGAGTTAAAAATCATGTAGTGACTTTATTTTGGAGATGAGTAATAAGGTTTAAGGTCATCTCAGAGTTGTCTGTGTAACTTTTTCCTCTACAGTATGTTTTTACCCAGTACAACAAACCATTCTTCAGCACCTTTGCAAAAACATCTATGTTTGTTTTGTACCTTTTGGGCTTTATTATTTGGAAGCCATGGAGACAACAGTGTACAAGAGGACTTCGCGGAAAGCATGCTGCTTTTGTAAGTTTTTAATTTTAACTGTCTGTTAGGAAGGGGGTATAGATACGTTTTTTCAAAGTTTAAAGATGTATTAGTTTCTTTAAGGACGGTCATATTTTAAGTTGTTCAGTTAAGTGAGTGAAGATGATATAAGAAAACCGGCTCTTGTCCAAAATTTTAAATTTATTCTTCTAATTAAGTAGTATCAGAATAGTTTGTGAGAACTCTTACTCCATGACATTTTCTGAGTTGTTAAAAATTCTTGAATTAGCCCAAATCAATTAATGTGGCAATGAAGATGAAAGTAAGGAATAAGAAGAATATCAAGAGTCTGTCATTTGCAGATTGGATGAGTATCCTCTAATTGTTAGGTGGATTCTGGAAACAAAAAAATTCAAAGTTTTATGTATTAAAATGAAAATATCATATTTCCAGACGTATTTTAGATGTTTGGCTAATCAAATTATATTCTTTGATTGATGTAATATAATATAATATGCTCATTCATAGTGTTGAAAGAAATATGAGTTTATATAATGATATATCTTCCTTATAGAAGTAGAAATTTTGAATTATTGAGAATGAAGAATTATAAAACTTTCTTATGTTAATCCTTTTAAAAAATTCTTTATTATGTTAGAATATATATAATGTGAAATACACCATTTTAACTATTTTTAAATGTATAGTAGTGGCATTAAGCGCATTGACTTTGCTCTATAACCATCAGCTCCAGAATTTTTCATCATCCTAGACCGAAAGTCTGTACACAGACTTAAAAATAACCACTATTCATTCTTCCCTCCAAACCCTAGTAACCACTGTATTATTTTCTGTCTCTCTTAATCTTTTTCTTTCGTGTGTATTATTTTTTGTGGGTTAAAATAGTATTGTTTCTTGTCTTATCTAATAAGTACATCCTTTTTAAAATTATTAATTTATTTTTAGAGACAGGGTCTCACTTTGTTGCCCAGGCTGGAGTGCAGTGGTTTAATCACAGTTTGCTGTAACCTTGAATCCTGGGCTCAAGCAGTCTACTTGCCTCAGTCTCTCAAGTAGCTGAGTACGTAGCCATGCAACACCACACCCCACTGATTTTTGTATTTTTTGTAGAGACAGTGTCTCACTATGTTGCTCAGGCTGATCTCAAAGTCTGGCCTCAGGCATTCCACCGTCTTGGCCTCCCAAAGTGCTGGGGTTACAGACCTGAGCCACTGCACCCAGCAGTCAGGGGCTTTCAATAATTGTTTTTTAAAGCTGGGCTTGGTGGCTCATGCCTGTAATCCCAGCATGCTGGGAGGCCGAGGCAGGCAGATCTCTTGAGCCTCAGGAGTTCAAGACCTGCCTGGGCCATAGTGGCTCATGCCTCTTATCCCAGCACTTTGGGAGGCCGAGGGGGCGAATCATGAGGTCAGGAGATCGAGACCATCCTTGGCCAACATGGTGAAACCCCGTCTCTACTAAAAATACAAAAATTAACTGGGCATGGTGGCGCACTCCTGTAGTCCCAGCTGCTCGGGAGGCTGAGGCAGGAGAGTTGCATGGACTTGGGAGTCAGAGGCTGCAGTGAGCTGAGATCGCACCACTGCACTCCAGCCTGGTGACAGTGAAACTCCGTCTCAAAATAAATAAATAAAAAACAATTAAAAACAATTTTTTAAATGTAGGTGAAGCCTGCAAATGTATACTCATGTACACACACAAATTTAACTTACCAAAAATATGAGTATGTATTTTTTTACTTTGCAAAAGTAATACATATACATTGTAGAAATTATATATACATCATAATATCACATGTAGGGATAAATTGTATGTGTATTAGTATAGGTATATTGTTGAAAATTTAGACGCTACAGAGAAACAAAAAGAGGAAAATAAATGCTACCATTCAAGGAATAACCACTGATAATATTTTGACATATATCCTGCCATTCTTTTCATGTGTGTATTTTTTATTTTTTACAAAAATGGAATTGGGCCTGGTGCGGTATCTCATGCCTATTATTCCAGCACTTTAGGAAGCTGAGGTGAGTGGATCACTTGAGGCCAGGAGTTTGAGACCAGCCTGGCTAACATGGTGAAACTCTGTCTCAACTAAAAATACAAAAAATTAGCCAGTCGTGGTGGTGCACTCCTGTAATCCCGGTTAGTCGGGAGGCTGAGGCATGAGAATTGCTTGAAGTCGGGAGGTGAAGGTTACAGTGAGCAGAGACTGAACCACTACACTCCAGTCTGGGTGACAGAGTGAGACTGTCTCAAAAAAATAAAATAAAAATGAAAATGGAATTCTTTTCAAGGTTAATCCATATTGTAGTGTTTCTGTACTTCATTCATTTTTTGTTGCTGTTGTTGAGACAGAGTCTCACTCTCTTGTCCAGGCTAGAGTGCAGTGGCGCGATCTCAGCTCACTGAAACCTCCACCTCCTGGGTTCAAGTGATTCTCCTGCCTCAGCCTCCTAAGTAGCTGGGATTACAGGTGCCCGCCACCATGCCCGGCTAATTTTTGTATTTGTAGTAGAGACGGGGTTTCACCATGTTGGTCAGGCTGGTCTTGAACTCCTGACCCCAAGCGATCCACCCCTCTCGGCCTCCCAGAGTGCTGGGATTACAGGCGTGAGCCACTGCGCCCGGCCAAATAATGTCATTTTTAAAGCTTGTAATTCTTATTGCTAAATTACTGTCTGTAATGGTTGCATTAATTCTTATCTCTGTTAGCAGTATATAATTAAACCCTTGTTAAACACTCATTAAATCTCATGATTGAACCCTTACCAACATCCCATCATTTGCCAACTGGACAGGTGAACAATGATGATAGCTTGTTTAATGTGCATGTTTTTGGTTACTTTTTCATATATTTTTTGGGAAGTAGAACTCTTGTGTGTGTTGTCTGTGTCTTATTTTTCTACATTGACTCCCTTTTTATTACTGATTTGTTAGGGTTCTTTTACAGCATGGGCTCTAGTGTTTGAATCTTGTTCTATCACTCTCCAGTTTTTGATCTTGGGCAAGTTTTTTAACCTCTTCAGACTTTCAGCAGAGATAATGATAGACTAGCTGTGGATATGAAATGAAATCATATTTACATAGCATTAGCGCAGTGATTCTTAAAGTGTGATCCAGACCTTGAAATTCATTCAGGGTTTTTTTTTTTTTGAGACGGAATCTTGCTCTGTGGCCCAGGTTGGAGTGCAGTGGCGTGATCTCGGCTCACTGCAACCTCCACGTCCTGGTTCAAGCGATTCCCCTGCCTCAGCCTCCTGAGTAGCTGGAATTACAGGCATGCGCCACTGTGCCTAGCTAATTTTTGCATTTTTTAGTAGAGATGGGGTTTCACCACGTTGGCCAGGCTGGTCTCAAACTCCTGACCTCAAGTGATCAACCCACCTCAGCCTCCCAAACTGCCGGGATTACAGGTGTGAGCCACCGTGCTTGGTCTCATTCAGAGGTTTTTGAGGTCAAAATTAATTTCATAATAATACCAAGATGTTTCTTACCTTTTTTTTTTTTTTTCTTTTTTTGAGACGTAATCTTGCTGCCCAGGCTGGAGTGCAATGGCACAATCTTGGCTCACTGCAACCTCCACCTTCAGAGTTAAAGTGATTCTCCTGTCTCAGCCTCCCGAGTAGCTAAGATGACAGGCACCTGCCAACACTGCTAGCTAATTTTTTTGTATTTTTAGTAGAGACAGGGTTTTACCATGTTGGTCAGGCTAGTCTTGAACTCCTGACCTCAAATGATCCACCAGCCTTGGCCTGTTACTTGCCTTTTTAACTAACCCATCCCTCTTTTCCCTACTTATCTGAAATGTTATAGTAGTGTTCCGAAAAGGGCATAAGCTTTGGTTTTAGACTAACTTGGGTTTTAATCCTGACTGTCAGGATTAAAAATCTCTCAGCCTCAAATTTTTCATCAATAAAATGAAGATAATACCTACCTCACAATGGTGAATATGTGGCATTAGCTGCTATTATTATTAGTAACAGTTTTAGTCTTACAGGTTGATTCTGGATTTTTGCTTCTATTTATCTGAGTTACGTCTGACTAGTCCTACAGTATAATGTAAGTTTCATTGAATTTTGTATCTTGTTATCTGTATTTAGTTTGCAGATGCTGAAGGTTACTTTGCTGCTTGCACAACAGATACAACTATGAATAGTTCTTTGGTAAGTGCTTCTTTTCTTGTCAGGAATAGAGAGGTGGGGTTGAGCCATGGTAGGAAAAACTGAAACAGGTTTGATGGCAGCAAAGCTGTATTACAACATAGATATGGCTCAATATTGGGTGCCCATCATTAGGATTGTAATTTGGTACTTTTTTTCTCCTTAGGGTTACCTGGGGCCTAGAGGTAAGCAATTTAGCTGCCTCTGAAGAGAGAGGGGAAGGGAAAACTGGTTCAGGAGTGAAAATAATAAAGGACAATCCTTTGTTACTAACCAACTTTTTCACTTCATGCACATTATTATTATCATTTAGAAACAAATATTTTTGACACTGAGACTATATAGGCAAATTATTCGTTTGTTCCACAAATTTTTTACAGTGACAAATCTGTGTTAAACACGTTCTAGGCTCTGAAGATACAGCTTTGTTTTAGTGTGTGAGTGTGTGCGTATTTGCGAGGGGACAGGTAATAAGCAAGTAAAGTAATTGACATAGTCACTTATTTTAAGTATTTGTAATCTAGTTGGAGAGGTAGTATATAAAAATCTTTTTTTAAGATGATCACTCAGGCATCTCTTTTTTTATTTTTTATTTTTAGATTTCTTTTTAGAGACAGGGTTTTGGTCTATTGCCTCTGGTGGAGTACAGTGGCACAATTATGGCTTATTCTAACTTTCAACTGCTGGGCTTAAGCAATCACCTTGTCTCAGCCTCCTAAATACAAGCATACTCCACCACTAACTTTTTATTTTTACTTTTTAGGAACATGGTCTTGCTATGTTGCTCAGGGTGGCATCTCTTTAAAATGTATTTTTAATGATACTTGTTTTCTTTCCAAACATGGCATTTTATCTGAGAAAAATTTTAGTTACTCTAAAATTTAATAGCAATTTGTGAAGCACTGGCTTGGTGACCTTATTCACAGCACAGTTTCTTGTTTGTCTCTCTGTTTTTTAGAACTGCGATGGCATGCAGAGTAGGTTAATAGATACTATGAAGAATTTTTTTTTCCTGGGATCTTAAGCATCAATAAAATAATTTAATATCATTTGTCTCTATCAGTACAGAGGGCAAAGTTGAGATGGCAGCCTGCTCTTCTGGCTACTCTTGTACTAATTCTTACTATTATCTGTAAGATGGATATGTCAAATTGCTCTAGGCCAGATGCCGTAATGAAAACTTCAGTGTAACAAAGAGATTATGTCTATTTCCAGACCCACTGTCCCTTCATTTACTGAATTTTTTTTTGTTGTTGGTAGAGCTCTGTACCAGGAGTTAAAAGAGAAATCAAAGAAATAAAAAAAAGTTCTGTTAATTTTGAAGAATCAGCCTAGTTGGAGATTTGTACCTTAAATATAGATCATCTGAAGAACATTTGCAAAAACAGTTGAGGAATTTATAACTACCTAAAAATATGGACCTTTGGAGCATGGTTAGACAAACCTGGCTTTAATTGTTTTGTCTGCTACCTGATTACTTTATACCTCAGCTTTATTCTCTAAAAGTATAAATATTATTATTATTTTGAGATGGAGTCTCGCTCTGTCACCCAAGCTGGAGTGCAGTGGCGCAATCTCAGCTCACTGCACAACCTCCGTCTCCTGGTTTCAAGCAATTTGCCTACCTCCACCTCATGAGTAGCTGGGATTACAGGCACACACCACCACGCTCAGCTAATTTTTGTATTTTAGTAGAGATGGGGTTTCACCATGTTGGCCAGGCTGGTCTCGAACTCCCGACCTCAAGTGATCTGCCCGCCTCAGCCTCGCCTCCCAAAGTTCTGGGATTACAGGCCTGAACCACTGTGCCGGCCATATTCTATAAAATTATTGTGAGTACTAATGAGAAATATATGTTTAACTGCTCTAGAGTTGGTACTCAATACACAGTAAGAACTGGTAAGTAGTAGCTATTTTGTGTAAAGGTCTTCAAGAATTTTAGTTTTTTATTGAGTTTTACATAATAAGAGGAGACAATTTAGTAAATATAAATACATACTATATACCTGGTTATCAGTTTGTTATCTGCCTTGCCTGTTAGACTGCATGATCACTGAGGAAGAGACTGCTTTTATTCACCCTTCTATCCCCAGGACTTAGAACAGCGTCTGACATAGTAGGAGCTCAGACTCCTACTATGAGCATTTGTTAAATGAATGAAAAGGAATGAGAGAGAATCTGTTAGCTGAGATGGAATCTGTTAGCTAAGAAAGAGATATGTTTTTATGACATTTAAATATTAGATATCATAATATGCCAATGCTGTTACATTACATTGCTAAACTGTAAACTGATTCTTTTCTGTCATTGTAGCTGTATGGATCTGTTGAGTTTCCTTTTTTAAGTCTTGAAAATTGCTGTTTAAACTTGGTGGTGAACAACCACGTTTTAGATGGTATTTGTGTCTACGTACTATCCATTTAAATTTTAACCACTATGTTAGCTTTTATATTTGTTGTTTATATTTTTTTCTGTTACATTCCAGAGTGAACCTCTGTATGTGCCTGTGAAATTCCATGATCTTCCAAGTGAAAAACCTGAGAGCACAAACATTGATACTGAAAAAAGTAAGCAAAACTTGGAAATGGGTAGAAAGTTTACCTTTATTCAAGCCACTTCAGAACTTAGTGATGATGTGGGTTGACTGAAACATGTAGCAGTTCTGCTCCATGTGGTCTTGACTCAGCCTATAGTCTTCTAGAAGTTTGACTGGATTGTGAATCTAATATAGTATAATCATTTTTGTATTATTTCAACTGGAAATAATTTCCAAATACCATAAATCTCTATGGTTTCATCATATATATGTATACACACATACACACATGCATCACACGCTTATATATAAACAAATAATATCCTCTTAAATATGCCCTCAAAGAGCCTAATAGCAAATTATAAGAGTTTTGCTGATTCTGTGAATTTAGTAAAGAATGCCACCTTTAACATAAGGTGCAGTATTTATCCTTAATTTCCCTTGCAAGGAATGGACCTATAGAGAATTGTTCTGCGTGCTTGCCCAAGAAACTAATTCTCGTAAATTGGGTATGCGTGAGGAAAAATCCAAATAAAGTTTTACTAGGAATACTAAAATAGTAAATCAAACTAAAATCCTGAAATAGGCAGTTATGTATATACAGTACACAATTGCAGAAACCTTGTTTGAATATTGGTCTCATTTTAAACCTTTTACAACATTTTTGTAGATGAAATCATTTTTCCTTTTAACTCTTTTAAGTGAACAAAGTTGTCTCAGGTAATGATATACCTCTTTTTGGTTTACTTTGACTGTCTTACTCTGATCATAGATGAACTTATACATTTATCAGTAAATTAAAACTTGTGACTTTTGTTGGAGAGGAATTATTTAATTATTTCATATTATGCTCTTCCTTTTAAGCCCCCAAAAAGTCTCGTGTGAGGTTCAGTAATATCATGGAGATTCGACAGCTTCCGTCAAGTCATGCATTGGAAGCAAAGTTGTCTCGCATGTCATATCCTGTGAAAGAACAAGAATCCATACTGAAAACTGTGGGGAAACTTACTGCAACTCAAGTAGCGAAAATTAGCTTTTTTTTTTGCTTTGTGGTAGGTCTTTTATGATATGTTTGCATATGATGTTTGAAACTTGAATTTTAAGACTGTATACATACCAACAATATAGGATTGAAGTGTGAGACAATTAGGTTGTTTAATCATGACTTTAAACTCTGCTATTTGATACCGGTAGGAAGTTAGGGTATCAAAATTAATAAATGCTTGATATACCTCAAAGAGTTAGAATTCATTAAGTCCTATAACACTTCAGCTATTTACATATATACACAAACTTACAAACACACACAGGTTGGGAAGTTCTTCAGAATTTAGCATTGCCTCATGCTCAAAATTATGAATAGAGTTATTTTACACTGTGATATATGTATATACAAAGGCTAGTAAATATCCAGATAAGAGTTTACTGTATGCATTGATTTTTTTCAAATAAGTGTTTTGCAGTTTTATATTCATATAAATGAGGTTAAGTATTATTTTGTCAAGTACTCAGTATATTTCTACAGAATTTCTGGTTGTATTATTTATAGTTTCTTTTTAAAGATAGAAACTGAAAACTGTGCTTAAGATTTCACATAGAATAATGATGGAGTAAATAAAGTATTGTTATTTTGGGCTAAGCTGGGATTAGAGACTTGTCTGAGTTAGAACTCTAACATGTAGAATTTAAAAAATGAATTTCTGTGATATTTTATGTGTACATCATTGGAAGTAGCCTAATCCAAGGTTTTTTAAATATGAGCCTTTAAGATTCAAATTTGTACTGAGCATCTTAAACCCCTAAACAATGAAATGCTAATGTCAATGTTATTAGCCTGATTATAAAATTTTTTTAATGTCATGATTTTGCCTTTCATACTCATTAAAATAGCCCATTTTTCTCCATTCCCTGGCTCTACTAATAACACTATTCTTTATAGCAGATTTAAAGATATGTGCAGATAATAGCCTTTTTAAGAATTAATTTTTGAAATTATAATAAAGTATACATAAAATATACCATTTCGATCTTTTTTTTTTTTTTTAATGGAGTTTCGCTCTTGTTGCCCAGGCTGGAGTGCAATGGCGCGATCTCAGCTCACCACAACCTCTGCCTCCTGGGTTCAAGCAATTCTCCTGCCTCAGCCCCACGAGTAGCTGGGATTACAGGCATGCGCCACCACACCCAGCTAATTTTGTATTTTTAGTAGAGACAGGATTTCTCCATGTTGGTCATGCTGGTCTCGAACTTCTGACCTCAGGTGATTCCCCCTGCCTCAGCCTGCCAAAGTGTTGGGATTACAGGCATGAGCCACTGCTCCTGGCCCTGATCATTTTTAAGTGTACAGTAAGTGGCATAAAGTACATTCACATTGTTGCACAACCATCACCCCATCCATCCACAGAGTTTTTTCATCTTATAAAACTGAAAGTATCCGTTAAACAATAGCTCCTCTTTCCCACCACCCCCAGCCCCTGGCAACCACTATTCTGTTTCTGTTTCTATGGATTTGACTACTCATAAGTACCTCATGTTGAGTGGAATCATACAGCATTTGTCTTTTTGAGACTGGTTTATTTCACTTAGCATAATGTCCTCCAGGTTCATCCAGGTTGTAACTTGTGTCAGAATTTCCTTTCTTTTGAAGGCAGAATAATATTTCATTGTACAGATATACCATCTTTTGTTTATTCATTATTCTGTCAATAGATGCTTGGGTCACTTTGACCATAAATGGTCTTTAAAAAATAGCAACTTAAAATACATTGTGAAAGCAGAGAGCTAACAGATAATTTCAGTTTTATAAGATGAAAAAATCTGGCCAGGCTGGGTGGCTCACGCCCGTAGTCCCAGCACTTTGGGAGGCTGAGGTGGGTGGATCACGAGGTGAAGAGATTGAGACCATCCTGGCCAATGTGGTGAAACCCCATCTCTACTAAAAATACAAAAATTAGCTGGGCATGGTGGTGTGCACCTGTAGTCTCAGCTACTCAGGAGGCTGAGGCAGGAGAATCGCTTGAACCCAGGAGGTGGAGGTTGCAGTGAGCCGATACGGCGCCACCGTACTCCAGCCTGGGCGACTGAGCGAGGGTCTGTCTCAAAAAAAAAGAAAAAGAAAAAAATCCTGTGGATGGATGGGGTGATGGTTGCATAACAGTGTGAATGTACTTTATGCCATTAACTGTACACTTAAAAATGATCCAAATGGTATATTTTATGTATATTGTAATTTCAAAAAATAATTTTTAAAAACACTATTATCTGCACATACCTTTAAATCTGCTATAAAGACTAGTGTTATTACATAACAATTTACATAGTACATTTCTCTCAGAGTTTTACGTTAGGAAAACGTTTGCTTTTTCCAAGGAAGAGAGATAGTTCCTTTTAACAGACAATAAGCTGTGTAACTCAGGGGTTTTCCTATTGCCTCCCTGCCTTTCTGCCTACGGATGAGTTGTGTGCTCACCTGAAGTAGCTTTCTTCCTTTAAACTGAAGTTTCTGATACAATCATCACGTTCCACAGCCAGCTCCCACTCCATTACCCATTTAATCTGGCTCTTATCTTTTTACTCTTGTTTTAATTTTTACCGTATTACAATTGGTCCTTGAACAACATGGGTCTGTATTGCACAGGTATGCTTACACACAGATTTTCATCTATCTCTGCCACACCTAAAACAGCAAGACCAATCCCTTCTCTTCCCCAGCCTTCTTACACAACATGAGGATGACGAGGATGAAGACCTTTCTGTGATGATTCATTTCCACTTAATGAGTCGTAAATATATTCTTTCTTATGATTTTCTTAATAGCATTTCTTTAGCTTACTTTATTGTAAGCATATAGTATACAATACATACAACATACAAAATACCTGTTAATCATTACTTATGTTATTAGTAGGGTTTCCAGTCACCTGTAGTCTATCAGTAGTTACGTTTTGGGGGAGTCAAGAGTTATAGCAGATTTTTTATTGCCTGAGGGTTTGTCCCCTAATCTCCATGTTGTTCAAGGGTCAACTATAGATGCTTTTATTACACATCTCCTTTGAAAACTGGGTAGCATATAATTAATACATTTTAGTCCTGCCTGACACTCATTTAAAACAAGCAAACAGAGATCCCAACTAATAACATGAATATGTGAGACTTTAAACTATTTTTATTACATACGTAATTATCATACTACAAATCCCAAAGATTTTCTTTTGATTTACATAGCAGAATATTATTAATCAAGTTATCACTAAAATAAAGGCATTTCTTTGGGAAGTCAGAGGAATATAGTCCAGACATACAGTTGGCCCACCAAATCCTTGAGTTCTCCCTCCTTGGATCCAACCAACTGCAGATCAAAAATAATGAAGGTGAAAAAATAGAAGAATAGCAATACAACGATAAAAATAATAGAGATTGAAAAACAATAGCACAACAACTATTTACATTGTTTTAGGTACAAGTAATCTAGAGATGATTTAACGTATATGGGAGGATGTGTGTAGGTTGTATCCAAATGCTATGCCATTTTATATAAGGGACTTGAGCATCTTTGGATTTTGATACCTTTGGGGTTGGGATCCTGAACCCAATCCCCTGCAGATACTGAGAGAAAACTAGCTTTTTGGAAACCTAGCTTAATAGAATGATAAGCTTTAGATAAGGTTAAGAGCAGTGCTGTTCAATAGAAATATAACATGAGCCTCAAATGCAGGCCACAAACATAGTTTTAAATTATCTAGTAGATACATTTAAAAAAGGAAAAGGAAACAGATGTTATCAATTTCAATATTATATTTGTATTTAGCCCACTATATGTAAAAATATTATTTCAACATATTATTGATGTAAAAATTATTGATGAGATAGTTTACATTCTTTTTTGGTACTAAAATCTTCTAAACCCAGTATGCATTATACTTAAAGCACTTTTCAATTCAGACCAGCCAATTTCAATTGCTCAGTAGCCATGTGTGGCTAGTGTCTAATGTACTGGACAGTGTAGATCAAAAGGAGTTAATGATTACTGTATTTGCCAGTCTTCTTTGAATATCTTTTGTCTTACTAGGTTGTTTTTTTTTTTTCTGTAAAATGTAATTTAGGTGATACTGGCTTTATCAAGAATATCTCTTACTACATATCCAAAGTAAATGAAATCAGTATCTCAAAGAGACATCTGTACCTCCATGTTTATTTTACAGTGTTCATCATAGACAAGATACGGGAACAACCTGAGTGTCTATCGATGGATGAATATATATATAGTACATTTTCATGGCTGAACATAATGTAATATTATTCAGCTCTAAAAAGAAGGAAATCCGCCATTTGCAACAACATGGACAAACCTGAAAGACATTATGCTAAATGAAATAAGCCAGGCATAGAATGTCAAATACTCACAAATATGATCTCACTTATGTATGTAGAATCTAAAAAAGAAGGAAAGAGTAGAATGGTGGTTGCCAGAGAGTAGAATGGTAGGGAAATGGGGACGTGTTGGTCAAAGAGTACATAATTTCAATTATAAGATGAATAAGTTCTGGGAACTAATGTATATGGAGACTTCAGATAACAGTACTATATTCTTTACTTGTAATTTGATAAGAGCAGATTCTTAAGTGTGTTCATCACATATACACACAGAAAAATGGTAACTATGGATGATGATGGATGTGCTCATTAATTTGACTATGGTAATCAGTAGACAATGTCATGTGTATATTAAATCATGTTATATACCTTGAACATACACTATTTTTATCAAATATTAACATTTTATGACAATTTAAAAATGAATTACTAATGAAATTATGAAATATATTAATTATTTGCTATAATTATTCATAAATGGTTATCCTCAACTCTGAAATAATGAAGGGAGACGTTGTATGGACAATTTCTATTGGAGGATGGTTGAGATGGGTCTTCTTTGGTGATGAGGGTGCTGTGGAAACAAGAGCCAGAGAATGGAGTTTGGGGAGAGGTAGAGAATGGGAAGGTTATTCTGGAAAGAATTCACAGCTAATGAAGGATTCTTGGGACCTTTGAATGCTTCTTATCTAAGTGATCTGTTTTTATTTATTTACCTTGCATTAGCATGGACCAGTGAGGTTGTTTGGAAAATGAGCACAATATTTAAGTATAAAAATAGTAAGAGAAGTGGGTCAAGAAAGCTAATAATCACTCTGTGAGCATTATCTGTTCATGGAGAAAATCTTTGACAGATAAGATTAAGGGTCGAATCTTCTTTTCTAGCACTTCATCGGCATGCAGATTGTGGCTTCTCTTGCCATATATGTTTGATATTGCCCATCAATTGTTAACTCATTTTATCTAGATAGGCATGTGAAATTATCTAGGAAATCAAAGGATTGCAGATGGAATCAGAACCACGTTGCCACAGTTTCATTCTGGCTTTAGCCTTGAGTACAGTATGGACTGAATGGAGACTACTAGGCTCTCAGCCATCTGCTGTGTTCTGGTAGTGCTCTACAATCATGTGTCTCTACTACTTCTTTGCAATGTAAATACTAGTGTAAAACTACTCAGCCACAAGCTCTGAGAGAGATCGAGAGATGTTCTTCTCTTAATAGAAATAAGTCATTTGGTGGAATAACTCTTCGAGTCAACCAGTGTAAGTAACAGAGACACCAAAAACTAGCCATTAGTTTAGTTTGCTTGACCCAGCAATCTACCTCTTAGTATATGCTTTGGTGACACTCATGTACTTATGCACCAGGTGGCAGGTGTGTACTAGAATTAAGATATTCATAGTAGCATTGTTTCAGATAGTAAAAAAGTGTTATCCACAAAAAAATGGATGAATTATCAGTGAAAATTACTGAACTTTGGACACACACACATCCTGCCAACCTTCATCAAAAAAAGCATTATTTCTTATTCTCCATCCTAACCTAGATAAGTGGAAGAGAAGAAAGAATTTTTTAAAAAAAGTCCTGATAGCTGGAAAACTTCCTTCACTGTATCCAAAGTTATGAGAACTCTTTGGGTTGTGTTTCCAAACTGAGATTCAGAAAAGCAATCACAATTAATCAATAAATTATCATTTTCATAGGACATTTCTAAATTTCCAAAGTGAATATAGCCTTTTTTCAATCCAGCTAGCTAGCTAGGTCCATCCATATCCATGCACATCATCTGGTTTAATAGATTTCTCATTATGCTGTATTCATCTGTATATATTCTAATGTTGGAGAATTTTCTCAAATTTAAATATGATTTAGATAAACTTAACAGAGTGTCAGCAGTACTTAGATAAAGCGATTTTTTTATTTTTTGAGAAATGGTCTCTCTGTCACCTAGGCTGAAGTGCAGTGAGGCAGTTATGCCTCACTGCAGCCTCAACCTCCCAGGCTCAAGTAATCTTCCCACCTCAGCCTCCTGAGTAGCTGGGATTACAGGTGTGCACTACCACGCCTGGCTAATTTTTGTATTTTTTTTTTTTGTAGAAATGGGGTTTCACTGTGTTGCCCAGGCTGGTCTTTCTGGGCTCAAGCAATCCACCCACCTCAGCCTCCCAAAGTGCTGGGATTACAGGCATGAGCCACTACGCGCAGCCTAGATAAAGCAAATTTTTAAATTGATTTGATACTTGATTTTACTCATTAAAAAAAAAAACCTGAATGCTAATTGTTAACCAACTATTGTTAAATTTTAAGGGAAATTGGGTAGCATGGTCTTAGGTCTGATTATAAATGTTTGTCTTTTTTGGGAGCCTGTGATTTTTTCAATACAAAGCAGCTTTTAAAACATCTTGTGAGAACGGTATTTAGGAGGAGAACAAAAAAGGGAATTCTGAATTGTAATGACAGATGTAAACATGTCTTTCATTAGGGTTCACTTTGGTTTTCTTTTTCTTTAGTGGTTTTTGGCAAATTTGTCATATCAAGAAGCACTTTCAGACACACAAGTTGCTATAGTTAATATTTTATCTTCAACTTCCGGTAAGAAATTTGTCTTTAAAAATCTGCATTATAAATCAGTGTATGTATTTCTGGTATATATGTGTGTACATGTACAACATTTTTATCTTGTTATAGCTTCTTACATTAGTTCTAATATACATTAGTCTATTACAACTGCCTTTTAATCTGTATACAGTCAGGTGCTGCATATGATGTTTCAGTCTACAACAGACTGCATATATGATGGTGGTCCCATAAGATTATAATACTGTATTTTTACTGTACCTTTTCTATGTTTAAATATGTTTGGATACACAAATACTTACCATTGTGTTACAGTTGCCTACAGTATTCAATACAGTAGCATGCCATATAAGTTGGTAGCCTACAAGCAATAGGCTTATAGCATATAGCCTAGCTGTGTAGTAGGCTATACCATTTAGGTTTGTGTGAGTATGCTCTATGATGGTGGCACAAGGATGACATTGCCTAACGACACACATTTTCTCTGTATTTATCCCTGTTGTTAAGCATGACTGTAGTTTCATGCCTTAGCCTGTGCTATTTATGTTCCTTCAAATACTTTACAATATTTTTTATATAACAACATATTACAGTTTTATAGGCTGGCCTTTTGTATTGTAGTTGCCTTTCCCTTCACACATCCTTTCCAGAGATCTTTTTCTAGACCCTTTGGCTAAAATGTAATTGCTTATTTCAGAACTATAATTTGCCCTATGATAGGTGTTTTATTTTTAAGATTGAATCACCTTTCAAATCTGGAAGACAAAAGTATTTTTAAAGCTATAAAAATAACTTTAGGGACACAGGCTTGATTATGATGAAGTCAGCATGTTACTCTGAATAAGATTTAAGTTTCCTATTAGTTTAAAATAAATAGGACTGTACTTGATCTGTACTGTTGAAATAAACATGGTTTAGTTTGGAGGCTATTTTATGCATGAACTTTAAACATTTCAGTCTAGTCATTACTTAACTGCAGTCATTTTCTTAGTTAAGAGTGACAAAAATAATTTGAAAGGTAGGTATATAATTTGCTTATTTAAACAATGAAGTTGGTAGTAAAAATGTTGACAGTATTTAAACTCATGTACCATTTTTAAATTCTTTTCTCCTCATAGGACTTTTTACCTTAATCCTTGCTGCAGTATTTCCAAGTAACAGTGGAGATAGATTTACCCTTTCTAAACTATTAGCTGTAATTTTAAGGTAAGCATATAGTGTGATAGCTAGTTTGCTCTGCTTAAAAATACAATATTACAATTTCTGATAGTGGCACCAGGGTAGTTTGTATTGTAAGAGCAAAGAAAGATGTGGATAAAAGAAGGCTTTAAGTGGACATGATGCTACTTAGCCCTGTCACATCCTGCACTAGGTTTCTAAACCTTCCTGGGTAGGGTAACCAGAGGGAAAACCCCAAGGCTGCTTTGGTTCCCATTCATGTGTCTGCAGACTCATCAAGTATTGGACTGACGTTCACACTTAATGTAGCAGCTTAATCCTCATAATCTCCCAAGTTTCTATTTCTTTTTCTTAAGGCAATTTCCCCTCTTTGTTTTGATTTTTATTTCTCCTTTTTCTACTTCTCTTAGAAAGCTAACATTCAGTTTTCTCTAATTGTCTAAGCCTCAGGTGATGTTTCAGTTATTTTCTGTATAATTCATTTGGCAGTTTTGCACTACTGCATAATATGAGTGTTGCTGATAACTATACTTAAATATTTTAATTTAACTTTATGTATGTTTGTTTTGTCTTCCATACTGGTTTGTAAACCCTTGAAGGCCATAGCCTTGTTTTATATTTGTGTCATCAAAGACCTAGCATAGGGCTTTGCCCATAGACAGTATTGAAAAAAGATGTGTTGGTTTAATAAAACTTATTTTATGAAACAAAATCAGAGAAGGTAGCAGGATGATTTGATGGAGAGTAGTGTTTCTTGGTTATCAAAGCTGAGATTGAATAAGAGCTCTGCTGTTTGCCCTGGGGCAGTTTTCTTAAACTCTGAAAGGGTTTCCTAGTTGAGAAAATGATATTATCTATTTTACCTTGCAGCCTTGTTTTAAAGTTTAGTGGTAATAGCTATGAAGTGTCTGGTATTGGGCAATCATAGAAAACTGGTAGCTCTTAATATTAAATGTTTTTCTTTTTTAGTTATAAGGGTAAATTAACCACGGTTGCTCCAATGGGCAGCTGGTTGATCCAACTAATTTACCATTTAGACTTTATGGCCACTAGGGATTTATTCTTTTACATGATTTACTAATGTTTTAAGCCGAGCAAATTTTTGCATTAGGGAAATATGTTTGTATTGGAGAAGTAAATGAGGTTTTATTTAACTTTATTTAAAATATGTGCTAATTTATAACTTTTCTTCATGTTATCTTAATAAAGACTTGATAAAGAAGGAAATGGATATAAAATATTGAACTTGTAAGTATTTTGACAGAGTACATTACTTCTTCTCATTAAAGTAGGTAGACGAACAGAGGTTGGCAAACTATGTTGGGTCAGCTGCTGGTTTTGTAAATAAGATTGTATTAGAACACAGCCACTCTCATCTATTTACAAATTGTCTATGGCCATTTTAGCACTGCAGAGGCAGAGCTGAATTGCAATACCATGTGGCCCAGAAGCCTAAAATATTTACTATCTGTACCTTTAAAAAAAAGTGTTACTTAGAAATTTTTTGAGTAAGTATATGTTCTTAAGAATTATGTATTAAACATTGTTTAATATTTTGTTTTGAATTGGCATTTTACTAAGAGATTCAATTTCTGAGGCTATAAAAAGAATTTTACATAACAACAATCTTGAAGGGAATCTAAGCAAAGAAATCTCATTTCATCAATTGAGAGACAAGAGTGTGGCCTCAAGCCAAACAACTTGGAATCCAATCCCATCTCCATCATTACTAGTTTTGAGATCTTGAACAAGTTCCTTACATTTCTGTGCCAATTTTCTCGTCTGTATATTGGGGATAATAATAGGATTTCTCTCATAGGATTATTATGAGGATTAAATGAGTAGAAGTTGTAAAGTGCTTGGAACAATGTCTGATACACAA
This sequence comes from Homo sapiens, assembly GCF_000001405.40. NCBI lineage: Eukaryota > Metazoa > Chordata > Mammalia > Primates > Hominidae > Homo > Homo sapiens. The sequence continues at coordinate 113,732,730 of NC_000002.12, read as the reverse complement.
CAGGAGGTGCTCACTATATTTAGCCATTATCATAATCATCATCATTTAAATGGAAACAAAATCCCTGGTTTCTAATAAATTGTGGATACTCAATAAATAATAGCTGAATCTGAATATGAACAGTGATTATTACAGAAAATTGGGATGATTTAATTGAAGGGTTTGCATATTTAGTGTAAGGACTGCACTTGAGTTCTGATGACATCTTTCCATAAGGGAATACATATTTTCTTTCATCTTCCTCTCCCACTGCCACACTGGTCTTTCTCATCAGGGTGAGAGAATTAGGCTAATTTTTTTTTTTAATTAGCAATATCTCATCTACTTGAAAACGTGTTACAATTTATAAGATTCATAGAAATAGACAATGCAAAGAGTTCCCTGAGGACAGGAACCACATCTGTATTGTTCACTTCTGTAACCCAGTGCTTTGCCCATATTAGATGCCCAGAAAATAACAATTGAGTTTATGAATGACCTCTGATATCTCTACATCCTTAATTCAGTCTTATTTTTATCCACTAAAATCATGAGATTAGTGAAATTGTTTAAGCACGTAAGGATAGTTTTACTGTTAATTTAGATTTTACCAATAAGCAAGAGTAGTACTATTGCTGGATTTATATGGGTTTGATATAATTTTATAATCCAAAAGAAAGATTGGAAAGGGATGACAAGTTGGTTAATTCATTCTTAACTGAAAGATAGTGGATAGCATAGCACATAAAAGCACTGGACTCTGGAGTAAAACTGCCTGTATTTCAGTCTCGGCTATGTGATCTTGGTCAAGTTACCTTACCTCTTTGTGTATTAGCTTTCACATGTAAAATGGGAATGGCAGTAATAACACTTCCTTATAAGGTATAATATTGTACATTTTGTGAGGATTAAATGAGTTAATACAAATATAACACTATATTATTATATTGATGTTGTTAGATGTTATTATTGAAATTGCTAAATTATTTGATAGTTTTACCCAAAGTTGAGATTAGTCTTGATCACTTATAAATAATTTTTATCTTCATGATTAGGCTTTTCAGAATTCTTTAGCTCATCATTAATGACTGTTATTCTCATAGCATTGGAGGCGTTGTACTGGTAAACCTGGCAGGGTCTGAAAAACCTGCTGGAAGAGACACAGTAGGTAAGTACTGGACTCTGGATTCTCTCTGTTAGAGTAAATAAGAAAGTTACATGTGCGTGCTCATGTGCACAGATGAACGCACAAAGGGTAGGCACTAGCAGGGTGGGTTTTTTTTGAACTTTTCCTTTGGAAATAACATAAAAAAATGCGTAAATAGTTTAGTGAATTCTCATAGCCTTCACCCAGATTTTTCAAATGTTAACAACTTACATAAATATTATACAGTTATAAAAATCAGAAATTAACGTTGATTATGATACTGTTATCTATAAAGCCTTTTCAAATTTTGCCACTTTTTCCACTAATGTTCTTTTTCTGATCTAGGATCATTTATTGCATTTAATTGTCGTGTTTCCTTAGTTTCCTTTAAATGCAGAAGTGTTCCTCAGTCTTCTTGTCTTTTATGACCTTGACACTTTTGTAGGGTACCACCTAGTTGGTTTGTAGAATGTTCCTCAATTTGCATTTGTCTGACATTTTCTTTGGTTAAATTGAGGTTGTGCATTTTTGGTAAGAATATAATGGAAGTGATATTGTTTCCTGATCAGTGCATTCTACCAAAAGGCACATGATATTGATTTGTCCTGTTGCTGGTAATGTTAATTTTAAGGTGGTTAAAATTAACCACCCTACTCCAGTGTAAAGTTACTAATATTTCCCACTGTAAGTAATAAGCATCTTGTGGGGGATACTTTGAGGCTATACAAATTTCCTGTTGCTGTCATATCTTCACCCACGAATATTGCCATTTACTCTTGATTCTTGATTCATAGTTACTGCTATGGTGAACACTTAGATTTTGATCCATTGCTTAGACTTAACAAAAACAAAAGTAATCAGAACCTAGCTGGGCTGAGCATGGTGACTCATGCCTGTTATCCCAGTGCTTTGGGAGGCCAAGGTGGGAGGATCGCTTGAGGCCAGGAGTTCAATACCAGCCTGGGCAGCATAGTGAGACCTCATAATAAAAAATAAACCTAGATTAATTATTTCTCTTTGAATACTTCTTTAGATATTTGAGGTTTATTGAATAGAACAATGCTTTCTAAATTGTTCCTAGCTACTACCCAGTGAGCTGTGCTTTGAACCTCCTCACCTCTTTCTCACCCAGAGCAGCTTTGTGTATATAAAACAATATATGTATTTGGTATGTGCATGTGTATGCAAGATTTTGTTGACAGGCTTTTCCTTAGCTTTAAAAAAAGTTTGAAAATAATAAAAAAAATTTAATAAAACATTCGTCTTTTGAATAATTGATTAAAGTATTGAATATGACCACTTGGCAGAACATTATTTAGCTGTTTTGAAAAGTTTAAATGGTTTTGAGAGTTAATAAAGAGAATCAGTATTTATTATTCATGTACTGTGAGATCTGTATTATGTTAGCTGTTTTGGAACATTAAAAAGTATAAATTATGTGTTTGCAGTTTTCAAGGAGTTCTTGATTTGGAACAATATGAGATTTATAAAATGAAGCTACTAGGGATTAAACTAATACCACACTTGACAATAGTAAGTATTGTCTAAAACAGAAGACAGGACAGAAATACAGCCGATTAGAAAGAGGATGCTTTGTGGAAGAAATGGAACTTTAACAGAGCCTTTAAGATGGGAGTGGTAGTGCAATACATATTAAGAATGATATATGGGGGTAAGGAAGACAATACAAGCAACAGCTTAGTGATGGAAAAAAAATTTGTTAAGTTGGAAAATGCCAGGTGTCAAGATTGTTTAGGTAGGGTAAAATAAGAAACATGCATTTCTAAATTAAAAACAAAGTGTTACTTTGGAGTTGTATTATTATAATATGTATAGGTTTTGGTCGAATCATTGAGGTGAATGCTTTTGCATTTATTTGTTAACACATTAAACTCCTTCCTGTACTCCTAGAAGACTTGGATGGGGTAGGCTATACCTTTTCATTATATATCTTTATATCAATATAAAGGTGATTTATATCATTATATATCTTTTCACTTTTGTATATTCTTGCAATATTATCTGACACATTATTGGATTTTAAGCGTATATTGAATGAGCTAATGAGTGATTGCTTTAAATCATGTCCATTTTTACAGGTTCCATTTGGTCTCTTGCTGGAGCCATGCTCTATGCTGTCTATATTGTTATGATTAAGAGAAAAGTAGATAGAGAAGACAAGTTGGATATTCCAATGTTCTTTGGTAAGAATATATGTAACTTGGGAGGCTATTTACTCTAAATGATTAACACAGGGTTTTGCTTTTGTTTTTCAGAGGGAATAGGGAAGCCTTTTTTTTTCTTCCGTATGATTCTTTAAAACCATTTAAAGATTATGAAGGCCAGTCCCAATGTTTTCCTTACTTTATCCTGCATAGTTGTGCACCTATGAGGGAGTGCCCATCTCCTCAGTGTGAGACAGAAAGAAACTCCTAACACTTTTTTCAAATTGATGTCTTCAGACTGCAAGTCAGATATTTATCTCACTGATAGGACAGATTTATGCTCTTACAAGCATGTGAGAGTTTACCTGCTGTATTTTACATTTTGCCATTTTTGAATAGTTAGCAAAGGACTGGGGAGACTGCCCCCGAATTATATGTTTAATGCTGTCGCAGTCTATGTACTTATGTACATTAAAAATTGTGGGCCATTTAAATGCTTTTCATTTGCATTTTATCTTTAAGACACAGACACTTTTATAACATAGATTCATTCTCAAATTACCCAATTATAGTTTCTGGATATGGTTTATAAATTTTCCTTTGCCTGACATCAGTTCAGGAAAGAACTTGCGATATCTGTAGGACTGGAGAAGAACACATTGACAAGATAATCTTTCAAAAGATATCTGAATATAAATAGATAAAGAAGCTCCATGATAAGAGTTCAAAGTGCAGCTTACAAGGAGTCAGGAGACCTGGAATCCAGCTGTTGTAACTTTATTTATCTCATAGGCATCTGAAATATGAGGAAATTGGACTAGATGAATGGCCTCTAAACTGTGATTTAGGGAATAGGTAGGCTTCTGGGATGGTTGGAAGGAAATACAGTTGCATGCAGGGGTCTAGTTCTTGGACTCCTTTGCTGCTTCACCTGTGGAACAGCTCTACTTTGTTGAGCATTTTGCATTAGAATTTAATTTATAGTAAAGATTTTTCTTATGGCTGGGCATTGTGGCTCACGCCTGTGATCCCAGCACTTTGAGAGGCTGAGGCAGGAGGACTGCTTGAAGCCAGGGATTCAAGATCAGCCTGGGCAACATAGGGAGACTGCATTTCTATTTAATTTTTTTTAAAAAAAGACTATTTTAAAACTATTTTAAAACTAAAAATAGATTAAATACTTGTACCTAAAGACTAACAAAAATAAAATGTTTGAAAAGCCATGAGGCTGAATGATTGCTTAAATTCTTTTTAAATATAGAATTCAAGAAATATAGCATAATAGCCAGGTTTGGTTACATGTGTTTGTAATCCCAGCTGCATGAGAGGCTGAGGCAGGAGAATCACTTGAGTCCAGGAGTTCGAGTCTGCAGTGAGCTATGATTGTGTCTCTGCACTCTAGCCTGGGTAACAGAGTAAGATGCTGTCTCTTAAAAAAGAAAAGATAATTTTAATGATATTTTATTTGAGAGTCATAGAAAATTTTATTTGGAATGGAATAAAATGCTAGTTTTTTTTAGTGTTATAGGTAGGTGGTTGGGTCAGTGGTACTTTTTAAAAATTTATACATTGACAACTTGCAAGAAAAATTGCTTAATTTACTCATATTAGGGAGAGTGCATATAGACATGTGGCTTGTGTTGGTCCTGTTCATATGTGATGTGATATGTAAAGCAATATTGATCTGCCCTGGGCTTTAGAATAGACAGGATTCGGAGAAGTTAGGATTGGGATGTTGGGGGCTCTTCAGGCAAGGGAGTGTGAGCAGAGGCTTAACAGGGAGCAGTGAGTAGATCTGAATGATTGTGCTGGAACTTCGCTTTGTGGAAGAAGAACAGAAAGGCATGTGGCGCCAGATTCTGGGCAGTCGAGGGAATAGGTGGGGTCATTGGGACTTTTGTCTCTAGGTCAAAGGATGTTAATTTACGTGGGATTTCATAGACTCAGCACTTCAGGGACTAGAAAATAGATTTAGATCTTGGTAATGCCACGTTTTGGTGTTTCATTAAAACAACTTTGTAATGTTATTTAAGCATTTTAGGTCGTGTCCTTGCTGTATATGTGTTCTTTTGTTGTTGTTTTTTTAATCAATAGATGTAAGTTGGTGTATTAGTCTGTTTTCACACTGCTATAAAGAACTACCTGAGACTGGGTAATTTATAAACAAAAGAGGTTTAATTGACTCACAGTTCTGCATGGCTGGGGAGGCCTCAGGAAACTTACAATCATGACGTAAGGTGAAGGGGAAGCAAGGCATGTTTTACACACTGGCAAGAGAGAGAGAACTTGAGAAGGGGGAACTGCCAAACACTTTAAAACCATCAAATCTTGTAAGAACTCACTATGATGGGAACAGCATGGGGGAAACCACCCACATGATCCAGTCACTTCCCACCAGGTCCCTCCCTGACACGTGGGGATTACAAGTCAAGATGAGATTTGGGTGGGGACACAGAGCCAAACCATAATAGTTGGGCTCCCTAAAACAGGATATGAGATGGGGAATTTGTGTGGGTGATTTTTTGTGGGGAGTTCACTGAAGGAAAAACTTGCAGTGAAGGAAGCAAGATAGAGAAGGGGAAAGAACCGTGTGGCGCACAAGTATAACTGAGGTTTGGCCCAATTCATTGCAGGTACTGAGGCGGGGAGCAGAGGGAGAGCAGCTAATATGTCTGGGCCTTGAGTCGTGATGGCTGGCCTCGTAAAGCCTCCATCAATTAGTCATGAGCTGCAGAAGATGGGGTGGAGTGGAGGGTGGGAACTTGCTGGGAAAGGCAGACTTATTTGCCCCCCTTCACAGAAGTGGGGTGGCTGTGAGTCTTTAGCATCAGACAGAGAGTGGGTGCTCCTGCCCTGTTAAGATTTAACTAGGCATCCTAATGACTGGTTTATTATTTAGGTGACATAGTAAGTATCAATTATATATCTACTGTAATTTAATTTTCTTTTAAGAAAGCTATATAGTTACATAAATCATATAGCAAATTTGTGACATAAACTGTATAGGAAGTACAACAAAATTTATTATAGAATTGTAATCTTTTTTCTTTATATTCTTTACTTTTACATGTATATAGTCATATATAAACTTAATTTCTATAATAATATTAGCTAACTTTTATTAAGTGCTTACCATGTGCCAGATACTATGCTATATTTTATGTGTTTTGTCTAATCTTCCCAGCAACCTAATTAAATATTATTAAATGTTATTTTATGCTTATAGATTGGAAAACTGAGGCTTAAAGAGGTATAAGGCTTGCACTACTATTGAGTGATATATAGAGCTGGGATTGGACCCAGGCAGTCAGATGGCCGAGCACACACTTAACCACTAGTCAGTCTGTACTTTGCTCATACGTTGAATAGCTCTTTGTGTGTACATACTTTCTCACTAACTAGTTAGAGGTCTGGGAATGCAGGAACCAAGAGTTTTATCTCCTTTGGAACCTTCTTCCATTATTGCTCGCAAAGCACAAGTGTTTTGGACATAAATAATTGAATCAGAGAGCAAACCATCTAATTCCTCAAAATTAATTTAGGCTGAGTACACAAACACATACATACCAGTTATTTCTTTTAAGTTCTAGGGCACTATATTATCAGTAGCTAAGGTTAACAACCCTTCTTGTTGAGTTGTCCTAAGTGGTTTATTCCATAGTAGTTGCTCCCATACAATGTGGGTAGTTGAACTGAGTGATCACCAGTTGCTTCAGACAGTTTTTTTTTCTATGGCGTTGAGCTATTCACAGGACTGACTTAAAAACAAACCAACAGAAGTTTTAGCTAAGGAAACCTCCCAGAGTGCTTTTGTGCAAAATCTAATTTTGATTTTAGAGTTAATAAGCTTGGAAAATAGAAATAAATCAATTTTAACTCTTGTCTCTTTTATACATGTTCAGGTTTTGTAGGTTTGTTTAATCTGCTGCTCTTATGGCCAGGTTTCTTTTTACTTCATTATACTGGATTTGAGGACTTCGAGTTTCCCAATAAAGTAGTATTAATGTGCATTATCATTAATGGCCTTATTGGAACAGTACTCTCAGAGTTCCTGTGGTTGTGGTATGTACTGTTTATTCTCCAATTATTATCAGTTGATTAATTTTTGGATATTTTAAGCATTTATATTTGTCTGTTTGCTGGTGGCCCTTCCTGTGCACCCCATTCTGCAACACACATACAACTGAATACTTTAACTCCACTAGAGCAGGGACTTTGTTTTTTAACTTCTGTGTGCCCATTCTAGAGTAGTACCTTGTCCACAGAAGGAGCTCAATAAATACTTGTTGAATGAAAGAATGAATATGAATGGTCTAAATCTGTAAAAATGTTTTAGAAAGTGGAGTGTTATGCAAATGAAAGTAGTCATTATCTAATGGATATCCAAACATATGAGGTATGTATGCCAAGTATGAGTGCATGAGTTCTAGTTGAGAATCCAGGAGATGCTGCTTATTTAAGAGGCTTTGGAATATCTGTTTGCTTGTTCATAGGTGTTTTTGTTTTATTTATTTTCAGAACCTTTCATATGGGTGAGCCAGATATGTAAACCTTAAACTCTGATTGATTTGAGATGTTAACATACTTTGATATGCTGTATATCCAATATACTGATATGCGATAATAAACTTAAAATAGTATGAAGACAGTATCATGTATGGAGTTTGAGAGACCTTTCAAATAACAGAGCTTTATACTTAGTCCTATTTTTATTTAATAGAAACTTGAAATGAATAGAATGAATAAAACCTAAGTGAATAAAATGAGTTTTATTACATACCCATTGAAACTGCTAACTAGTTTTCCCTTGCAAAAGACTGCAACAGAAATAGACTTTTTTGTGGAGTCTTCCTTAATGCTCTGCCTACAGTGCTGTCTCCCTGCCCAGTTAAGAAATACCTATTTTCTTGGTATCCCCCATATCACTCTCTTTTGTGTAATACTTAAAGATTTACTTTGTATTGTAGTAATTTATGTTCTTATCTAAACTCCTTTGCTGATCTAAAATTCTTTAAAATCATAATCCATTTGCTCATTAATTTTTTCATCTTTAGTTATGTACATTTTAGATACTCGATTTTTTTAACCTTAACTATTAACAGATGACAAAAGGCTTTAGCCTTTAGCTAAATTGGATCCACCTTAACAGCTGGATTAAGTCAAACAGGCTTTATAATTCTACCTCCCAGGTTTTTTATTATAGTACTCTGCATGATAAACATCCAAGAACATATGCTGTATTTGACCCCGAATGCTCTTTTCACAGAGCAGCTAAGTAGTGGGAACCACAAGTACTTGTTTCCTTTACCTCATCAATAAGGACTCGTTGTTCAGCCTCTGTTCATTACTTCTAGTGACACTTTATTGAGAGATAGCCCCTTTTATTGCAGGACAGCACTATTAATTCTGACATATACTGAGCTAGATTTTACTTGCCTATAACTTCCATGGATCTGTAGTCCTAACAATATACATTATGGTTTTATCTTGGCTTATAATTCATTTTCTCCTTATATGCCCAAATTATCAGTCTTTATAAATGGCTCATCTGTCTCCATTGGGTATAATATTTTCTTTCAATTCAACAAAATTGTATGCAGATAGATATTTCAAAATTTCATACCCACATTGTTAATTCAAGGTGAAAATAAAGAGCTTACTTAGCTTTTGGTTAGGACAATTGTTAGAAAAATGGAAAACAACAAGAAAATATTTTTTAAGAATATTCAAGTCTTTCTTTTTTTATGCCAAGCCAAATCAAAAGAGTAACACATGATTTTAGTGTTCATGAAGGTGAGATATTTTTGCTTGGTGACAGAATCACATGTTGGCTTATCACTTCCTTAAAGTCTATGTGTGAAGTATTGTCCTGCAATGTTAATAATGCTGTTTTCTTTGTTATCTACAAATCATCACAAAACGGTAATAACTGTTCAACAGTTTTTTAAAAAAATTAATGAAATATAAGCTATACACCCAAAGTTGAATAAGATCTGCAAACAGCTCTTGAAAATAGCATAAAATATTTTGAGCTTTTTATACTTATATATTTGTATTTTTAATATTTGAAGAAAAACTGAGAATCATCTTAATAACTTTATTATATTTTATGTTTCAATCCATCCTAGCCTCTTATCTTTGCTCCTGATCTCACAGGCCTATATTATAGGATAGAAAGTCTTTGTTCAGTGTTTTTCTTTGGTTTAATTTTTTAAATATAGAAATGTATATTTTCTTTTTTTTAGGGGCTGCTTTCTTACCTCATCATTGATAGGCACACTTGCACTAAGCCTTACAATACCTCTGTCCATAATAGCTGACATGTGTATGCAAAAGGTAAGGAAACTATTTATTATTCATAGATATTTTAGGTGTGTTATTAAAACAAACCTAATGAAAGTTGAGATGTGATTAAATTATAAGGATACAAACATAAATAATACTTGATGCTTTCTCTCCCAAGGTGCTTTACTACATAGAAATATAGAAAGTACCGAAGAAATAGATAATTTCCATTTTTAGCTTTTCCATTTTTTTCCCTAAATTTCTAAGTTAAGGGCATCATCTTCATATGTAGTTCTCCAGTTTTTGAGCTGATTCTGTTCCAGATGTTCTTTGGTAAGTCACATTTTATCATACAAGCATTTTAGTTTCTGCGATAAACCCTATCACAGGCTCCTTAACACTGTGCTGAATGAGCAGCACAGGAATCATGCTGTTTGCAGTAAAAGTTAGCCATCTCTCTCTGGACTCAGCAGAGTGGGTATCCCATCCCTTTTCTCTGAAGGCCTAGTATGGATGTGGGGATTCTTGTGATAAATATTGGCAATGCTAACACCGCAGAAAAGAGAATCTGGGATGTTTCTGCCAGCAGCCTAGAAGGGAAGAGTTTATTCAGTGCTCTTGGGTGAAGCAGGAAGAACAGAGGTATGCTGTTGCCCAGCACTGAAAGATGGAGCATAGCCATTTATCACACAGTTCAGTATATGTAGGCATTTAACTTTTAACTGCAACTACTAAGTCACAGAAGTATGTGTGTGTGTGTGTGTGTATGTATGTGTGTTTTAGTCTAATATAATTTGAAGAGGGAAATACTTCAAGGCCCAAAGGCTTATAATGTGTACAAGCAATAATCAAAATTTTAAACCTATTTTTCTCTAGGTCTTAGCCAGGCACAGTGGCTCACGCCTGTAATCCCAGCACTTGGGAGGCCGAGGCAGGCAGATCACTTGAGGTTAGGAGTTCGAGACCAGCCTGGCCAGCATGGTGAAACCCCGTCTCTACTAAAAATACAAAAATTAGCTGGGTGTGATGGCGTGCACCTGTAATCCCAGCTACTTGGGAGGCTGAGGCAGGAGAATCACTTGAACCCGGGAGGCGGAGGTTGCAGTGAGCCAAGATCATGCCACTGCGCTCCAGCCTGGGCAACAGAACAAGACTCCATCTCAAAAAAAAAAAAAAAAAAAAAGATAAAAGCAAAATATGCTTAGTGCTCTATATCCTCTTTATTTATAAAATAATTCTTTACTGATATTTAACTTTGTTTTATGGTCAGTAAATTCTTATTTGTCATGGTTAAAGAACTGAGATTCTTTCCTTAATTGAGAATTAATTATCTTACATAACTTGCATTTTCAAAGAATGTGGATATTCCATATAACACTAACATTGCACATTATTACACATCATTCTTTTATAGATTTAAGTAATATCTAGGCCCTTCTTCATCTTCAGGTCATAATCCTGAATATGAACCAAACTGGTTGTGAAACTGGGAAGGTGCTACTTGTTAGAGGATTTTGGTAGACTACTGTGTAAATCATCTTTATTGTACTGATATTTTAAAAACAAAAGCTTTCGTAGATTGAAAAAAATTGCAGCTTAATGTTCAGGAATTTTTAAGAAAATAGTCACAGGGGACCTAATTGTATTAAATGATTAGTCATTTCATAATTATCATTACAAACAATAATGGTTATAATTTGTTTAATAAAGTATTTTAGGGTAAAGACAAAACGGGGAAATGTATGCACATGCAATTAATTATAAAAACATAACCAAACTTTAACTGATTGCCCAGTTCTGGATATGAAGACAATCAAGAAAAGATTTGGTGTTCTTGATTGTCTTCATATCTAGAACTGGGCAGTCAGTTAAAGGAGCAGGCTGTGTGTTGGTGTCAGGATTGAGGTTAGGGAGATTCCATCTGGAAAAAGCAGCAGTGTGTGTCCAGAACTGTAACACAAACATAAGAGAAATCTACTTTTATAGGGTTTTTAGGTTTAATTAGCTAACTGTATTTATATATAGCTTCTGAAATGTTAGCATTTATTAACATTGTGCTTGAAACAAATTGGTTATTTAAATCTATTTATAATCATTTTATATAATAGAAAGCATCCTTGATCATATTCTATTTGATATTCAGATATATTTAGGAATTAGAAAAAAAAATTTTGTTTACATAGGTAATTTTCTTTGTTGTAATAAATGGCTTCGTTTCTTTTGTCTTAGCTTGTTGGAAATCAAATTAGAAGTTTTTTATTATGAGACAACATATAAACAGCTACATTGTGGAAAGTGAACTTGCCTTCTAAAGTCTTCTAGGGCTTTATCTATCTTTATTAAGTTTGCTTTGATTCAGTTATGAAATAAGGTTTTTAGTTGAATATTCATGAAATAATTCTATCAACTATATCTACATTTTTAATCGCATTATTTATAACTTCTTAATACCTTTTCTGATCTTGGATAATTTAAATGCAGCATGGTTTTTCCTGATTATTAGTCATTCTGGCAAATATTCCAGGAATATGTTAAAATATATTGGTAATTTCATAACTAAATGAAGGCTTTTCAGTTTAATGACTATTCTTTCCGGGGTCTTCTTAGGCTGACTCAGTCATTGTATATGAATACCATAGAAATAGGGCATGCATGTTAAAAATTGTCAGTTATTATTCTTGTGTTATGCATTGTGAGTTCCCTCATAAAAGACATTATGCTCACAAAACTCGTTTACTCTGACTAATGGTGCTATGAAATGGAATAGTATATGTTTTCCACCAGAGGGAGTCTTACCTATGATTCCATGCCCTTTTTTTTTTTTTTTTAATTCTCAAAGAGGGCAAACACAGTTTTCCTTTCCTATTTTATAGATAGAAGTTACTATTTTCATCATTATTTTTAAAGCAAACCTCCTGTGTGTTACACTTAAGTCTCAGTGGTTGATCAGTGTAGGCTTCTTTGACAATCGTTTCTGATCTTTAGCTGAGTCTAGATGGTAAAAGTGAACTAGTGAAAGGGAAGAATGAGTTTTGTTTTGGATGGCATCTCATTATTTTTTATTTTCTTTTTATTTATATATTTGTTTTTCTTATTTTTTTTTCTTTTTGATTTTAATACCTCCACCCTACTTACAGATATTTTTTATTTTCTTGACAACTCTGATAAATGATGGATTGGAGGATCAGACTTGTTGACATCACTGATGAGGCTTGTCTTGTTGCTTGTCTTCTCTGGCTAACATTCCTTAGTAAAAATATTTCTATATTTTTTTCTTTATTTTATTTGGTCATTATTTCATTTTGAGCTTTTTTCATTTATTACTAGATAAGCGAGTTTTGAGTGTCAAATTTGCACTTAATTTGTTTTTGGTACTGTCATAAGGACTGTAGCATACACAGCATACTACAACTGTAACTTTTTACGAAAATATACATTTTTTGAAGATGACTTCAGAAACTGAGGGAGAGAGACCCACTTGAGACTAGGCAGCAAACAGTGAAGAAGAAATGAGCAACATGGTGTGCAGGAGCAAAGTTTCCTACTGTATATCTCTACTCTAAGTGTACAATGCCTATAAATGGAAAGTATGCTTTCTTGGCTTTCCTTTAGCCTATTTTCCAAGCAAGAACTATTGTTGTTGGTAATTTAGGTGCATGGAATAGTAAGTTGAAGTCTTGAATTCTTATTTAATAATAATACACTTAATACATTGTCAGTGTTTAATTTTGTCTTCCCATTGTTCTTATTCCTGCTAGTTTTCACAAATAGAAAACTTACATTGAAGGGGAAAATTGCCTTAATGATAATTGTGGGTGTGTTTTTTCCTCTATCTTTTATTTTTAGGTGCAGTTTTCTTGGTTATTTTTTGCAGGAGCTATCCCTGTATTTTTTTCATTTTTTATTGTAACTCTCCTATGCCATTATAATAATTGGGATCCTGTGATGGTGGGAATCAGAAGAATATTTGCTTTTATATGCAGAAAACATCGAATTCAGAGGTAAGTTTAGTCCCAATACACATTTTTAAAAATAGTGTTTGCTAGATAACTGAGAATTGCATCATGCTGGCCTAGCTTTTAGAGATTTTGTGAGGAATTATTGAAAGATGATAACTTATATGTTACGGCAGATGAAAATAAAATAATTGGTTTAGATCTTTTGGGTAATAAGATTCTTTCTCCTTTCTTTCTTTCTTTCTTCCTTCCTTCCTTTCTTCCTTTCTTTTTCTTTCTTTCTTTCTTTCTTTCTTTCTTTCTTTCTTTCTTTCTTTCTTTCTTTCTTTCTTTTTCTTTCTCTCTCTTTTTCTTTCCTTTTCTTTCCCTCTTTCTTTCTTCTCTTTCTTCTTTTTTTCTCTTTCTTGACAGAGTCTTGCTCTGTAGCCCAGCCTGGAGTGCAATGGCACGATCTCAGCTCACTGCAACCTCTGCCTCCTGGGTTCAAGTGATTCTCCTGCCTCAGCCTCCTGAGTAGCTGGGATTACAGGCATGCACCACCATGCCCAGCTAATTTTTGTATTTTCAGTAGAGGCAGGTTTCACCGTGTTGGCCAGGCTGGCCTTGAATTCCCAACCACAAGTGATTTGCCTGCCTAGTAACTACATTTTTTTAAAAAAAATATGATTCACAGGTAATACCAAAAGGTTTACTGTTTTGCCATAACAAACTTAAATATAGAAAACTTTTATTGGTTTGAACATAATTCATGATAGAATAGTATTGCCTCAGTTTTTCTTTCCAATTTCTTTCTTTTTAAGAATGAAAGCTTTTTACATTTTGCTATAAAAAGAACTTGGTTCCAGTGACTCTGGAGGCTGAGGTGGGAGAATTGCTTGAGGCTAGGAGCTCAAGACCAGCCTGGGCAACATATCAAGACCCTGTCTCTAAGAAAATTAAAAAAAAAATTACCCAGACATGATGGCATATACCTGCAGTCCCAAGCTACTTGGGAGGCTGAGGTAGGAGGATCACTTGAGCCCAGGAATTCAAAGCTGCAGTGAACTATAATAGCACCACTACACTTTAGCCTGGGTGACAAAGTGATACCCTGTCTCTTATTTAAAAAACAAAAAGTGAGACCGTATCTCTTATTTAAAAAACAAAAAGTGAGACCCTATCTCTTATTTAAAAAACAAAAACAAAAAACGCTAACTTGGGACAAGTTCTTGGGAAATTTTATCCTAGTGTTGGTTCTGCCACTGACTTGCATCCTGTCCACATAGCTTCAGGCAATGGAATAAATAAGGTTTGAGGTTCCTTTTCAGCTCTAAAGCTTTCCTTAATTACTGCTTTTTTTTTTCTTAAGAGTTCCAGAAGACAGCGAACAGTGTGAGAGTCTCATTTCTATGCACAGTGTTTCTCAGGAGGATGGAGCTAGTTAGCTGTCTGTTGTCTGTAGCCCAGGTTTGTATGTGAGCTGGGTTTAGTATTGAATAAGGTTCTTATCTGTGTAATATTCAAAGGATTGATTTTCTATAATTAGTTGTTTGAGAGGCAATACAGCCTTAGAGGCTAAAGGGGCTAAAGCCTGGACTCCAGTTCCGTCTTCTCCACATACTAGCTGTGTGGCCCTGTGCAAGGTTCTTAATCTCTTGATGCTCCAGCTTTCTTATTTGTGAAATGGGATTACAGTAGAACCTCCCTTATGAGGGTGTTAAAATAGTAAATACTTGGTAAATATAAAGTATGTATAATAGTGCCTGACTCAAATGATCAGAAAGTTTTAACTCATTTTTATTCATGCTAAGGGTCATTTTATTTAATAATATGCTTTAGAAAAATATTTTTTCTCTGATGATAAAAGAAAAATGTAATATTCTGGTGTACAATATACTGGTTGGAAAATACTAGTCTTTATGTGTCTGTTTTACATAACTGGCACAGTGTTTATCCTCATTCTCTGACATTGCTTTGTCATTTAACAATGCTTCTGGAATTTTTTTCCATTTTTTCCATTTTAAGAAATAGTGTCTTTTATATGTCTTCGATGATAGAGTACATGACATTTAATATTTTGCTGAATGAAAGCTTGAATTAAATGTAACGTACAGATTTTGCAGGTACAAAAGTGATTATTTAGAATGAAAGATCACAAAAAACTACTAGAATTTTTCTAGTTTTTCTAAGACATCTTTAGGCAATTTATATTGAAGTGTTTCTTGATTGCTACTGAGTTTTCCCTCCCTATCTAGAACATTGTACAACTCCTGTCAGTTGTTAACACTTATATTAGGCTTGAAGGTTAAGTTTCATTATCCTCCTGGTAAACTTGCTTCTAACCTACAGCTAATGGTCCTGGTTTTCTGTTTTTCTTTAGTGTGCTGTTTTTAAATCTAGTTTATACCTGCACATGGTTTGAGCTCTAGTTCTCCAAGACTTTTTGTACAAGGCAGTTACCCCTGCCCTTCCCTGCCCTGCTCATCCTGCTTTCATTTTCTTCCCACTCTGAGGAAATTAAACTCTTAGCTGATTCTTTTGGTATTTTCCTTCTTGTCTCCCTAAGTATCATGCTTATGACTTGTGTTTCATGAGTTCTCGGTTTTAGGCATCTTCAGCTGACTTTCCCACTAAGATCAACGAGGACAGATTATTTTCAAGTTGACTCCTCCTCTGCTCCCACCTCATAGGCCTCCTGTCTCCATATCAGTTCTGCCTCCTCATCATCCCTGTGTAGTTGTTGCATAACTTTGGATAGATCTGTAGTCAGTGTTTATATTGTTGTCACTAAAAAATTGTTACTTATGACTGAGCTATGTAGGATTCGTCCTGGTATTTCCCTTATCCAGAGATTCTCTGTTACTACCCTTTTTGGAGAGTAAACCTTAAAGTCTTCTCCTGGGGTAGAGAAAAGGCACTTGGCCAACTGTGAAAAGTAAGAGAGGGCATCTGAGTGTCTGTCTGCTTTTTCTATAGACATTATACCAGTCTTCATGTTTTTAGTTGTTTCTTCACCCCTCCTTACAGAGATATCTGGTCCTGTTTTTCCATTGCTAACCAAGAGTTGGCTGTTATTTTCTCATCTCTCTACTTTTCTTTTTGTCCATGTGGTTTATTCCTTTTAAGAAAAAAATTCCAGGCTGGGCATAGTGACTCATGCCTGTAATCCTAGCATTTTGGGAGGCCAAGGAGGGAGGATAACTTGAGCTCAGGAGTTTGAGACTAGCCTGGGCAACATAGTGAGACCTTATTTCTGTTAAAAAATATATTTTTTTAACCCTTTGTTTCCTTTTTAGTGAGGTTTTGGAGAACAAGTGGAACTAAATATATGTTTATGTGCCATCTTTAAATTTAAAAAAACGTAAACACAATTACAGTAAGTCCTCACTTAACATCATCAGTAGGTTCTTATAAACTGTGACTTTAAGCAAAATTACAGCAAAACTTTTTTTTTTTGCATCAACATTATAACATAACAACACTGAACGAAAAAATGTTATTCGGGGACCTAAAGTCAGTTTCCTAGAACCTATGACATTAAGTGAGGACTTTGTATTCTTGAAAGCTTTTTAATGCTGTAATTTATGCATTATTTTTCTTGGGTATGCTGTGCATTGTTCTCGTACTCACACTTAAACCTACCCATATCCAGCAAGGTTTCAGTATTTTTAGAAGTGAGAGCTGTGTAAAGGAGAGAGTGAAGACTAGGGAGGATGGATTGCAATAGAGTAGAATAGACTGGGCAGGTGACTTTGTCTTTGCAGGAGTAATGGTGGAATATACCAGGAGTACAACTAACTGCTAATACACAGTCTTTAGTGTTGATGTCAGCTTTTGACATTGCTATAGAAGTCACATTCATAAGTTCTTAGTACTCCAAATTTGAGTATCCAGTTATTAAGTATGTATACAGTGAAAATAGGTATTTCAATTTTAAGATAATTTGCTTTTTAAAATGTAAACTATAGAAAACTAAAACTGTGAAATTATAATCTAATCACATTTCTGTGGTTTCTGTTTTTAGCTTGATAATGGAACTATACAGCGAAGAGACAATCTCTGGCAAGTTTTTGTAGAAAAAATGTTTCAGTGCCTAGTCTGAAAAATAACAGTTTGAGTTCTTTGAAACTCTAAAATATATTTTTCTCATACCTGTTTTCTTCATTTTCATAATGAAGCACTTTGCTATGTAGCTGTGTACATATCACTACAGTTATAGGAAGTTTCAGTCTACAGTCCATCCAAAGGACCAACCTGCCTTACACATCTCAAGGAATTCAGCTGTTGAAATCATTTGAACTAATCAAGGAATAAATCCTAATGTTCTGGGACTTTATTTTCACATGTTAAATGCTGGAATATATTATGAAAATGTTTTCAAGAAATCACTTAAGTGTTCATAGACCAGTATTTCTGACAGGTAAAATGCTAAAATAAGCTACCTGTAATAAGTGTGGATTATATTTTTGGGTTTTGTAGAATATTGCAAATTAACCACACAAAAAATGTTTAATTTATGCAACAAGCATGTTTGTGCAAATTTCATGGGACTTTAAAAAGAATAAGTATTTGAGAAAATATCTGGTTCACTTACACTACATTTACTGTATTATTCTTTTATAGCATTAGGTGCCTTGTATTTTAAATCTGTGACAAACCATGGCAAATTTTTAAAGGGGAAGTATTATTATAAAATGAAGAAATATGTATTTCTAAAGGCTATATTGCTGTAAACTTAATTGATAAAGCTCTGTTTAATTTAGAGTTTTGAAGAAATAGTCTCCCTTCAATTAAGAAATTTTCATAATGGAATGATTTAAATTGAAGTGACAAAGAGTATTATTAAAATACAATGTTTATACGTCTATTTGTGTATTGTAGATGTATCAAGTGATTTCTAATTTTTTTCACATATGAATGTGCCAGATTACTCTAGAACTAGATGTCTCTTCTTTAAATAATTTTAGTTTTCCTGAATAAATTTGTAATGGTTAAAGTACCAAGTAAGTAAGGCGAGAAGGGATTCTGTTTTTAAAATCACATCAGAACTTTTCCTCTACTAAGATTATAAATTAAATGTAAAATACTCCTAATTGCAATTCTTAAACTTAGGCCTTACATGTACTTATTATGCAACTGCTCCTGGACTCTATTCACCATAGATATCAGTAAACGTATGTCCCAGGATTCACAGGCTTTTGATTAATCAATATTCTTTTCAAGTTTGCTGTGAAGAGTTTAGTTCTCTTCAAAATTTCTTAACTAATCTGATTTTTAAGAATTCTCTTTGCAGTGTTTAGCTTCCTATTCACATTCTTAAAATTGCTTTGGTGTTACCATGAGTCTAAAATGAAGTTTAGCCTTCCTTTTGTTTCATTCTGAGAACTTCTATATTATATTACCTTTAAAAATTGTTTATGATATTAAATTTAAAATACAAACAGCTCTCTTTTTTTTTTTTTTTTTTTTTAATCATCCAGCCCAAAGTGGCAAAAACAGCTCTTTTCTCATTTGGCACCACCAATAACGCAAGTTAAAAATAATGTTGAGTTTATTATACTTTTGACCTGTTTAGCTCAACAGGGTGAAGGCATGTAAAGAATGTGGACTTCTGAGGAATTTTCTTTTAAAAAGAACATAATGAAGTAACATTTTAATTACTCAAGGACTACTTTTGGTTGAAGTTTATAATCTAGATACCTCTACTTTTTGTTTTTGCTGTTCGACAGTTCACAAAGACCTTCAGCAATTTACAGGGTAAAATCGTTGAAGTAGTGGAGGTGAAACTGAAATTTAAAATTATTCTGTAAATACTATAGGGAAAGAGGCTGAGCTTAGAATCTTTTGGTTGTTCATGTGTTCTGTGCTCTTATCATCACACAGGTCATGTGTTGTTACTCAGGATTCTGGAAGTACTAAGCCGTAGTTAACAGGCTGGATAGATCTTCAGCCAATCTTCTTTCATTATACTGCTGCTTTTCTGTTTCTTAAAAAACAAAAATCAATGAACAACTTCTTCAGAAGGAAGCACCACTGTTCAATTGGTTAACTGAAAGTATGAATCACTGCCGCTTTGCTTGCCCACCTGTTTGCTTTTTCTCACAGGTTTTATTTATCTGAATGATTGTTGCATTTGAATACTGTAGCCATGGTGAGTGAGCAGTTGAAGACTTCCTTTCTGCACCTTCATAGTTAAGGGTTCATCTTCTCAAGAAATAAAGTTGTGCTGGGTTGTTTCAATTCTGTAGATCACCTAGAAACTAGGTAACAAGGCCCTTGGATCACAATGAGCACATTGCAGGTCTTTGGAAATGCTGGGAAGGGGTTACATTCAAGTAACTGCTGACGTCCTTCCTCTCTGTCAGACCCATGTTGGCCTGTAATTATATTTTTCTGAATCTAAAAACAAATAGAAATTTCTGATATCTTTTCAGTCTCCTTCTTTTCTTTCCATTCATCACTTAAATCTCATTATTGTATAACGTTTCAAATTATGACCTGGATTGAAGGAAGTCTGTTTTGTCAGGGACTTTGTTAGGTGAACATCAGAATCTCAACTACAACAAAGCTGAAAAATGAGGCAGCCTTAACAGTAAATGCTTTTGGGCCGGGCGTGGTGGCTCACGCCTGTAGTCCCAGCACTTTGGGAGGCCGAGGCGGGCGGATCACGAGGTCAGGAGATCGAGACCATCCTGGTTAACACAGTGAAACCCCGTCTCTACTAAAAATACAAAGAATTAGCCGGGCGTGGTGGCGGCGCCTGTAGTCCCAGCTGCTCGGGAGGCTGAGGCAGCAGAATGGCGTGAACCCGGGAGGCGGAGCCTGCAGTGAGCCGAGATCGTGCCCCTGCACTCCAGCCTGGGCGACAGCGAGACTCCGTCTCAAAAAAAAAAAAAGTGAATACTTTTGAAATGAATGCTTTTTGAAGCTTAGAAGAACCATTAGGTTTATGTAATGCACCCATACTTATTCCTTTAAATAAATTTTAATTTAAAAACATTGAGATATTGGCTTCTGTCAACCTGATTTAATTAATTCTTTACATTAAGCTGATTTTCCCCCTGGCAGCTGACAAATAAGTTCATTGTTCTTGTAGAAGTGAGCTCACAAGGTTAAATGTGAATGTTCTCAAAGGTACACAGCCTTGTTTCAGAAGAATTTTAATGCCCGCTGTAAAATCAATCATGCAGAGCCAATTTGAGGTATGACTCCAGGGTATGCAAGGTATGACTTCTCTGGAAGCCAAGTCTTTTCACAGGGCACTGTGGTAATACCCATAGCACTAATCCTCAGTGTGCTGGTTGAAGAAATAAAATGTTTTTAAAGAAGGATAAAGGAGGAATTAATTAGAAAATTTTTTTCCACATATTAGCAAATAAATGAAATGTCATTTTCATATTAAGTAAGTATAGTTATGATCTTCGTTTCTACCTACTCTCCTTTTGAAATATTCTTTATTACTAAATAATATTTTAGGAGGAGTTAACAGAAATAATTACCTGTAACATCTGCAGATAAACTTACATAGCTAACATTGTGTGCTGACTTTTTTAAATGGTGAAGTGGCATTAATGAGATGTTCAGTTTACAGAATTTGAAGTTTGAGTTCTATTTTAATAGTCTGCCGTGTCCCCCAAATCCCATTTAGATAAATTGAGGTTGATTTTTCACATAGACTTGCAATTTTTAGACACCACATTTTTTTTATAGTAACAGCCTCATTTGCCTGTACAATAACTAATAATACAGTATTTCATAGGTACATTGTATGTGCACAGGAAATTTTTCTTTAAATCTTAAGAGCCTTTAATAAACGGGATATTTTAATATTTTAATGTTACTACATTTAAAAAATAGTGTTTTCCTACAAAATTTTCTGTATTCAGTATACGTTAACTATGAAAATGTCAAACAATGAAATCATTGAAATATATTTAAGGAAAAATTACCAACCAAAAGTAATGAGTACCCTCTATGTGCATATTTACTGGAATGTTCATGTGAAATGGTAACATTTCCAATAACAGCATTTTGAATCTGGGGTGACACAAACATGATTTTTATTTTTGAGCTAGGGATTTTGATGGAGAAGCACCTAGATGAAGACACCATTTCATTCATGATATTTTAAAATTAGAAAAGTAAAGCTTCTAAATTGAAACTCTTAACAGGTCACTTCATGAAATTTTTAGTTTTAAATTTAATTTTACATGAGATGTCTTTCTGAAGAGCTACTTTTATTAACTTTCACTTAGATCGTTGTATGCTAGGCATTCAGTATTTCTCTACTTGATTTTCCTATGCCTAGTTGTGATTACAGCAAGTATTTAATAATAAAGTCAGTCATGTGAGAGTATCCATTAATTTCAGTGGGTCCTTGGAAGGCAGGCAGAAGATTTCTGTCCAAGAGTCTTATTTTTGACATGAGATGAAATTCTTTTTTTTTTTTTGAGATGGGGTCTCACTCTGTCACCCAGGCTGGAGTGCAGTGGCAGGATCTTGGCTCACTGCAACCTCCCAAGCTCAAGCCATCCTCCCACCTCAGTCTCCTGAGTAGTTGGGACTACTGGCATGTGCCCCCATTCCTGATTAGTTTTTTTGTATTTTTGGTAGAGATGGGGTCTTGCTATATTGCCTAATTTTTGTGTTTTTAGTAGAGATGGGGTTTCACCATGTTGGCCAGGCTGCTCTTGAACTCCTGAGCTCAAGTAATCTGCCCGCCCTGGCCTCCCAAAGTGCTGGGATTACAGGCATGAGCCACCATGCCTGGCTAAAACCAATTCTTTAGATTGTTTTTGCCACCATTTGCTTACTTGGAATAGCTTTCACATTTATTTTTCTTATGAAGAAATCCAGTGTCAGTCAGACCATGTAACATCAAAGCAAAATTTCATTGAAGCCTATCCTTGTCTTAATTATTCTAAAATAAAGTACAATAAAGTGAATTATTTTGCCCTTTGTAGTAGCATAGTGTTAAGTTATATATATATTTTAATATGCATACTCCTAAGTAAAGTTTCAGAGACCACATGCTGGAGAGCAGTGGCTTTCAGACAGCATCAGCATCACCTGAAGGCCTTGTTGAATACACATTATTGGAAGAGAGGGGAGAACACAGGCTCATGCCTGTAATTCCAGTGCTTTGGGAGACTGAGGCAGGAGGATCACGTGAGCCCAGGAGTTCAAGATCAGGCTGGGCAATACAGCAAGACCCCTGTCTCTACAAAAACAAAAACAAAAAACAAACAGGCATGGTAGTGCATACCTGTAGTCTGAGCTGCTTGGGAGTCTGAGGCAGGAGGATCACTTGAACCCAGGAGTTCGAGGCTGCAGTGAGTTATTATTGGGCCACTGCAGTCCAGCCTGGGCAGCAAAGTGAGACCCTGTCTGTTAAAAAAACAAAACCAAAAACTTGATTGCTGGGGGCCACCCTAGAGTTTCTGATTCAGTAGGTCTGGCGGTGGGGATGGTGGGCCTGGTAATTTGCCTTTCTAACAAGCGTCCAGGTAATGCCCCAGCTGCTGGTCCCAGGACCACACTTTGCAGATTATTACTCTGAGAAGAGCACTAACTCTGACGTTGGATTCCTTCTGTTCCTCATTAGTGAATTTATTTGGGGGAGATTATTCAATCTGGTAGATCCGCATTTACTTAGCTGTGAAGTGGAGGTTAATGCAACCTGCCTGAGACTGTGAGAATGAGAAACTCTAATTGAAATACCAGGCCCAGCGTGCCTGGATGCTTGAAAAATGCTGACTCCCATGGTCCGTCCTTCCCTCACTCTTCTCAGCTATAAAGTGAGAAGCGAAATTCAGTATCTTTTAAGATTCCTCTCAGGTGTAAAATGCTGTGATTCTAAAAGTTTAATTTTGTAGTTCCAGAGACAATGCCAAACACCTGTGTGTGCTTAGTGCTTTGTAAAGAGTGGTAATAACAGTGACACCACATAGGCCGTAGTTTTGTAGTTCCAGAGACAATGCCAAACACCTGTGTGTACTTAGTGCTTTGTAAAGAGTGAATAACAGTGACACCACATAGGCCATAGTTTTGTAGTTCCAGAGACAATGCCAAACACCTATGTGTACTTAGTGCTTTGTAAAGAGTGGTAATAACAGTGACACCACATAGGCCGTAATTTTGTTTTTGCTTTTGTTAGGGTGTTCAGCATCT
Source organism: Homo sapiens (assembly GCF_000001405.40). Lineage (NCBI taxonomy): Eukaryota > Metazoa > Chordata > Mammalia > Primates > Hominidae > Homo > Homo sapiens. Next base: position 113,709,049 of record NC_000002.12, on the reverse strand, counting down.
TGACTCCTTAAATAAGGTTTTCAGTCAGATTTATAAAGCAGCATTGAAGAAGTTGTATTATATTTGAGTACAGTTGGAATCCATGGCAGTTTTATGGAGGCCAAATATATCAGATGAATAGGCTAATTTCCCTGAGTTGCTGGCCTTATTAGTCCCTACTCTGTTGCCCCCTGGTTACCTAATGCATGTTCAAAAGGTATAGTTTTCATCACCTGCTTGATCTTGATTTTCAGACAGCATCAAATCAGTTGCAAAACAAATCCAAGCTAAAATTTTGAGTGTATGATTAATTTACTATAGCATGTAATTATGCAGTATTTTATTTTTTATTTTTTATTTTTTTTGAGACAGAGTCTCACTCCATTGCCCAGGCTGAAGTGCAGTGGCACGATCTCGGCTCACTCTAACCTCTGCCTCCTGGGTTCAAGTGATTCTCCTGCCTCAGCCTCCCGAATAGCTGGGATTACAGACATGCACCACCACGCCCAGCTAATTTTTTGTATTTATAGTAGAGAGGAGGTTTTACCATGTTGGCCAGGTTGGTCTTGAACTCTTGACCTCAAGTGATCTACACGCCTCGGCCTCCCAAAGTGCTGGGATTACGGGTGTGAGCCACTGCGCCCAGCTATCCAGTATTTTATTTAAAAGTTGTCACTAGGGTGTTCACTATTGTGAATTTATAATCTTAAAAGTTGGGGATGCTAAAAGTACCAGACTAAAATACTACGAGGTTTTCTCATCTTTTAATTCCATTTTGTTAGAAAAAAATAATCACAACCGGGGTTCTTTTACCTTTCCCCAGCCATCTAGACTGCTTTACTGCAATGTTGGGAAGATTGCATACAATAAAAACTGTAGCTAGTTGATTGGGATTTGGGAAAATTGAATCAAGCATTTGCATTCATCCAGAATGGTCTTAAACTGCTGACTGTGGGGTGCCCACAGGATGAGCACTGGTGGCATGGGTGGGAGGAATTTCCTTGGATACTGCAATTGCATTTGAAAGATCTATTTTCCAAAACCTGAGCAGAGAGAGGCTAGGAGGAATGCAGACAGGACATTGAAAATGCGAATTCCCTTTACTAGTAGAACATGAAATATCTGATAATGGTTTAAAAAAAATAAGTGCCAGGATACATTGTAGTATAAAGGTTCAACTAGTATAATTTAAAATGAGTCTTTATATTCAGGCCAGGTGCGGTGGCTCACACCTGTAATCCCAGCACTTTGGGAGTCCGAGGCGGGTGGATCACCTGAGATTAGGAGTTCAAAACCAGTGTGACCAACATGGAGAAACCCCTTCTCTACTAAAAATACAAAAAATTAGCCAGGCATGGTGGTGCACGCCTGTAGTCCCAGCTACTTGTGAGGCTGAGGTAGGAGAATCGCTTGAACCCAAGAGGCAGAGGTTGCAGTGAGCTGAGATCACACCACTGCACTCCAGCCTGGGTGACAGAGCGAGACCCTGTTTCAAAAAAATAAGAAATAAAAAGTGAGTCTTCATATTCAAATTAGTATATGAGGTTAGGCAACAATTCTTATATGGGACCAGGTATATTTAATTTGCCTTTCTTTGCAGTCATCCTAGTAAATCCTTGTAAAGGGTTATTTTATATACAATTTTGTAGTATATTCTAAATCCCCTTTGGCAAATAAAGCTGAAGTTATCTAGTGTCAGCATACTGTGATTTGTATATTTATATAAGACAAGATTGCATCATTCTGATTAAGTTGCAGCATTTTAGTTTTATCTGATAGGCCTGTATTGAGTAATCAGTAGCTATGTGCAAATATTAAGTCAACTTAATTACCAGACCCAGAAGGCCAGAGGTAATCAAAGAGTACTTTCGGAAGATGAAATATTTATAATGAGTTATGGAAACAATGTTTTAGAAATGTTTTTCTTGGTGTAATTTAATGCAGATTTTTACCTCAATTTTGTTAAAAAACTTGATAATTTGATCCCTCCATCTATTTAATATTTAATATTTTCAGATTCTAGAGTATTTAAAATTTAAACACAATTATAAAATTAATTATAATTCCTACTTATGTTAGCTATGATTTAGGGCCAAAACTACCCTGGTTTTGTCTTGCAACTTGAAACATTGTGTATTTTAAACTATATAATTTGGGAACATTATTTTATAGACTGTGGATAACCAAATATAAGATTTGTGATTTTTAATGCTTCATTTGTGTAAAATCATTTGTATATTCTATTTATAGTATGCATTTTCTAGCTCATTAAAAGTACAGAAAAACCTCAAATCTGTCCTTATACAAATATTTGATTTCTAGTTTCCTTTTATTAAAACATTTTCACTCATTCATTCTTTCACACCTTAGTCTCTAAGATGTGTCTCGGGTATTTGATAAAGTAGGTCTTCTTGTGGAGCACATCACTCAGCTTTGGAGACCAAACATTAAACACACTGAGTTGCATCTTATGCATGTTAAGGTCTAAAGCCAAAAGGTGAAATTTTTGAATAATCAAATTGCCCTTGGGAGGGTCCTGAATAAGAGACCTACATTCCATCTCATGATAAGTCCCTTCCATTGAACTTTTCCTCCAAAATTGGAATAGAAATTAGCAACAGCAGAAAGCCAATGCTATCCCTAGGATGGTGGGGTGGAGGGAGGAAGCCGTCATAAAGCTCAAGGCCAGGGTCACCCAGAGGAAGCACAACCCCCGCAGCAGAGCACAGGGGCCTTCAGGGTGCTGCAGCTGGAGGCAAAGAAGGAGGGAAAGAAATACTCTCGCTTTGCTTTGCTTTTTGCCATTGACTCCCGGTGGCAGGAGCTGACTGGAAGCCAGCTGGCACAGGAGCTTGGAGCTTGGTGGTATCCCTCTGGTGTCGACTCCCCTGACTTAGAGCAGAGCCGCAGACCTCAGGTCAAGCAGGCTCAGAATTGGCACATTTGCACTGGGGACCATATTGTATGGACAACACTTACTTTCAACAGTAGAATCACAGCCTGCGAAGATGTCACAGTACAAGAAATATTCTGGAACCAAGATCACCTTTATCCATGTCAAGTCCACTCCAGAAAGTGGAATTAGGGGAAAGTACCTGCCCTGGACTAGTATTTCGAATCCCTTCCCTCCTCTACTTACTCCCCTTTCCCTTTTTCTTCTCCCAAGCTGAGCTAAAGGGAAATGTGAAGAACATTATTGCCTCTTTAAAACCAAACATATATAAAACATGAAAAATATTTTTCAGTGACAAAAGATAAGAATGAAAGCATTCAGGATAGTGTATTCATAGAAGCTTTGGGAAAGAGTAAAAATAATTTCTTAAATTTTTTTCTTGAAAGACTGAAAATAGAATCTTAAGGAGATAGTGTTCTTAAAGCCTTGATCTGACTACTTGACTACTTATAACTTCTTTCTTCATCTACTAATTATTTTGAAAAGTCACTTAGTCATTTGTCAATCCTAACCTTTAGAGATAAACATTTAAAATCAGTTCACTAATCACAGCATTTTTTTTTTTTTAGATGGAATCTTGCTCTGTCGCCCAAGCTGGAGTGCAGTGGCGAGATCTCGGGTCACTGCAACCTCTACCTCCTGGGCTCAAGCGATTCTCCTGCCTCAGCCTCCCGAGTAGCTGGGACTACAGGCGCACGCCACCACACCCAGCTAATTTTTGTATTTTTAGTAGAGACGGGGTTTCACCATGTTGGTCAGGATGGTCTCGATCTCTTGAACTCGTGATCCGCCCTCCTTGGCTTCCCAAAGTGCTGGGATTATAGGCGTGAGCCACCGCGCCCGGCCCACAGCATCATTTTTCAAGGGTCTCTAGGGTGACCAGGTGTCCGGGTTTGCCAAGGACAGTCCCAGTTTCTACCTGCTGTCCTAGGACAATCATGAATAGTGCCCCTTTCAGTTTCAAAAGTGTCATAGTTTAGACATTAAATTACCTGACCACCCTTATATGCCCCATGTTTCTTAACATCTAGGCTGCTGACAAAATTCACATTTTCTGACTGTCAGTCTAGTGTTCTCTATACTAGACTGATACGGATCCACAAAGGAAGCAATATTGGCCAACAATTAATCTTCAGTCTTTGGATTAGTGAGAGGTGACAACGTGCTGGCAGCCGTCACAGCCCTCGCTCACTCTCCCCGCCTCCTCTGCCTGGTTTCCCAGTTTGACGGCACTTGAGGAGCCCTTCAGCCCGCCGCTGCACTGTGGGAGCCCCTTCCTGGGCTGGCCGAGGCCGGAGGCGGCTCCCCCAGCTTGCGGGGAGGTGTGGAGGGAGAGGCGAGGGCGGGAACAGGGGCTGCGCGCGGTGCTTGCGGGCCAGCGCGAGTTCTGGGTGGGTGTGGGCTCGGCGGGCCCCGCACTCGGAGCGGCCGGCAGGCCCTGCCGGCCCCGGGCAATGAGGGGCTTAGCACCCGGGCCAGCGGCTGCGGAGGGTGTGCCGGGTCCCCCAGCAGTGCCGGCCCACCGGCGCTGCGCTCGATTTCTCGCCGGGCCTTAGCTGCCTCCCCGCGGGGCAGGGCTCGGGACCTGCAGCCCGCCATGCCTGAGCCTTCCCAGCTCCGTGGGCTCCTGTGTGGCCAGAGCGCCCCCTGCTCCGCGGTGCCCAGTCCCATCAACTACCCAAGGGCTGAGGAGTGCGGGCGCAGGGCGCGGGACTGGCGGGCAGCTCCACCTGTGGCCCCTGTGCGGGATCCGCTGGGTGAAGCCGGCTGGGCTCCTGACTCTGGTGGGGACTTGGAGAACCTTTGTGTCTAGCTCAGGGATTGTAAACGCACCAATCAGCGCCCTGTCAAAACAGACCACTCGCTCTCTGTAAAATGGACCAATCAGAGGATGTGGGTGGGGCCAGATAAGAGAATAAAAGCGGGCTGCCCGAGCCCCCAGTGGCGACTCGCTGGGGTTCCCTTACCGAGCTGTGGGAGCTTTGTTCTTTCGCTTTTTGCAATAAATCTTGCTGCTGCTCACTCTTTGGGTCCACACTGCCTTTATGAGCTGTAACACTCACGGTGAAGGTCCGCAGCTTCACTCCTGAGCCGGCGAGACCACGAACCCACCAGAAGGAAGAAACTCCGAACATCAGAAGGAACCAACTCCGGACATGCCGCCTTTAAGAACTGTAACACTCACCGCGAGGAGCCACGGCTTCATTCTGGAAGTCAGTGAGACCGAGAACCCACTGAGTCCGGACACATTAGGATGTTAGAGTCCCACCTTCAAAGCATTTTTCTCCTGGAGTGGACTTTGCACAAATGGTAGGCCAATTGTGGAGTCAGTGAAGAACCAGGCTAATCCAGCTTGTTTTATTGGCCCCAGTTTTTCTTCTCAGGGCCGTAAACCAGTTATTACCAGGAAACAAAAGCAAAGTAAGTATTAAGTTTTGAATTGGTATTGAGGAGAAACATCTAAAATCAAGTCTCGCCAATCTAATTAAATTAGATTCCCAAACCGGAAGAAGCTTTGCAATTACTGCCAAAATGTCTCAGAGGGCATTAGGTTAATTGAAGCTGGAGAGGAGTGAGAAAAGAGGCAGCTGCTAGTCACTGAGAATAAGGACTCTCTATTTGCTGTGAGGTTTGTAGGGGCAGCACTTTGCTGTTGGGGTTTGGTAAGGGGATTTGTTTTAAAATTGGAATTATATTTTGTTGGCTTTTAATCATAAGCAGGGAAATACATTTTTCCTACGCCTAAGAATTTACATAAGCTAATTTGTTCCATAATTAGAAAAATCCTTGCTTTTAGCATATGGACTGTAACAATAGGGGTTGTAACTCGTGAGTCGTGTGACACATTGTTTCCCTTTGGTGAAGTTTTACTTTAAGATCTGTTGAGTATATCCAGGGAGAGAGATGAAGGTCAAGACATGCTTATTTTTACAGAGAGAGAGAGAGAGAGAGAGAAAGAGATTCATTAAACTTTGAGTTATACTTTATTTTTATTTATTTATTTTTTTGAGATGGGGTCTTGCTCTGTCACCCAGGCTGGAGTACAGTGGCATGATCTTGGCTCATTGCAACCTCCACTACCAGGGCTCAAGTGATTCTCCCACCTCAGCCTCTCAAGTTGCTGGGACTACAGGTGCACACCAACAAGCCTGGCTAAGTTTTTTGATTTTTAGTAGCAATGAGGTCTTGCTATTTTGCCTAGGCTGGTCTCGAACTCCTGGCCTCAAGCAATCTGCCTGCCTTAGCTTCCCAAAGTGCTAGGATTACAGATGTGAGCCACCGTGCCTGGCCCATATTTTACTCAGTAGGAATCTTTGCTATTTGCTATGATTTTTAATTCTTCTTGTATCTTAATTTTGCTTCCCCAATGAGTATGTTAAATGTTCTTTAAAATCTTCCTGTAAAAAAGTAAACATATTAAACAGCAGTTCTCTAATTGAATGTGCTAATTTGATAAATATTTGAGTGGATACCTACTATTTGCAAAGCTTCAAGGAATACAGTGGTGAGTAAGATAGTCTTTTTTTTTTTTTGAGACAGAGTCTTGCTCTGTCTCCCAGGCTGGAGTGCAGTGGTGTGATCTCGGCTAACTGCAACCTCCACTTCCTGGGTTTCAAGTGATTCTCCTGCTTCAGCCTCCCAAGTAGCTTAGATTACAGAAGCACATTACCATTCTTGGTTAATTTTTGTATTTTTAGTAGACATAGTTTCACCATGTTGGCCAGGCTGGTCTCGAACTCCTGAGTTCAAGTGATCCCGCCTGTCTCGGCCTCCCAAAGTGCTGGGATTACAGGTGTGAGAGACTGCACTTGGCCAATAAGATAGTCTTTAATGTCAAGGAGTTTATGATTTTTTTCTTGGCGGAGGTGATAAGAAAATATGTAAAAACAATAAACATAGGTTACAGTAGTTGGCATCAAAGGAATGGGGAAGGGCTTTTTACCAAGCTTGTCTAGCTTGTGTACCGCAGGCTGCATGTGGGCCAACACAAATTCATAAACTCTCTTTAGACATTATGAGATTTTTTTTTTTTTTTTTTAGCTCACCAGTCATCATTAGTGTTAGTGTATCTTATGTGTGGCCCAGGAAGCCAAAAGATCAGACACCCCTGCACAGAGAAAGTAGCGCTTGAGATGAACTTGAAGGTTGAAATTAAACTTTGAGAGGTATTGTTGGCAGGCAGGAGATAGGAAGCAAATAACTGCATCGAGTTGGAGAAATTTGTTGGTCTTTGGGGAAAAGCAAGTAGTTCAGTCTGGCAGGAGTTGGAATAAGTGTTAGGGAATAATGGGAAATAGAGTTAGAAAAGCAAATTGTGAAATACTGTGTATCAGTCGGCTTAGGCAGTTAAACTGCAGTAACAAAGGACTCTCCAAATCACAGCAATACTACAAGCTTATTTCTCTCTTACATTACATTTCCCTTGTGGGTATCTGTAGCTCTGCTCCATGGCTCCTTTGTTCTGGGGTCAGGCTGCAGAAGCAGCTTCGATCTGGGTTATCATCAATTCTGGCCAAGGGAAAGAAAATATGGGAGAACTGTTCAATGGTTTTCGTAGTGTCCGCTTGACTGTGGCACATGTTACAGCTGTTCACGTTTCATTGGCCAAAGCAAGTCACTTGGCCATGCCTGCCATCCCTGGGAAAGGGGAAATATAATCCTCTTACAGGAAAGGACAAAAAATATATAAAACAATTTACCAAAAGCCTTGAAAGCCAATCTGAGTCTTTTGCATTTAAATCTTTAGATGGCTTGGAGCCATGGCAAGTTTCTAGACAAGATAATATGGCTTAGTAAAACAAACAAACAAAAACATCAGGGTGTTTGTTGTTGTTGTTGTTGTTGTTGTTTTTTGAGACAGAGTCTCGCTCTGTCGCCCAGGCTGGAGTGCAGTGGCGCGATCTCAGCTCACTGCAAGCTTCACCTCCCGGGTTCACGCCATTCTCCTGCCTCAGCCTCCTGAGTAGCTGGGACCACAGGCGCCCGCCACCACGCCCGGCTAATTTTTTGTATTTTTAGTAGAGACGGGGTTTCACCGTGTTAGCCAGGATGGTCTCGATCTCCTGACCTCATGGTCCACCCGCCTCGGTCTCCCAAAGTGCTGGGATTACAGGCGTGAGCCACTGTGCCCAGCCCAGGGTGGTTTTTATGTTGTGTGTGTGTTTGTGTGTATGTGTGTGCATGTACATAAAAATTATTCAGGGTATTTATTATAAATGCGGGTTCCAGGATTCCAGAAGGTCTGATTCAGGGAGCTCAGGTAGCAAGCAGCCAGGTGGAGAGAATGTAGATTGTCCACAGACCTCATTTTATAAAACCCTGGATCAAGGAATCAACGGAGAGTGCTCAGGCAAGTGCAGGTGAGATGGGGCAGTGAGTGAGGGAACGGCAGGTAGGTCATGAGTGCAGAGGCCCAGATGCAATGTGGGCATATGGTAAATGGCCAGTACGGAGGCAGATAGATAAGAGAGAACAGATGGAACTAGACTTACTCAAGGTGGGAGGCTATGGTGCAAACAGCCAGGAAACAGGGTAGTGCAAGGGGCAAATCTTGGGAGCTGAGATTAGGAATATCAGGGGATCCTGATCTTCCCTGAGGAGGAGGAGGCAAGCCTAGCTGATGCAAGAAAAAGCTGAGAACTTGAGGAGAGCAGAGGCGATAAACAGGAAGTCGCAGGAAACTCGGTGCTTGTAAGCAGCTATGGAAAACTTGACTAAAAGCGGCCCCATAAACTTGATTTTGTATTCGGCCAGAAGAGGGTACTACGGTAGCACATATGCTGATGTCTGGGCTCGGCCGCCCAAACCGAGTAATGCCAGCTCCTGTCCAATAGGGTTATTAACCCGACCCACAGCGCGATATTTTGGGCGATTCATTTATTACTTTTATAGCCGTGAATCTTTTTAGAAGGAACTTTAAGGTTTCTATTTATTAAGGAATCTGGGGTTATTTTGTTTTGAACTGTGAATTCCTGTAGTCAAAAAGAAATTAATTCCACGGAGTTTAAGGGAATTATTACCCATTTATTGGCATCACTTGAGGCATGGAGAGGAGATTAGGACAGAGAGGAGAAAAGACCTAGAAGACAGAAAAGTGCATTTGAGGCATGACTTCTGGGAGTGTAATTGCTGAGCCCAAAAGGTTGGAATCTTATGGTTTTTTGTTTGTTTGTTTGTTTGTTTGTTTGTTTTTGAGATAGAGTCTCACTCTGTCGCCCAGGCTGGAGTGCAGTGGCTTGATCTCGGCTCACTGCAACCTCCGCCTCCCGGGTTCAGGCGATTCTTCTGCCTCAGCCTCCTGAGTAGCTGAGATTACAGGCATGCGCCACCACACCCGACTAATTTTTGTATTTTTAGTAGAGACGGGGTTTCCCCATTTGGCCAGGCTGGTCTTGAACTGCTGACCTCAAGTGATCCACCCGCCTCAGCCTCCCAAAGTGCTGGGATTACAGGCATGAGCCACCGCGCCTGGCCTATTTCTATGACCAAATAATATTCCATTGTGTGGACAAACTATATTTTGTTGATCTATTCACTAGTTGTTGGGTGTTCGGGTTGTTTCCACCTTTTGGCTATTATGAATAGTGCTGCTGCGAATGTTCGTGTTCAAGTTTTTGTGTGGACACGTTTTTATTTCTCCTGGATATATACCTGGGAGTAGAATTGCTGGATCGAATGGTAACTCAGTATTTAATGTTTTGAGGAACTGCCCAGCTGTTCTACAGTGGCTGCACCATTTTTCCTTTCCACCAGCAATGTATGAGTGTCTCAGTTTCTCCACATCCTCAACAACATTAGTTATGCTCTGTTTTTTAGGGGCTTTCTTGTTTTCATACAGCCTTACTCGTAAGTCGAAGTGGTGTATCACTGTGATGTTTTGGTTTCGTTTTTATGGTCTATGCTTGACATAGTTACTCTTATGTGTCAACTTGACTGGGTGATGGGATACCCAGCTGGTTGGTTAAACCTTATTTCTGGTGTGTTTGTGAGGGTGTTCCCAGAAAAGATTAACATTTGAATGGTTGGACTGAGTAAAGAAGATGGTCAACATGGGTGGGCATTATCAATCTACCGAGGGCCTGAATAAAACAAGAAGGCAGAGGAAGGTTGAATTAACTCTGCTTGACTACTGAGGTGGGACATCAATCTTCTCCAGCCCTCACCACTCCTGGTTCTCAGGCCTTAAGACCTGGACTAGAATCTACACTATTGATTCTCCACCTCTTGGACTTTGGGACACCACAGGCTTTCCTGGGGGTCCAGTTCACAGGTGGTTCGCAGCGGGACTTAGCCTCCAGAATGATGTATCCAATCAATATCTTTTTAATTTAATTTAATTTAATTTTACTTAAATTCTGGGATATATGCATAGAACATGCAGGTTTGCTACGTAGGTATACATGTGCCATGGTGGTTTGCTGCACCTATCAACCTGTCAACTAGGTTTTAAGCCCCACATGCATTAGGTATTTCTCCTAATGCTCTCCCTCCCCTTTCCCCCCACCCCCAATAGGCCCTGGTGTGTGATGTTCCCCTCCCTGTGTCCATGTGTTCTTATTGTTCAACTCCCACTCATGAGTGAGACATGTGGTGTTTAGTTTTTTGTTCCTATGTTAGTTTGCTGAGAATGATGGTTTCCAGCTTTATCCATGACCCTCCAAAGACATGAACTCATTCTTTTTCATGGCTGCATAGTATTCCATGATATATATGTCTCACATTTTCTTTATCCAGTCTGTCATTGATGGGCATTTGGGTTGGTTCCGAATCTTTACTATTGTAAATAGTGCTGCAGTAAACACACGTGTGCATGTGTCTTTATAGTAAAATGATTTATAATATACCCAGTAATGGGATTGCTGGGTCAAATGTTATTTCTGGTTCTAGATGAGCCAATCAATAGCTTATAAACAAGCAAACAAACAAATTCTACTGGTTCTATTTCTCTGGAGAACCCTGACCAACACAACGCTTTAATGATTGTTTTCTTACTGTGGTAAAATAGGCAGCACATGAAAGTTATAATTTTAGCCTGTCGTTGTTGTTGTGAGACAGTCTCACTCTTGCCCAGGCTGGAGTGCAGCGGTGCAGTCACAGCTCACTGCAGCTCAACCTCCCAGGCCCCAGTGATCCTCCCACCTCAGCCTTCCGAATAGCTGGGACTACTGGCATGTACCACTACACCCAGCTAATTTTTTATTTTTTGTAGAGCTGGGTTCTCCCCATGTTGCCCAGGCTGGTCTTGAACTCCTGGGCTCAAGGAATCCTTTCACTTCGGCCTCCAAAAGAGCGGGGATTACAGGTGTGAACTACTGCACCTGGCCTATCTGAGGCATTTTTAATTGTACAGCTCAGCGGCCTTCATGACATTCATATTGTTCGCATCATGGTGGTTTTGGTTTGCATTTCCCTGATGATTAATGGTGTTGGGCATCTTTTTCCTGGACTTGCTGGCCATTTGTATATCCTCCTTGGAGAACTGTCTGTTCAAGATCTTTGCTCATGTTTGATTTGGGTTGTGTTTTTATTGTTGAGTTGTGACTATTCTTTATATATTATACTATTCTTTATATTATAAGGAATATATATATAAGATATTATACTATTCTTTATATATTATATGTTCTTTATATATTGAGACAATATATATATTGTCTCAATTGTAACAGCAGGATTTTAGTTTATGGAAGTGACTGAATGATGATGTGGAGAGGCCAATGTTACTGAAAGAAGTTTTCTTACAGTTCCTGAGAGGAGGGGACATGCCACAACACGCAGGGCCACAGAGAAAGCGTTAGGATGGTCAAGAGGCAAAAGATGAGTGAGAAGGCGTGGGCCACAGCCCTTACTGGAGTTTCTGCAGGAAAGGCAAGGCAGGGCCGGGCCATCAGTTTAGGACTGGCTACTTTGAATAACATGGGTGAGCCTGGGCTATAGGGGGTGGTCTCTAGTTGCCTGGAACCTGGCCTTGGGTTGATTTAGGATAAGGGAAATATTGGTTTGGTGTGTGAGAGTTATATAGAAGGTAGATGGAGGCACAGACTTGGATCAGCCTGTCTGCACACGAAAGGAGAATTCCAGGCAACTTGACGTATATTTGTACAATTGTTTGATAATGCATTTCCATGTTTTTGGAAACAGTGAATCAAACGTGGACGGGAACAAGTCTCCCTCACTTGCCTCCTGCACCCAGCCTTGCCTCAGTGTGGGAATGCCCCATCCTTGGAGGGGAATGCCCCTTCTTGAAGGAGAGAGGTAAACACTTGTCTGCTGGCCTTGCAGTTACTAGATACCAAATAGACATAAAGAATTTAAGGCCAGGCGCAGTGGCTCACGCCTGTAATCCCAGCACTTTGGGAGGCCAAGGCGGGCAGATCACTTGAGATCAAATCACTTGAGGTCAGGAGTTTGAGACCAGCCTGGTCAAAATGGTGAAACCCCATCTCTACTAAACATACAGAAATTAGCCAGGTGTGGTGGCGTGTGCCTGTAATCCCAGCTAATTGGGGGGCTGAGGTGGGAGAATGGCTTGAACATGGGAGGCAGAGGTTTCAGTGAGCTGAGATCGTGCCACTGCACTCCCGCCTGGGCAACAGAGCGAGACTCCATCTCAAAAAAAAAAATCTGGGAAATCACAGGACAATATTAGACAGACCCTGAACAGACATATACAGTTGGCAAACATATTCTCTCATTCTGTGGGTTGTCATTTCACTTTTTTGATAGAGTTCTTCAATGCACAAAAGTTTAAAATTTTGTTGAAATTCATTTCATCTATGTTTTTCTCTTGTTGCTTGAGCTTCTGACACGCACTGTGAGGGAGTCAGGATTCTCAGAACAAAGAACCCGTTGCCAAATCTGAGATCATCAGGATTTATCCCTGTGTATTCTCTTACATGTAGGCTTTTGTTTCATTTTGAGTTAATTTTTTATATGGTATGAGGTAAGGATATATCTTATAAAAATTTTTACGCTATAAAGTGATAAGCCAAAGCCTACAAAGGACAGTCTGGTGATATTTATTGCAAATGTATATCTCTCCCAATTCTATTTCTAGGAATTTATTCCATAGATACAACACAAAAGATATATGTGTAAGGTAATTCACTGCAGCATTCTTTTTTTTTAATAATAGTAAAGCATTGTAAACAGTCCACGTGTCCCTCAATAGAGGCTTTGAAATAAATTGTGCAAAGATAAAATACTATAGAGCTACAAAAAATGAATTTCTGTATGTGCTGCTTTGGAAAGCTCTCCAAAAATTATTGTTCAATGAAAAGAAAAACAAGGTTTAGAAAAGAATGGTTTTTTGGTGTGTGAAACATTTGGGACAATAAGATACACATTTATTTTTGAAGTTTTTAGGTTTTTTTTTTTTTTGAGACAGAGCCTGCGCTCTGTCGCTCAAGCTGGAGTACAGTGGTGTGATCTCGGCTCACTGAAACCTCTGCCTCCTGGGTTCAAGTGATTCTCCCGCCTCAGCCTCCTGCCTCAGCCTCCTGAGTAGCTAGGATTACAGGCACATGCCACCACACCTGGCTGATGTTTGTATTTTTAGTACAGAGGGGGTTTCCCTGTGTTGGTCAGGCTGGTTTCAAACTCCTGACCTCAAATGATCCCCCCTCCTCAGCCTCCCAAAGTGCTGGGATTATAGGCATGAGCCACCAAGCCTGGCCTAAGTTTTAAAAAAAATTTAATTAAAAAATAATTGCATGTATTTATGGGATACAGTGTGATGCTTTGATACACATATGCACTGGGGAATGATACAACCAGGCTAATTAGCATATCCATCACCTCCGATAGTTACCATTTCTTTGTGGTGAGAACATTGAAAATCCTCTCCTTCAGGTCTTTTCAAATACACAATACATTAGTATTAACTATAGTCATCACGCGGTGCAATAGAGCACCAGAACTTAATCCTTCTAACTGATGATAACTTTGTACCCATTGACCAACCTCTCCCCTTTCCCTGCCCGCCCCTCCCTCCAGCCTCTGGTAACCATCATTCTACTCTCCACTTCTGTGAGTGTGACATTTTTAGAGTCCACACGTAAGTGAGGTCATGCAGAATTTTTGCTCTGTATATGCACATGTCTTATGTACAAGTAAAGAAGCTCTGCAAATTTTAAGACACCAAGGATGGGGCATTCCCACAGCGAGGCAGGCGCTGGGTGCAGGAGGTAAGTGAGGGAGTGTTGTTCCAGTCCAGATTTGATTCACTATTTCTGAAAACATGGAAATGCATTACCAAACAATTGGACAAATATACGTTAAAATTTAAAAAGAACCTTCTGCAGAAAAGAAAGGAGCAATGGGGATAAAACAGCCACACGGTCATGGGTGTTGCACGTATAATATTTTGTTCCAGTTGAAGCTCTGTGTTTTCTTAGCCAGTTTTCTCATGACTACTGATGTACTAAGTACAATCACACCGGAGCTGGCCGACGTTAGACTGTGGGCTGTGGCCACGGATGTCAAATAACAGCCCTGGCCTCGTCCACACAGTAAAGAGCAGACCTCACACGGGATGGTTTACCATCAAGGGGTCCAGACAGAAAGGCTGTTCTAGAACCCCTCTCACTTAAAGAGCACAAATCCGAATGAATACATTGTTTTATTGTTTTACCAGTAAGGTTCTTGACACTGATGACTTACCTTCCTATCCCCAGGAAACAGATGGTAAGTGTCCTTGAGGAGAATATCCCTTCACAGCAAATTCACATCTTTCCTTCAGCCTAGAGAGATCAGACAGAGATGAAGACCTCACCACTAAAGACCCACTCTCCTAGCTGTTTTGGAGAGGTCGCTCTTGTCTTTATAAACTTCTGAAGTTGTCTCTTGGCATATTTCCCTCCCCTCAAATCCTTATAAAAACAGGTGTGGCTAAAGCCTGTCTTTGCTGAAAGAACACTCTCTTCCTTAATAGAAAATTCTCTATTGAAAACTTATTTTCCCTGGCTGGGCTCAGTGGCTCACGCCTGTAATCTCATCACTTTGACAGGCCAAGGCGGGTGGATCACACAGTCAGGAGATCAAGACCAGCCTGGCCAACGTGGTGAAATCCTGTCTCTACTAAAAATACACAAATTAGCTGGGTGTGGTGGTGCATGCCTGTAATCCCAGCTACTTGGGAGGCTGAGGCAGGAGAATAGCTTGAACCAGGGAGTTGGAGGTTGCGGTGAGCCGAGATCGTGCCACTGCACTCCAGCCTGGCGACAAAGTGAGACTCCATCTCAAAAAAAAAAAAAAAAAAAGAAGAAAAGAAAGAAAGTCGTTTCCCTTTCTGGCTTCTGTGGTTAGCGGTGCAACAGTAGCAAAACTGGTCTCAGACATGTGAGTGGGAGGCAGGAAATCTGCAAAGTGACAATGGTCACCATGTGTACTCTTCACCCTTTCTGTGTGCTAGACCAGAGGCCCATGCTGGCATGCCATTCTGACATGCACTGTGAGGGAGCTGACATTCTCAGAACAAATGCCGCATGCGTGGAAGATGGAGGAGCCCCGTGCCAAATTCCTTCTGTTTTTATCCTCCTTCCAGTAGGAGCCCCAGATATCAACTCCACAAATTTGAAACTGTGCCAGACCAGAGTGTGTAGAGAAGTGTTTGGGGAACTGTGGGAGGGGGAGAAGATAATATTGGTATAATAAAATCAAATTCGGGGCTGGGCATAGTAGCTCACGCCTGTAATCCCAGCATTTTGGAAGGCCAAGGTGGGTGGATCACTTGAGGTCAGGGGTTCAAGACCAGCCTGACCAACATGGTGAAACCCTGTCTCTACAAAAAAATACAAAAATTAGCCAGGCGTAGTGGTGCCTACCTCTAGTCCCAGCTACTCTGGAGGCTAAGGTAGGAGAATGGCTTGAACCCAGGAGGTGGAGGTTGCAGTGAGCTGAGGTCATGCCACTGCACTCCAGCCTAGGTGACAGAGTGAAACCCTGTCTCAACAAACAAACACACACACAAAAAAAAAAGAAAAGAAAAAAGAAAAAATCAAACTTGAAAAAGAACTCCATTAAAAAGAAAAAAACTGATTTCATAACTATAATAAAAATACGCTATAAATATAGTAAAATGCCATGGAGTCTGTGTCTAACTCTGAAGAAAAAAAATTGTCATCTAAAAGACAGATTCTGGAACCAAACACCAGAAAAGTTCTCAAGAAATGAATGGCTTCTTTAGAAGACAAAGAATGAGTAAGTTCAGTTGTAACCAGAAGTGAAAGCAAAGTCATCTACAGCTATGCTTGGAGATGTTGGTCTTTTCATAGCATGGTCTTTTTGTGGCATGCAGCAGTGAGGGCAAAGAAACCACTAGGGAACTTTGAAGCCTTGGTTCGCTGCTGCTAGGGATTCCATTGTACAGATCTACTATGCACCAGTTAATGGATAGTTTACTTTATCTATGCACCAGTTAATGGATATTTGAATTATTTTCAGTTTTTACTTATTATGAATAATGTGGCTTCAAACACCCCCATGTACGCTTTTAGGTAGACATAAACCTTCAATTCTCTTCATAGATACTTAGGAGTGAAATTGATGGATCGTTTGTTAAGTACAGGTTTAACTTTTTAACACACTTTCAAACTATTTTCCAAATGACTATGTCATTTTAAAATCTTACCAACACATACTTGTCAATACTTGGTATTGTCAATCTCTTAATTATAGGCATTTTAGTGGGTATGAACTGAATGTACGTTATTCTGGTTTTAGTTGCATTTCCCTAATGATTAATTATTTGGAACATTTTTCATGTGTTAGCCATTTATATATCTTCTTAGGTGATATGTCTACTAAAATCCTTTACACATTTTTAATTAGCTTCTAACTATTGAGCTGTTCAAATTCTTTGCATTATCTGTATATAAATCCTTGATCAAATAAACCATTTGCAAATATTTTCTCCAAGTGTATAGTTTATCTGTTTACTTTCTTAATGCTGTCTTTTGAAGAAGAAAAGTTTTAAATTTTGTTGAAGTATAATTTATCAATATTTTCTTTTATGAATCATATTTTTGATGTCAAATCTAAAAATCTTTTTTTTACCTAATTCAAGGCCACAAAGATTTTTCTTCTATCTTTTAAAGAAGTTTTATAGTTTTAGTTCTTACATGGAAGCTTATGGTCCATTTAAATTAATTTTTGTGTATATCTGCTGGTGGGAATGTAAATTAGTACAACCTCTATAGAAAACAGTATGGAGATTTCTTTAAAAATTAAAAGTAGAGCTACCATTCGATCCAACAATCCCATTTCTGAGTATCTACCCAAAGGAAAAAAAATCATTATAAAAAAGACACCTGCATGCATATATTCATTGCAGCACAATTCACAACTGCAAAGATAAGGAACTAACCTAAGTGCTCATCAACCAATAAGTGGATAAGGAAAATAAGGTATATATATACCATAAATACGACTCAGCCATAAGCAAGAATAAAATAATGTTTTCTGCAGCAACTTTGATGGAGCCGGCGGCCATAATTCTAAGTGAAATAACTCAGGAATAGAAAGCCAAATATTGCATGTTCTCGCTTACCAGTGGGAGCTAAGCTATGGGTATGCAAAGGCATACAGAGTGATATAATGGACTATGGAGACTCAGAAGGGGGAGGGTAGGAGGGAGGGCAAGTGACAAAAAGCTACATATTTGGTACAACGTATATTACTCAGGTGACGCTTGCATTAAAATCTCAGATTTCATCACTGTACAATTCATCCATGCAACCAAAAACCACTTGTACCCCAAAAGCTATTGAAATAAAAAATATTAAATAAAAATACAAATTAAAAAGGCAAAAAATAATAATTTTGTGTATGATGTGAGATAAAGGTCTAAAGTCATTTATTGTATATCAATTCAATTCTATATTAGTCCATTCTTACGCTGCTAATAAAGACATACCAAAGATTAGGTAATTTATAATGGAAAGAGGTTTAATTGACTCAGTTCAGCATGGCTGGGGAGGCCTCAGGAAACTTACAATCTGGTAGAAAGGGAAGCAAACACATCCTTCTTCACGTGGTGGCAGCAAGGAGAAGTGTCAAGCAAAAAGGGGAAAGGCCCTTATAAAACCACCAGATCTCATGAGAACTCACTCACTATCATGAGAACAGCATGAGGGTAACTGCCCCCATGATTCAATTACCTCCCACCGGGTCCCTCCCATGACACATGGGGATTATGAAAACTATAATTCAAGATGAAATCTGTGTGGGGACACAGCCAAACCATATCAATAAACATTATCTGTTGAAAAAAAGCTGTCTTTTCTACGGGGATTGCCTTTGCACCACTGTCAAAAATCAATTGTCCATAAATGTAAAGGTTTATTTTTGTACTCTCTATTCTGTTCCATTGACCAACATGTCTGTCTGTATGCCAATACCGCCCTGAGTTGATTACTCTAGTTTTACAGTAAATTTTGAAGTGAAGTAATATGAATTGTGGGTTTTTTTTCAAACTTACATTGGCTAGTCTACATCCTTTGCATCTTAATATATATTTTGGAATCAACTTGCTAATTTCTACAAAATCCTAACTGGAGTTTTGGTAGGGATTGCATTTGAATTTGTAGGTAAATTTGGGTAGAATTGCCATCTGAACAATACTGAGTTTTCTGACCCAGGAACATAACATATTTCTCCATTTATTTAGATATTCACAAAACATTGTTTCGAAATTCTCAGTGTATGAGTCTTACACTTCTTTTGTTGATATTTTCCCAAGTGTTTTATTATTTTTTATTGTATTGTGAGTGCAATTTTTTTCCTTAATATCATTTTAGATTGTTCATTGCTAGCATATCAAATACAATTGATTTTTTATATTGGTTTTATATCCTGCAACCTTCCTAAACTTACTCATTAGTTCTAGCAAGTTTTTTAAAATAGATTCCATCAGATTTTCTACACACATCTTCTGTGATTAAGGACAGTTTTATTTCTTTTTTTCCCAGTCTGGATGCCTTTTATTATTTTTTTCTGGTCTATCCCTGGCTATAACTTTCAGTAAAATTTTCAATAGAAGTGTTAAGAATGGACATGCTTGTCTTGTTTCTGATCTCAGTCTTTCACCATCAAATATCACATAGATACAGGTTTCTTGAGAAAAGCTCTTTATAAGGTTGAAGAAGTTCTGCTTTTTTCTACTTTGTGGAAAGTTCTTTTTATTTTATCATGGATTTTGTCAAATGATTTTCCTATATTGACATAATCATGCGATTTTTATTCTTTATTCTATTAATATGGTATGTAATATTAATATATTTTAAGATGCTAATCTAACCTTACTTTCCTGGGGTAATTCCCACTTTGTCATGGTGTGTACTTAAAAATATATGTTTATGTATTCAGTTTGCTAGTATTATTTTTAAAGAGTTTTTGCATCTATTTTTATGAGAGATTTTAGTTGATAGTTTTTCCTACTTCTGATATCTTTGTATTGTGTTGGTATCTGGGTAGTGATACTGGCCTCATCAAATGAGTTAGGAAATATTTCTTCCTCACCTATTGGTATCGGTTGAACTGTGCCCTCCTTCCCAAATGTATACGTTAAAATGCTAAGTGCCAGTGCCTCAGAATGTGCTCTTATTTGGAGATAAGGTTTCTATAGAGGTAATCAAGTTAAAATGAGGTCTTTAAGGTGGGTCCCAATCCAATACGACTGGTGTCCTTGTAAGAAGGGGAAATTTGGACACAGACAGAGGGGAGAGAATGTGAAGACAGGCGGAAGATGACTCTGCAAGCCAATGAAAGAGGCCTGGAACAGACCCTTCCCTCACAGTCCTTGGAAGGAACCAACCTACCAACACCTTGGTCTTGGACTTGTAGCCTCTAGAACTGTGAGACAATAAATTTCCATAGTTTAAGCCACATAGTGCAGTACTTTGTTATGGCAGCCCTCATAAACAAATACACAGATTTTCTGAAGAGTTTGTATAGGATTGGCAAGATTGCTTCCTTAAATATTGGATACAATTGACCAGTAAAGTCATCTGGGCCTAGAGTTTTTTTTTGTGGGAAGATTTTAAGTTACTAATTCAATTTCTTATTTGTTATCAGTCTCCTCAGATTTTAAATTTCTGATTGAGTCAGTTTTGGTAATTTTTGTCTTTCTAGGAATTTATACATTTCATCTATGTTGTGTAATTTGCTGGCATAAAGCTGTTCATAGGATTCTCTTAAAATTCTTTCTGTAGGGTCAGTAGCTACATTCCCTTTTCATTCCTGATTTTCATAATTTATGTCTTATTTCTTTTTTTCTTTGTCAGTCTAGAGAAAATTTTATCAACTGTATTTCTCTTTTCAAATAATCAGCTTTTGACTTTCTTCCTTACTGTTTTTATTTTATTGATTTGTATTTTGATTGCTATTGTTTCCTTCAATTTACTTTGGGTTTAATTTGCCCTTCTTTTTCTACCTTTTGAAGTGAAAGATTAGATTATGGATTATAGATCTTTCTTCCTTCTAATTTAAGCATTTAAAGCTATAAACTTTCTTTTAGGCCTTGCATTAGCTACCCTCAGAGATTTCAGTGGTTTTGTTTTCATTCAGTTTGAAATGTTTTCTAATTAACCTTATGATTTTTTTTCTTTGACCCATGGTTATTAAATTATTTATTTATTTATTATTTTATTTTGGGGGGATGGTGTTTTGCTCTTATTGGCCAGACAGGAGTGCAATGGCACGACCTCGGCTCACTGCAGCATCCACTTCCCAGGTTCAAGTGATTCTCCTGCCTCAGCCTCCTGAGTAGCTGTGACTACAGGCGTGTGCCACCACGCCAGATAATTTTTGTATTTTTAGTAGATACGGGGTTTCACAGATGGAGTCTCATGCTGTCTTCCAGACTGGAGTGCAGTGGCTCAGTCTCAGCTCACTGCAACCTCTGCCTCCCAGTTCAAGTAATTCTCCTGCCTCAGGTTCCTGAGTAGCTGCGACTACAGGTGTGTGCCACCATGCTGGCTAATTTTTGTATTTTTAGTAGATATGGGGTTTCGCCATGTTGGCCAGGCTGGTCTCGAACTCCTCACCTCAGGTAATCTACCCTCCTCAGCCTCCCAAATTGTTGGAATTACAGGCATGAGCCACCGCTCCTGGCCTCTGTGGTTATTTAGAAGTATGTTTTTCAAATGTTTGAGGGTTTACCAAATTTCTTTCTGTCGTTAATTTTCAATTTAGTTCCATCAGAGTTGGAGGACATACTTCAGATGACTTCAATCCTTTTAAGTTTATTGAGACTAGTTTTGTGATCCAGCAAAGGCTCTATCCTGGAAAATGTTCCATGTGGATGTGAAAGGACTGTATACCCTGCTGTTGGGTGGGAGCATTCTATATGTTAGCTGGGTAAAGTTGGTTGACAGTTGTGCAAGATTTATATATCCTTATTCATTTTATGCCTAGCCATTCTATCAGTTACTTAGAGAAGGGACTTAAAATTTCTAATTACAATTACTAAATTGTCCATTTCTCCTTTCCATTCTGTCAGTGTTTGCTGCATGTATGTGTTATTCAATGCCTATGTCTTTATAATTGTTTTATGTTTCTGATGTTTTGATACTTTTATCATTATGAAATATTGTTGCTATTTATCCCTACCAATATTTCTTGATTTAAATTCTATTTTTTTTCTGATATTAACATAAGTACTTCAACTCCCTTATGGTAACATTTTGTATGATTTACATATATTTTCTCCATTCTTTTTTTTTTTTTTTTTTTTTTGAGACAGAGTCTCTCTCTGTCACCCAGGCTGGAGTGCACTGGTGCAATCTCAGCTCACTGCAACCTCCGCCTCCCACGTTCAAGCGATTCTCTTGCCTCAGCCTCCTGCATCTTGAGTAGCTGAGATTACAAGTGTGCACCACCAGGCCCAGCTAATTTTTGTATTTTTAGTAGAGATGGGGTTTCACCATGTTGGCCAGGCTGGTCTCGAACTCCTGACTTCAAACGATTCGCCCACCTGGTCCTCCCAAAGTGCTGGGATTACAGGCATGAGCCAGCTATATTTTCCCCATTCTTTTACTTTGTAACTACTTTTGTCTGAATTAAAAGTGCTTTTCTTGAAGGCAGCTTATGTAGTCATGTGTCAATTAACGACAGGGATGTTTTGAGAAATGTACCTTTCCAGAAACCTAGATGGTATAGCCTGCTACACACCTAGACTATAGGGTATAACCTAGTGATCCTAGGCTACAAACCTGTACGGCATGTTACTGTACTCAACACTGCAGGAAATTGTAACATAATCATGACTATTTGTGTATATAAACATTTCTAAAGATAGAAGAGATAGAGTAAAAATATGATATAAAAGATAAAAAATGTAACACCTGTATAGAGCACTTACCATGAATGGAGCTTGTAGGACTAAAGTTGCTTTGGGTGAGTCAGTGAGTGAATGGTAATTGAATGTGAATGCCTAGGACATTACTGTACCCTACTGCAGACTTTATACACACTGTGTACACTTAGGCTACACTTAATTTATTAAAAATGGTTTTCTTTCTTCGATAATAAAATAACATTACATACTACAACTTTTTAAATTTATACCCTTTTATTTTTTTGAGGCAGAGTCTAGCTCTGTTGCCAAGCTGGAGTGCAGTGGTGTGATCTTGGCTCACTGCAGCCTCTGCCTCCTGGGTTCAAGCGATTCTCCTGCCTCAGCCTCCTGAGTAGCTGGAATTACAGGCACGTGCCGCCACTCCCAGCTAATTTTTGTATTTTTAGTAGAGATGGGGTTTCACCATGTTGGCCAGGATAATCTCAATCTCCTGACCTTGTGATCTGCCCACCTCGGCCTCCCAAAGTGCAGGGATTACAGGCATGAGCCACCAAGCTTGGCTTTTATCCTTTTTAATATTTTAACTTTTTGACTTTTTTGCAATAACACTTAGCTTAAAGCATATATTGTACAGCTGTACAAAAGTATTTTCTTTCTTTATAGCCTTATTCAATTTTTATTTTTAAAATTTGTAATTTCTTTTCCTACTTTTCAAACTTCTTTGTTAAAAACGAAGAGACAAACACACACATTAGTCTAGGGCTGTACACGGAGGGTCAGGATCATCAATATCACTGTTTCCCACCTCCACATCTTGTCCCACTGGAAGGTCTTCAGGGTCAGTAACATGGACGGAGCTGTCACTTCCTATGACAGCAATAATTTCTTTGGGAATATCTCCTGAAGGACCTGCCTGAGGCTGCTCTACAGTTAAAAAAAATAAGTAGGTGTACACTCTAAAATAACAACAAAAAAAGGTATAGTACGGTGTATACATAAACCAGTAGCGTAGTCATTTATTGTCTTTATCAAGCATTAGAGACTGCCACTATAATTATGTGGGCTATACTTTTATATGACTGGTAGTAGATTTGTTTACACCAGCTTCACCAGAGACTCATGAGTAATGCTTTGTGCTGCAGCATTACCACAGATACGACATCACGAGGCAACAGAAATTTTTCAGCTTCTTTATAATCCTATGGGACCACCGTCCTATATGCGGCCTGTCATTGACTGAAATGTCATGGTGTAGCACATGACTGTATTGGACCGTGCTTTTTCGTACATGTTGATAATGACTGCCTTTTGATTGCAGTGTTTAATCCATTACATTTAATTGTTGATATCTTTGGATTTGCATCTGCCATTTTACTATTTGTTTTTGTATGTCCCATGTCTTTTTCCCCCATCCTATTTTGCTGCCTTCTCTTGTGTTAAACACATCCTTTTTTTTTTTTAAGTGTGAGACATTTTAAGTCCTAGGTTATTTTATTAACTATTTTGAAATTTAATTTTCTTTGTGGTTACTCTAGGGATTATAATACATATCATATCACAATCTACTTTAGCTTAATGCTGGGAATTTTGAAAAATATAACAACTTTGTTCTAATATAGCTCCATTTCCCCATTCTTTGAGCCATTAATGCTATATTTATTATACCTATATATGCCATAAATCCGACAGAACAGTGATAGAGTGATTGCCTTATGCAGTCATATAATATTTAAACAAACATTTTAAACTATCTTATATTAACAAATGTATATATATTTATATATCATATGAACTTACATAATCTATAAATATATATTTAAACAGAACATTTAAAACAAACTCATATAAAAAAAGAGAAAAAAACCTGTTCATACAGCCTTTTATGCTAACCCACATATTTATCATTTCCATTGCTCTTCATTTCTTTCTGCGGATTCATTTCCTGGTACCATTTTCTTTCAACCTGAAAGTCTTCCTTTAGTATTTCTCATGGGACAGTTCTGCTAGCTACAGATTCTGTTTTTGTTCATCTTTCTTTTGAGCAGAATCTCGCTCTGTCACCCAGGCTGGAGTGCAGTGGCACGATCTTGGCTCACTGCAACCTCCACCTCCGGAGTTGAAGTGATTCTTGTGCCTCAGCCTGCAGAGTAGCTGGGACTATAGGTGACTGCCACCACGCCCAGCTAATTTTTGTATTTTTTGTAGAGATGTTGGCGAGGCTGATCCCAAACTCTGAGCTCAAGTGACCCATCCGCCTCGACCTCCCGAAATGCTGGGATAACAGGCGTGAGCTGCTGTGCCCGGCCTGTTTTTGTATATCTTTGAATGAATTTATTTTAGCTTCTTTATATATATATATATATTTTTTATTATACTTTAAGTTATAGGGTACATGTGCACAACATGCAGGTTTGTTACATATGTATACATGTGCCATGTTGGTGTGCTGCACCCATTAACTTTCGTCATTTATATTAGGTATATCTCCCAATGCTATCCCTCCCCCCTCCCCCCACCCCACAACAGGCCCCGGTGTGTGATGTTCCCCTTCCTGTGTCCAAGGGTTCTCGTTGTTCAATTCCCACCTATGAATGAGAACATGCGGTGTTTGGTTTTTTGTCCTTGCAATAGTTTGCTGAGAATGATGGTTTCCAGCTTCATACATATCCCTACAAAGGACATGAACTCATCATTTTTTCTGGCTGCATAGTATTCCATGGTGTATATGTGCCACATTTTCTTCATCCAGTCTATCATTGTTGGACATTTGGGTTGGTTCTAAGTCTTTGCTATTATGAATAGTGCCACAATAAACATACGTGTGCATGTGTCTTTATAGCAGCATGATTTATAGTCCTTTGGGTATATACCCAGTAATGGGATGGCTGGGTCAAATGGTTTTTCTAGTTCTAGATCCCTGAGGAATCGCCACACCGACTTCCACAATGGTTGAACTAGTTTACATTCCCACCAACAGTGTAGAAGTGTTCCTATTTCTCCACATCCTCTCCAGCACCTGTTGTTTCCTGACTTTTTAATGATTGCCATTCTAACTGGTGTGAGATGGTATCTCATTGTGGATTTGATTTGCATTTCTCTGATGGCCAGTGATGGTGAGCATTTTTTCATGTGTGTTTTGGCTGCATAAATGTCTTCTTTTCAGAAGTGTCTGTTCATATCCTTTGCCGACTTGTTGATGGGGGTTTTTTTTCTTGTAAATTTGTTTGAGTTCTTTGTAGATTCTGGATATTAGCACTTTGTCAGATGGGTAGATTGTAAAAATTTTCTCCCATTCTGTAGGTTGCCTGTTCACTCTGATGGTAGTTTCTTTTGCTGTGCAGAAGCTCTTTAGTTTAATTAGATCCTATTTGTCAATTGTGGCTTTTGTTGCCATTGCTTTTGGTGTTTTAGGGATGTAGTCCTTGCCTATGCCTATGTCCTGAATGGTACTGCCTAGGTTTTCTACTAGGGTTTTGATGGTTTTAGGTCTAACATTTAAGTCTTTAATCCATCTTGAATTAATTTTTGTATAAGGTGTAAGGAAGGGATCCAGTTTCAGCTTTCTACATAAGGCTAGCCAGTTTTCCCAGCACTATTTGTTGAATAGGGAATCCTTTTCCCATTTCTTGTTTTTGTCAGGTTTGTCAAAGATCAGATAGTTGTAGATGTGTGGCATTATTTCTGAGGGCTCTGTTCTGTTCCATTGGTCTATATCTCTGTTTTGGTACTGGTACCATGCTGTTTTGGTTACTGTAGCCTTGTAGTGTAGTTTGAAGTCAGGTAGTGGGATGCATCCAGCTTTGTTCTTCTGGCTTAGGATTGACTTGGCAATGCAGGCTCTTTTTTGGTTCCATATAAAATTTAAAGTAGTTTTTTCCAAGTCTGTGAAGAAAATCATTGGTAGCTTGATGGGGATGGCACTGAATCTATAAATTACCTTGGGCAGTATGGCCATTTTCATGATGTTGATTCTTCCTATCCATGAGCATGGAATGTTCTTCCATTTGTTTGTATCCTCTTTTATTTCATTGAGCAGTGGTTTGTAGTGCTCCTTGAAGAGGTCCTTCACGTCCCTTGTGAGTTGGATTCCTAGGTATTTTATTTTCTTTGAAGCAATTGTGAATGGGAGTTCAGTCATGATTTGGCTCTCTGTTTGTCTGTTATTGGTGTATAGGAATGCTTGTGATTTTTGCACATTGATTTTGTATCCTGAGACTTTGCTGAAGTTGCTTATCAGCTTAAGGAGATTTTGGGTTGAGACGATGGGGTTTTCTAGATATACAATCATGTCATCTGCAAACAGGGACAATTTGACTTCCTCTTTTCCTAATTGAATACCTTTTATTTCTTTCTCCTGCCTGATTGCCCTGGCCAGAACTATGTTGACTAGGAGTGGTGAGAGAGGGCATCCGTGTCTTGTGCCAGTTTTCAAAGGGAATGCTTCCAGTTTTTGCCCATTCAGTATGATATTGGCTGTGGGTTTGTCATAGATAGCTCTTATTATTTTTAGATACGTCCCATCAATACCTAATTTATTGAGCGTTTTTAGCATGAAGTGCTGTTGAATTTTGTCAAAGGCCTTTTCTGCATTTATTGAGATAATCATGTGGTTTTTGTCTTTGGTTCTGTTTATATGCTGGATTTTGCTGGACATATTGGTTGACACTGTTTTCTTTGAGTCTTTTGAATATGTTGTTCTACTGCCTTTTGGCCTCTATTGATTCTGATGGAAACTCAGCTGTTAAATATGTTGTTGTTCTTCTGTACATGGGAGTTATTTTTCTCTTACTGCATTCAAGATTTTTAAATTGCTTTGGCTTTTAGCAATTTAACTATGATGTGCAAATCTCTTTGTGTTTTTCTTACCTAGGTTTGTGGGGCTTCTTGAACCTGCTGATTAATGTTTTTCAGCATAGTTGGGAGGTTTTCAGGGCATTATTTCTTCAAAAAAAATTTTTTTAACCTTTTTTCTGCTCTCCTCCCCTTCAGGACTCCTATTATATGTATGTTTGTGTGCTTGATGTTGTCCCAGAGGTCTCTGAGGCTCTGATCATTTTTCTCCAGCCTTTTTTCTCTGTGTTCTTCAGAAAGGATAATTTTTCTTTCTTTCTTTCTTTCTTTTTTTTGAGGTAGAGTTTTGCTCTTGTCGCCCACAATGCAGTGGCACTATCTTGGCTCACTGCAACCTCTGCCTCTTGTGTTCAAGTGATTCTCCTGCCTCAGCCTCCCAAGTAGCTGGGATTACAGGCACCCGCCATCATGCCCGACTAATTTTTGTATTTTTAGTAGAGGTGGGGTTTCATCATTGTTGGCCAGGCTGGTCTCGAACTCCTGACCTCAGGTGATCCACCTGCCTCGGCCTCCCAAAGTGCAGGGATTACAGGTGTGAACCACCTCGCCTGGCTGCAGAAAGGATAATTTCTACTCATCTATCTATGTCTATAGATGTGAGATGATAGAAGGAAATAATCAGTAAGTTCAGACTCTTGCTGTTCTTATATGACATTTGGGTAGATTTCATGAATAGACCCTTTTTAGTTTATTATTTGCTTTTGGTTGATTTCCAGTCCTAAAACGCTTGTTTAAACAATTTTATACTTATTTTTAAAATGAAATGCTTCATGAATTTGTGTGTCATCCTTGTGCAGGGGCCATGCTAATCTTCTCTGTATCATTCCAATTTTAGTTCACGTGCTGCTGAAGTGAGCAAAACAACTTTATACTTTTATATTTGTTTTGGCGGGGAGAGGATTTGTCCACCTTTTTAGGCTGCTCTAACTTGAAGTATCATCTCTGGTATGTTTATAGTTTTTTTTAATGTTTACATTTTGGAGTTTTAATTTTGTTCATTCAGTAGCTTGAGATAGGGATCTAACTTTGTTTTTCTTCCAAATGAATAGATAATTTACCAAACAACTTCTGGCTGACTGACTGCATCCCCAGCTTCAGTCTGTTTGTGTATATAATTTTTGGTTGAGACTAATGTTTGAGCATGTGTGTGTATGTTGGTGCAGCTGTGGAAGAAAATGAATGGCACGTAGGTCCTCAAAATAAAATGAATCACCTCGAAATGTTAAGATAAAATGGAAGCATCTGTATGCAATGGGTGAGATTAATCTGTGGAAGACATCTCAGAGATGACCAGTGTTTAGACTGTTATTTGTGATGCTGTTGTGTCTGACTTTGAGCCATTCATGACTCTACATACTTGTTTTTTTTACGTCCTGTCTACATCTTTTCCTGCATCTAATCTTAGTCCAACATTTTGATTTTAGCTTTTCTGCTATTTTTGTACACTTGGCAACAATGTGGAACCCTTATTTAAAAGAGCAAGTGGCCTCTTAGAAAAGAGACCCCAGAAAGATTCCTCACCCCTTTTACCATGTGAAAACACAGAAAGACAGCCATCTATGAGTGGCCTCTTAGAAAAGAGACCCCAGAAAGATTCCTCACCCCTTTTACCATGTGAAAACACAGAAAGACAGCCATCTATGATCCAGGAAGCAGACCCTCACCAGACTCCAAATCTGCCAATGTCTTGACTTTGCACTTCCAGCCTCTAGGACCATGAGTAACTAATTTCTGCTTATGGCATTTTGTTATAGCAGCTTGAACAGACTAAAACAACGACTTATGCATAAGGAAAATTAACTTTTGGCAAGTTATTTTTATGGCAATGACCTCTCACTCAAGGATATTCAGCAGGTAATTGCAGAAGGAGATAGGAACTCACCTCTGTCTGCAACAGTTCTGAAAAAAAATCTCTTAAACACCACAATTCAACAGGGGGATGTGTCCTGAAAGAGAAATGGGCTTCATTTTAGGTAGGTAAGTCAATCTCCATAGTAATTAGAGACAAAGTACATAAAGCACATCATATGACATAGGACTCAATAAATGGTAGTTATCAGCATCATCATCGTTATAATCATTATATAATTGTTGTTTTGTGATACAGCTAAAATTAAACAAAATTTAAGGATACCGGCCACCCCTAAATGAAATGTTAGCGTGAAATTCCAGACTCTGACAAGCCAAGGCCCAGATAGAAACATAATGCAAGGTCCCCTTACATGGCACTACTATGCTGAGAGCTCGGCCCTGCCTGGAAGTGTCACCTACCTTATCAGTTGCACCATCACTCTAGTTAGCTACCTCATGCTGGGGAGTGTTTCTATGGTGTACAATAGGCCCGCTGAGAGAAAGAGTCTTTGATGCTATTTATTTGGGCTGAGATAGGTCTATGGCTGCCTACATGGGCAGCATTTCAGGGGTAGCACACAGGCTTTGAGATCTGGATGCAGCCCTACTCATGTCCGAGCTGCGTGAGCTTCGCAAGTTGCTTTATCCCTCCGAGACCCAGGTCTCGTATCTATAAAACAAGGTTGATGATACTTTGCAGGGTTTTTGTGAAAATTGGAGATAATATGTAGGAAGTATTCAGTACACCCTAAGTGCTATATAATGGTATTATTTAAACACTTCAACAGCATCCATTAATTACCCCTATCTTGGAGGTTTTACTTGAGGCTTAAAAGAAAAAAATATGTAAAGTACCTAGTACATAATAGACCCTTAATAATTGGTAGGCTATTATGTAAATTTCAAGGAATACAGTTATGGAATGGACTTCTTTAAGTGTAATTCTCAATTTGTAGTTAAGAGGCTTAGGTCTTGGATCTAGAGCTAATTAGCTGTGTACTCTTAAGCAAATCACTCTGGGTCTCAGTTTCCTCACTCGAAAATTACATATTTGCACAAATGAGAAGCCAAGATGTCTCTTTTTATAAATTGAAAAGGAAACTTTTTTACAATTAGCAAGGAAGGAGCTTTGGAATACTAGGGAACATTCTAGAAGCCTGGCTTAACACTACTAAGTTAGGGTCATTAAATTTTCAAAATGAATGAATTCATTAGGAATAAGAGAGGAAGAAAAATATGCATAGCCGAGTTAATTCATTCAGATGTGTTAGCTGTGCACCTGAGTCTTGGAGAAATGTCTTGCTCCTCTGAGCTCCTCCAAATGGGATTTTTGATGGAGTCTTACATGTTTTGCTCTCTTCTCACATCAAAACATTCCACGTACTTTGAGTTTAGATTCAGCCCTTCCTCCTGGTATTAAGGAAGCAGTGAATACATCACCATCAACCTTCTTTCTATCAATATGAGAGACCTACCTGCTGTTTTCTTTATTTTTATAAGAAGAACACCTTTTTGCAGCCAAAAGATTCAGCTTACCTTGAAAGAACCTTTCCTCTTAATTAAAAAGCTATTAACGACATGCTCTTTGAGTTAAATATTGGTGTTTGGCGGGGGAGGGGTGGGGGGAGAGGTTGGTGAATGAGAAAGTTCTGCTTTGGGGATTCTGATACAAAAACTATTAAGGGATTACATAGTTGCCTTAGCCCTGCATACATTCTTCATGATTCATTTATTTGTTCTCGTACGCTCAGTGCCTGGCACATAGTACAGGTATCTGCTAAAATGTTTGTCGAATTAGTAAATGAATAAGAGAAATGTCTTTTCATAGTCTCCAATAAGGAAAATACCATAAATAATCTTGAATGTGTTTCTGGTGGATCCTGTTTGAATAGAATTTAACTGGGCAGGGTACGTGGATTTTGGGAAACTGGGTTTAGGAGCAGTCAGGGAAGGGGAGATGCTAGCTTAGTACCTGCTGGGACCTCTTCCTTCAGACAGAAAAGGGATGGCATAGCGTGAGGAGGTTCACAACCCACTGCTGTGGGTGTAGCATTCAGTCTCCAGCCCGAATAAGGCCTGTTGGCCTCCTCCAACCATAGTTGGGAATTGGGTATGCAAGTGTGGGGAGGATGGATAGGAATGGCTGAGCCTTGCCTGAGTTATTGGAAAGAAGCAAAGGTTGCAAAAACAAAAATAAAAACAAAAATGTTGAAACTAAAAATGTGTTTATATGTGGTATGAAGCAAGTGAATGACCCTTACACTTGCATTTGGTACTTGATGCCACTCTTTAAGGATGATGACTTTTCATACTGAAGATGCCCCTTCCTTTCTAGAGGACCAAGAACTTCGCTTTATTCCTGGCAGTGTGCATTGCTCATGGCAGCATGAAAAAAACAGAGTCCTGAGTATGAAGTAGAAAAAAGAATAGACTAGAAGTCATGGATCACTCGGTAAGCTGTGGGGCTTTTGGCAAATTAACCTCTCTGGGGCTCTATTAGAACATCTGCAAAGTGAGGCGTTTGGACTAGCTGATCTTTTTTATTCAGCAACATAAACTAGGCTGGGTGCTAGGCAGTAGGAGCTTGAGTTGAGTCACACACAGTCCTGGTTCACATTCTGGCTGATAAGAGCTGGAAGAGGAGTTAATTAAAAATACCAGCAGACACACAGGAGGGGATAATTCATTCTGTTTGCTAGGGCTTGGGAGCTGATATTTGAAAAGTAGGAATTCTCCAGAAATTTATTAATTTTGTCATCATTCATTCATTTATTCAACAAATGTTGACACTATGGCAACTGTATACAAGGGTGCCTACTTTCTATAAAGAATAGGGAAATAGTTATGAAGAAAGCAGACAAAATCTACTTTCAGTTTAATCTAAGCTGAAGCTGCTAGGGGAGGTTGGGAAAAGGTACTATTAGTTTTAGCTTTGAATGAATATTTAATATTGTTTCATTTCACTCTCCCAGTATACCCACAAAGAAGGCAGTATTCTCACTTTACAGTGAGAAACCTGAGGCCTAGAGGAGTGAAATCATTCACTGACCTCATACTAATAAGTCATAAGGACTCAAGCCCACCCCTGCCTGTGTTCAGAGCGCCAGCATTTACCCGTATTGCAATTTTATGGCAGAAGTGGCTTCCTAGGCCACTGGGTGAGTGAACACTTGTTTCACCTTCCCAACACTCCTTCTTTGAGTAACAGCGCACCTGTTTTCTTCTGGAGAGCTAAGCCCTCCCACTCTCAATTCAGTCCTATAAAGAGGAGCTCTCATCCCTCCTACAGGTGTCAGAGGCGAGGTCATGATGTGAGCTTAATGTATCAGACCACATGTCCTTCTAGGCACAGTAATTGGCCCAACCAGTGATGGGCACAGGACCAAGCTGTACCAATTGGTATCAATGCCTGGACTTTTGCTGGAAATATTGAAAAAGGGTCTTGTTTTTTTCCCTGGAATTGTTAAACTGTAGACTGTAAGCCTAGAGTAGCTGATGTTCTCCAGAAGGGGTGAGGGAGCCTGCCTGAAAATGAAGCTTAATAGAGAAGTATATTAGTTCATTCTCACATTGCTATAAATAAATACCTAAGACTGGATAATGTATAAGAAAAGAGGTTTAATTGGCTCATGGTTCTTCAGGCTGCACATTAAGCACAGCACCAGCATCAGCTTCTGGGGAGATCTCAGGAGGCTTCCAATCATGGGGGAAGGTGAAAGGAGAGCAGGCTTCTCTCATAGTTGGAGCAGGAGGAAGAGAGATAGAGAGTGGGGAGGGAGGTTTTGTTGTAGGACTTTTCCCTTAGTTCAGCTAAGAGCTGGGTTCTTGTCACATGGCCATGAGAGATCAGGCTTGCAGACACTTTGAAGGGTGAGAATAAATGGAAATTATTGGGCAAAAGGGAAAAAAACCCTAACAGGGACCTTCTACAAAGCCAGAACCCTGCTAGTGTGCTTCCCGCCTCGCAGACTGAATCCCACGTTCAGTCTGAATCCCAGGAAGAGGAGGGGCCAGGCTCCTTCCGGCTGCAAACAGCACCAACTTCCCGAGGCTCCACCCCAGTGTGCACCCCTCCCAGTGCGCAGGCCATTTGGAGTTTCTCTGGGGACCCCTTTACACTTGGCTGTCTCGGTTTCATACACTTTTAAATGGCCAGATCTCTCGAGAACTTGCTCACTATTTTGAGGACAGCACCAAGGGGACTGTGCCGAACAATTCATGAGAAATTTGCCCCCATGATTTAAATCACTTCCCACCAGGCCCTACTGCTAACATTGGAGATTATAATTCAAAATGAGATTTGGGCAGTGACACACATCCAAATCACATCAAGAGGAAAGCAGAATCAGAGCAACAATTTCCAGAAAACATTGTTGGAGGCCTTGGATCTAATTTTGCCTGAAACAGGCACTTATTCCTGTGCTTTCAGTTCTATGAGCTAATACATTATTCTTTTTCCTGTTAATGTAGTCTGGGTTATTATTACTTGCAATCTAAGCATCTGGAAGAATAAAGCCTCCAAGAGAGTGCAGAGAATGTTTATTTCTCTTTCTCCCTAGTGTATTCTTCACAGTACCTGCAAAAGTCTCTACCAACTTCACTTAAACTTTTCTTCTTGGAGGTAAACACGACATGGTTTTTTGCTCTGCTGTGTCTCAGAACTCTGTCCCCAGGGTCATATTTCTATAGATGAGGTGATGCCAGGCTTCGCATGCTCAAGTATGGATTGGGCAGCCTCCTTACTGAGTGTTAACCAACATCTCTCCCTCTGTCCTCTCCAGCGCCTCTCTATCCAGTTCTGGCTCATTTTCTCACCATGCTGTGACCCCAGACAAGCTCTGTCTAACACTGAGGATGTCATGCTCAGAGTCTATATGACTGCTCTACAGTGGCAGCATGAATGAAGGCTGAGGATGACGAGAGGGGACAGCTTCTTCCCTGATCCTAGTTTCCAGTAATGTTTTTTCCAGACTCAGAGTCCCAGAATCTCACCTCTGGAGAGCCTGCCAGATGTAGGCTAATCTTTATAAGCTGAGAGTCAAAGGAGCCCTTACTATCTTTTTATTAGGAATGAGAGAGGTTGTTGGGTGCTGCATTTGACTTTACCTGGCCTCACCATCTGTCTCACTGCTGACATCTGGCACCCAGTCTGATTGTTCCGTTTTTTTCATTTAGAACTCCATCCGCCAGGGTCATCGGAGCCCATTTATTCAAGGGAATGGGGTGACTCTTCTGCTTCCTGTTCATGTTTCCTGACTGCTCCCAGACAAACTAGTATCTGAATTGCTAGGTATACCATTGCCGTATGCTAACAGGAGATATCCTCTTTCCCATAACCAGAGCAAAATGATAGGTGTTTTCACTTCATTGGGTCTTTAAGTTTTGCCCAAGAAATGATCCACTTGGGTTTGAGCAGTACCTTCTTTAAACTTATGGCCTATGGAGTCCCAATCAGATAATTATCTGAGGTGCAAGGAGTCCTGCCTGTATTGACTAGCACAGCTTATGCAGGGTCTCCACCTTGACCTTGGATGGTTCGGCATCCTCCTCCTCACCATCAGAAGGGATCTTCCTCTTCAAGCCAAGTCTGGGGTTGAATATTGCAGCAAGTGTTTTATTGTGGGACACCCACAATCATGTGTTGGAGGCTCTTAAGTGTACAGCTCTCAGTAACAGAACCACCAGCCTCAATATTTAAGCAGAGACTTTTAATCTACCGTCTGGAAAGTGTTGGGCATCTGAACTGCACATCCTGGAGACCTGAGGCATTCGGCCCCCAACAACAAAGCACTGTTCAACTTGAGGACATGAATGAGTTAAACATGGGTCTCTATGACATTCTCTCCAACAACCATCTCTTTCCACCTTGATCCCTGCCTGTGTGGTCCTTGAACCAGGGATGAATTTTTCTCTTCTTGCTGTTGTATTCTCTGAGACCAGTCTCAGCTTTTATTAAGAAAGAGCTTTGCGGGCCAGGCGCGGTGGCTCACACCTGTAATCCCAGCACTTTGGGAGGCCAAGCCGGGTGGATCACGAGGTCAGGAGATCGAGACCATCCTTGCTAACACGGTGAAACCCCGTCTCTACTAAAAATACAAAAAATTAGCCAGGCATGGTGGCGTGTGCTGTAGTCCCAGCTGAGGCAGGAAAATCGCTTGAACCCAGGAGTTGGAGGTTACAGTGAGCCAAGATCGCACCACTGCACTCCAGTCTGGGTGACAGAGCAAGACTCTGTCTCAAAAAAACAAAAACAAAAACAAAAAAAAATCAGAGTTTTGTAAAACGCCATTGACAACAAATCCAATTCCAATGCCTGCGTGAGGACATGAGTCTGAGCTCTAGTGGGGCTCCCTGGCAGCATTTGGTCTTGACGAACACCTCCAAAATAAATTCACTCTAGAAGTCTGACATCACTTTGTAAGAATGAAGCCATCCTTTTCAGAAATACTGTGTAGAGAGTAGCTTGCAGATGAAACTCCACAATGCCTGGGAGGGAAGTCTGAATGGAAGATCAGATTAAAAGAGAGTCAGTGGGTCCTAGAAAGAAGGAATCCTGCAGGGTAGGCCATATTCTTTAGTAGAGCTTGATAATAGTGAGGGAGGACACAACTTTTTCTCTGCCCTCTTAATGTTGTGACTGAGACCTATGAATTAAGCTGACAAAAGACAGATTAATAATGGAAAATCATTTAAATTTTATTTGACATTTATATTTGTATGTGGCACAGGAAGGGGGCCTTCATAGAAAAAAAAGTGAAAACCTCAAGGAAGTGGCGAGATTTGGGGGCTTACGGTACCATCATAACAAAGGGCAATAAATTGTGGGGAAGTGACTAGACAAAGAAAAGGCATTTGGGCTTCTAGGGGTGGCAAATTGAGGGGGAAAAACCTAGGAAATATATGGGAGAAATGAATGGACAATAAGGGTTATTTCCATAAGGTTTATTTGTGCAGACTCATGTCAGAGTTGACTTCTTATCTCCAGTGATATTTAAGATGTTGTGCATCCTTCCTAAGTGAGTTAGAAAGGATACAATAAATAGGTGGGTTTTCCTTTCCAACAGGCATTGTTGAAACTCTGAGACTAGTGTCATAGCTCTGCCCCCCTTGACTGGGGCAGAGGTCCAAGCCAGTGTGGGTAGCAGCCTGCTTGCAGAGAGGAAGAAGGCTGCAGAGTGGTGCCTCCACAGCAACACAGACTCAGGGTGAGAGGCAGCCCAGGCTCACTGTTGGCACATGTAAGACACATCCTGGTGATTCCCAGGAATATGTGGAGCAGAGGAGAAAAACTGTGAGAATTGAAATTCTTGACTGGGCAAATGGATGCTTAGGCCTAGGGAGTTTCGGATATCAATATTCATGTGATCGCATTCGACTCACCCTGGGGAGGCTAAGGAGCATCTGGTTTCACGGTGGCTGGGGAGGGTGTCTTGTGAGGAACCTGTTAATTTTCCACAAAGTGTGAATTTGCACCAGTCTAAGATGCAAATCATTTCTCTCCTTGCCTTTCTCCTTTGCATCAGTCTCAGTGCCCCGTCACTGGAGGGATGATGGAAGGAGGGGAAAAGAACTGTGCTGAGCTCAGTTGCTCTTGGGAGGGGCCTGCCACAGTCAAAATAGGGAACCTCTACCAGGACTGTCAAGCCACAGGCGACAATAGACTTCTGGAAGTGTTTGGCAGCGTAGCTTTAAGGAACCAGCAAGGAAAAGGACCCTGCAGTAAATGTCAGGGGTGCCCTAATTTATTTCTCTAAAAGCCCCAAATCCCCCATTACTAACTTCTCTTCCAAGGCCTAAAAGCCCTCTATTAAAATGCAAATGGATTTGCTAAAGACTTTCCATTAAGCCATTACTAACAATTAATGCCTTAGCTGCCCCTCCTTTTTTTAGGTAGGAATACCGTAGGGAGTTGGGACATAAGGCAGCTAAATTTTGATGGGAGAGAGTGAGAACCTGATCTACCCTCTCCATCCGAGTTACTTGACATTTGCTCTGTAGACTGGGAAGGGGACACGTGGTTGGTGTGGCTTTCTGTGGGTCATAGGCATCCCTGTATTTCAGGCTTCCTGGAGTGTCCGGCAGGTACCTCTCCATTCAAGACGGGTGTAGCTGTGGCTCTAGAGCTCTGTCCATAACCAAGCTGTCTCTCTCTCCCCTGGCTCCCAGAAGATCTCGTGCCCATCCAACACTACCTGACACACTTGACACCAGATGAGTTCTAGAACAGTAGGGGGAATTTCTTCCGTACCAGACCAGGCTCACGGAGGGCCCCAGGTGTGACCTAGAACAAATTGTCATTACTGACTCCATGGTCAGAGAGGCCCAGACACCTCTCCCTACATACTTAGGCACACTAGAGATACCATTTATCCCAGAAGCAACAGGTGACCCCATTAAAAGGCAGCAGTGAGCAGCAAGGTTTTGCCAGCAGGACAAGACCCAGTAGGACTTGATCTCTGCATGTGACCTATACTTTCAGCTTTCCAAAAGTGGTGCATCTCAATCTCTTTTTTTCTTGATAATGGATAATGAGGCTTCTTAATTCAAGGCAATTCAGTCATATGAGTCTAAAACGCAGCCTTTTTTGGGTAACAACAACAAAAAGTCAATAATTTGAGGATTCTTCCTTTAACTCTTATTTCCTTCTCTGAGGGCGTGGTCTAAGTTTCTGACAGGTTTGTCACTTCTCCTGTCCCTCAGGGAAGAGAGTCTCATCCCGGCTGTCCTTGTTCTCACTGGCCTCACTTGACACGTGGCCATCCCCTTCTGGCCTGGAGTGACAGCCTCTATTCCAGCTGCCGATACCCATGGCTCTGCCCTGGCCTCTGTCCAGCCCCCTAGCCTGCCATGCTTTGTCCCCTGTCTGATGATGTCCACAGCTCTTGGGGGTCCCTATGTTCCTGGGAGGCTGATCTTAGGGTCCCCACTGCCAACCGTTGCTGTCCTATTCTATTACTCAGACGGATTGTAGTCTCCTAGCTACATCTTGGTTGCCATGCAAAACCTTTTTTGTTCTGGAATTCCCATAAACCTAATAGGATCACTCTGTTTCTGTTTCGGGTTTTTTGTTTTTCATTTTTACAAACACATCCTGTACCCATAAGCCCAAGTCTTAAAGAAACCCCCAGGCTCCAACTCCTGTGATCCCTTCAAACCTTCCATGTCTTACCACCTCCTTCAACTCATCTGCTTTGGGGCTGGAAGGGTATTGCTTGGGTATTGCTTCTTTCCCATTGGGTTTTGAGTCCCTGCAGACTTTTAAGCATTTGTTATTTAAAGCCCAGGTGTCGGCTGGGTGCAGTTGCTCATTCCTGTAATTTACCCAGCACTTTGGGAGGCCGAGGCAGGTGGATCACCTGAGGTCAGGAGTTTGAGACCAGCCTGGCCAACATGGTGAAACCCAATCTCTACTAAAAATATAAAACATTAGCAGGGTGTGGTGGTGGATGCCTGTCGTCCCAGGTACTCGGGAGGCTGAGGCAGGAGAATCACTTGAACCCGGGAGGTGAAGGTTGCAGTGAGCCAAGATCGCGCCACTGCATTCCAGACTGGGTAACAAGAGCGCAACTTCATCTCAAAAAAAAACCCGCCAAGGTGCTGGGATTTAGAAAACCCTTTTCTGTCTGAGGACACCTGGCTCTTCACAATAAAACCCATGGCTTTCAAGACTATGGGCTCTGCCCTAGACTTAAAAAGTCATCTTGGCCGGGCGCGGTGGCTCACACCTGTAATCCCAGCACTTTGGGAGGCCAAGGAGGGTGGATCACAAGGTCGTGAGATCGAGACCATCCTGGCTAACACGGTGAAACCTCATTTCTACTAAAAATACAGAAAATTAGCCGGGCATGGTGGCGGGCGCCTGTAGTCTCAGCTACTCGGGAGGCTGAGGCAGGAGAATGGCGTGAACCCGGAAGATGGAGCTTGCAGTGAGCCGAGATCGCACCACTGCACTCCAGCCTGGGCGACAGAGCGAGACTCTGTCTCAAAAAAAAAAAAAATCGTCTTAATGGCTAATAAGCCAGGATTGTTTTCATTGTTGTTTCAATGTCACCCCTACCGCAAGGGCAGTGCATGTACAAAACTCTCACTGCTGCTTGGATGGTAAGAAAAGGTAGGGGCTAAGGGGATTAAAAAACGTAAAGCCAGCGAGCACTCCTTCAGCAGCCGCTTACCAGACGCCTGCTGTGTGCCGAGCCCTATGCACGTCACTCGTGTGTCCCCTGTCTCCCGTCTTGGCCTGTGCAGCTATGTTCTGGGTCTGCCCCTACCTCAGTCTGCTCCCATCTGCTCTGCAGGTGACCTCCAGATCCACCCCCAGGGTTGTAGGTGCTGCTGCGGTGGGGGCCAGAGTGGCTGCTGCTGTTGGGGACCCTTCTGTCTGTGGGACCCTTGAAAAGGAGCAACGCTGGCGCATGCGCCGTAGCATCGGGTCTTTCTAACCCAAAGGTCACGGTAGAGAGTCCAGCGCTGTCTTTCTTTTTTTGTTTGAGACGGAGTCTGGCTCTGTCGCCCAGGCTGGAGTGCGGTGGCTCGATCTCGGCTCACTGCAGCCTCCGCCTCCCGGGTTCACGCCGTTCTCCTGCCTCAGCCTCCCCAGCAGCTGGGACTACAGGCGTCTGTCACTACGCCCGGCTAATTTTTTGTATTTTTAGTAGAGACGGGGTTTCACCGTTTTAGCCGGGATGGTCTCGATCTCCTGACCTCGTGATCCGCCCGCCTCGGCCTCCCAAAGTGCTGGGATGACAGGCGTGAGCCCCCGCGCCCGGCCTAGTCTGGGGCTTTCGAGGAAGTCCGCATCGGGGTTGTTTCAACCGCCCCTGCCCCTGCCAGGTCTGCCCGTGTGTGGAGGCGCTGCCCGAGCTTCCCCTGCGGTCTCCTCGGAACAGATGTGCAGCATATGGGGAGGGACTTACTGACCCAGCTCCAGCAGATCCCGTCCGCAGCTGAGCCGAGGAGGTCTGAAGAGGGACAAGAAGCAGGGGGAGTGGCTTACAGCCAGACTGTGGGAGCGGACAGTGTGTCTCAGACTGGAGTCTGGAGAGGAGCAGTCCTGAGGCCAGGCTGCAGCCCCACCACCTCTCTACTGTGACCTGGGTGGGCGGTGCTCCAGCCTTCTGATCCAAAACGGGAATAACGGGACCATGTGACTCAGGGAGTGCTTGGTGCGCACCAGGTGTTATTGGCAATACTGCAACTAACCTCCATAATCCATCGTTAATACGCACACCCACCCTCCATCCACCTGTCCACGGGCCTCCACCCTTCCTTCCTCTCTTCCTCTCTCCTCTGGCCTTGATTTGGGTAACGTTTCCCCACCTCCTCCCACCACCTCTCGTCTGCTCTTTCTGGTGTATAAGGAGGGGTCGGGGCATCGACTGGATGGGTCTGAGGTTTAACTGGAGCATCACAGAGGATGGGGTTCGGTGGGGCAAGGAGGCAGGGCTTTTGTCCGTGTCTCCCGTGATCACTGACCACCGAGTGGTCTGACTGTAGCCCCCAGGCCATCATCTATGCTGATGGAGGCACGTGTGGATCTCATCGACCTGGACTTGTGTAACTCGACCCAGTGGTACAATGAGCACGTTCAGCCAACCAATGTGTGCGCGGGGTATCCTGTAGGCAAGATCGACACCTGCCAGGTAACCTTCCTTCTGGCTTCTGGGCCCCTGGGTCCCTCCAGGACTCTCCCGGCCCCTGAGAACATCCTCCTTTTGGATCCCCAAGCTCCACTATCTCCACTGCTCTGCCCAGGGCCCTTCTCTAGTGACTGCTTCCCCGGTCCCTTTTCTAGCACCTACTCTCACAGTGGGGATGAGCGGTGACAGCCACCGGCTGCCCCTGCCATGTGCCCCTGTGGACACGTGGGTTTGCTCATCTCACTGCAAGGAAAGCCCTGACAATTCACACCCTCCTCACATCCCACATGAAGCCCCTGACACCCCCTCAAACTTTACTACAACCACTTGCGTTTACAGCAGCAGGAGACCATGTGACTGTGGAAATTGTCCTCCCAGAGCCTTCTGACCCCTCTGGGCAGGGGAAGAGTGGCTCAGGCAGATAGTGACCTCTGTGTCCTTCTGGACAGGGGGACAGCGGCGGGCCTCTCATGTGCAAAGACAGCAAGGAAAGCGCCTGTGTGGTCGTGGGAATCACAAGCTGGGGGGTAGGCTGTGCCCGTGCCAAGCGCCCCGGAATCTACACGGCCACCTGGCCCTATCTGAACTGGATCGCCTCCAAGATTGGTTCTAACGCTTTGCGTATGATTCAATCGGCCACCCCTCCACCTCCCACCACTCGACCGCCCCCGATTCGACCCCCCTTCTCCCACCCTCTCTCTGCTCACCTTCCTTGGTATTTCCAACCGCCCCCTCGACCACTTCCACCCCGACCACCGGCAGCCCAGCCCCGACCCCCACCTTCACCCCCGCCCCCACCCCCACCCCCACCCTCACCTTTACCCCCACCCCCACCCCCACCCCCACCTACACCCTCATCTACCACAAAACTTCCCCAAGGACTTTCTTTTGCCAAGCGCCTACAGCAGCTCATAGAGGTCTTGAAGGGGAAGACCTATTCCGACGGAAAGAACCATTATGACATGGAGACCACAGAGCTCCCAGAACTGACCTCGACCTCCTGATCTGACCTGGTTCTCAACAGACCCAGTGAGCCCTTCACTCCTGAGAAAAAGGAAAGATGAAATAAATAAATAAACATATATATATAGATATACACACACACATATCCGTATGTATACATGCATATACATCAAGAGATGCTTTCTGGACTTCTTCCTATCCCCCCTCCCAACCCAAATTTCCCCTATAAAATCTACCCTCTCTCCTTCACCCTACAATAAGGCAGAATTGCTTGTACATTAGTGCCAATCGTGTTTTTTAAAATCTTGATTTTTAATGCTGGAATAAGGTGACCTGGGGCTGTAGACCAGGGATGGTCTTTATTTCACACTTAGGGAAAAACGACAAATGGTGAAAATAAAAGAGCCATCTCTGCATGTGCAAGTCAAAGGAGGTGGACCCCCAAAGCAGCAGCTGTGAGTGAGCTGACTGTGAAAGAGGGGGTGTGGGTCCAAGTCTTCTCTCAGGAGGCTGGTGGTGTTGACACCCACAGAGAAGATTCTGCATGAATGTTGAACTCCCCAGAACACAAAGGCTAAGGAGGCCACTAAGCCACCAAAACAAGTGTCTACTACCAAACACAATTTTGCTTGTGGCTTGTTAGTGTCCAGTTGACACCAACAAGCCTGTTCATTACTTGCCTGTAGTTAAATCTTATTAGTTCCTGGATTTGAGCAAATTAAAAAATGTATTCTTTGCTAGCGCTTTCTAGGAATTGCAATGGGGAATACTTTTTGGATGCCCCTGAGTGAGCTTTGAATGGCTTCCTTAGGATTTGGGGTTATTTATTTTAAGACCTTCCATTGCAAGGAACAGAAACCAGTTAGAGCCATTTAAGTGATAAGGATGCAAAGATGTCACACAGAACCAATAGGAAAGGCCAGAAGCAGACACCAAGAATGGTGAGGAACCCAGGCAAGGCATGACCCTGGTGTGCATAGAGTACCTGCCCCACACTGCCCCACGCTGGGGGCAGCTGTCACCTGGAACTGTTCACATCTATTTGCAAAATCCTGGGGAAGAAATCCTCCAGCCTGACCAATATGGTGAAACTCCATCTCTACTAAAAACACAGAAAAATTAGCCAGGTGAGGTGGCGGTGCCTGTAATCCCAGCTACTCGGGAGGCTGAGGCAGGAGAATCGCTTGAACCCGGGAGGCAGAGGTTGCAGTAAGGCGAGATCACGCCACTGCACTCCAGCCTGGGCGACAGAGTGAGACTCCATCTCAAAAAAAAAAAATGGAAATCCTGATAGGTTCAGGCCAACCGCCCACTCTGATCAGGGAGTAAAAATGCAAAACTTGACTGCTGGTTTAACCCCTTGTGAGACTGAAGATGGCAGGTCTCAGAAAGAGAGAAAACCTTGGCATTTGGCTGAGCAGTCATTGCAACAAGCTTTCACTCATATGTGTGTCCACCTAGCTGCTTGTGTGAGTCAAGTGCAAGGTGGTCCTATGCCCCGGTTACCAAGACAGGTGGCAGAG
Organism: Homo sapiens; assembly: GCF_000001405.40. Taxonomy (NCBI): domain Eukaryota; kingdom Metazoa; phylum Chordata; class Mammalia; order Primates; family Hominidae; genus Homo; species Homo sapiens. The sequence continues at coordinate 113,665,996 of NC_000002.12, read as the reverse complement.
AGAAGGTGCCATGGCAGTTGGGAGGAACCCTGGCTGAGAAAGCTCAAAGGACCAGTCATTTTCCTGCTGGAGCTGGAACCTGGACTGATGGAGCAGCTGTGAGTCTTCATCTTCAAAATTTATTGGTCTACCTGGGTTCAAGCAAATACCCTGCTCTACCCCGCATAAGCTCTGTGCTCTGGGGAAGATGTGCCACCAGAGGGCTGTGTGACCATGAAATAAGGACAGATGCGGAGCATTAAAGCAGGTCTTGACACACCAGAAATGCCCATGAACGTGGGCTGTCATTCATGGGCCAGCTGGTGGTGACTGCTGGTGCATAATCTTATGCTTATCTGCAGGGGCACTTTGGTGCCTGCCATTTTCCTCTTATGACCCCTGAAATGCTTTGGCCACATAGGCGGGCTTGCATATTGAGTCGAATGGCCCATAGCTCTGTAGGATAGTAACAGTTGATCACACTTAAAACATTCTATCTGCCTTGGCTAAGAGCTGGTGCTGCTGAAGTTGGAGTTGGTAATTCATTTTATTGACTTTTAGGCTCTCTCTCCTAAAGCCAGTTTCTTAATCTCCCTTTGTACCCTGGTGCCAGACACTTGACATTCTCTAAATACTAAGCATACAAAATGCAAGGCCCCGTGCAGAAGCCGTAACAGCGGCAGCTTGGGATTCACCCTCAGTGACCCTGAGCCAGACACAGAGCCAGGTGGGCCAGCACGTAGAAGTATGGGGCAAGGTGTGCTGCGGTCACAAAGGGGTTTTGGACAAGTGGGGGTGGAGCTACAGCAGCAGCAGCTTTTTTCTACCCCAGAGACTTCACTGCTTCTCTTCTGAGCTTTCTGTGATCCAGAGTTGATTTTCTTGGTTCTCTCTCCCCATAAATGCTCCTTGTCCTTAGTTTCTTCCCTCCCCAGTGATGGAGAAAATCTTACCCTGGGCCTATCATCTATAGCTGACATCTGGGCCTCCTTGGAGAGACAGGGCCTACTCTCAAGGAACACTCTGTGAGAGGCCATAGACTGGGTGGAGAATTCAAGCCGTGATTCCTGGAAACTTCACATGCACATTAATATGGTGACATACCACATAATCTCCTGATCTTTCACCATTCACACTACTCTATGACTTGCTTTTCCATTTAGCAAATATAGAGATATTTGTATGCTAGTGTGTACAGGCCCATCTTATGTCTCTAAATTGATCTTCCACAATAGGGATACTTATAAGACAAAGTGGCACAGTTCTTTCCTAGGAAGGAATGTTTAGCCTTCCATGCATGAGAGTGCCCATTTCCCTACATCTAAGCCGACACTGTTCTTATCAAATGTGTCTATCTTTACCAATGTAATAGATGTTCCAATTTTCATTTTTAAAATTGACGCTCTTTGATCTGCCTTCATGTTCCTATGGATAGTTTAACCCTGAAAAGGTTAAACTTTCAGATCGTGAAGCAGGTGTCTCCTGCTCATAGTGACAGGAGAAATGGAAGAATGACCAGCTGTGTGACAAACCAAAACTCCAGGGACCTAGACATCTAAGGGGTGTGCCCACCTAGACATCCGAGGGGTGTGCCCACCTAGACATCCGACGGGTGTGCCCACCTAGACATCCGACGGGTGTGCCCACCTAGACATCCGAGGGGTGTGCACACTTAGATATCTGAGGGATGTGCTCACTGTTTTCTCATGGGACAGCTAAGCAAATGAAAAGTATTTGTAAAAACTGAATTCATAATGAAGTTTACTGATAGGAACAATAAAAGAAAATGGTTTGACAGTGGCTAAACTGTACAGGGCAAGACTCTGATGCCAGAACAGTGGGCGCGGCAGGGATCATGCACAATATTGACACTCACAGAGGCAGAGGTCCTCGCTGTGCCTCTCATCAATATAGGAAATCTTACAATATTTGCAAGGGAAAACGTTCTGGTGAATCCAATCTTAGCAAATTTACAATGGAAATGTGAAAAAATGAAAACGGTTCATCTTTAATACGTAGAAAACTGACCAAGAAACAGAAGTTAGCTTAATGGAGTTTACTCCAGAAACTCTATTCTTGGTAAAGAATCATCAGTGATCTAATTCTGGACACTACACATCGGTTTTTGCATGGGCATGTGCTTTCATGTCTCTTGGGTAAATACTTAGGGGTGGAATGGCTGGATCATACGGTGGGTGTAAGTTTTGACATACAAATGCATCCCCGAAGCAATCACCACAACCAAGAGAGTGAACACGTCCGTCACTCCCTAAAGTTTCCTTGTGGCACTTTGCAATCCCTCCAGCCTGTCCCCTCTCCTGCCCCAGGCAATGTCTGGTCTGCTTTGTCTTATATCAATTTGCTTTTCTCATAATTTTATATGAATGAAACCCTATAGCAAGCCCTTTTTAAAATCAATCTTCTTTCACTCAGCATAATCATTTTGAGATTCATTTTGTGTATCGGTGATTTATTTCTTTCCATTGCTGAGTATTTCATCACACGGCTATACCACAGTTTGTTTTCCTATCTACCTGTTGATGGACATTGGATTGTTTCCAGTCTGGGCTATTACAAATGAAGCAGCTATGCGCACTCAAATACAGGGATTTGTATGGGCATACATGTTCATATCTCTTGGCTAACCATGTGTGTGAGGAATGGCTGGTAGGTATATGTTAAAAAGCACTTTTTGAAAAACATTGAGTGTTTTTTCAAAGTGATTGCAACATTTCACAGTCCCACCAGCAGTATATGAGAGTCCCGACTCTTCCACATCCTTGACAAGATTTGGTATGGTCAGTCTTTTTTATTTTCTTTTATTATTATTATACTTTAAGTTTTAGGGTACATGTGCACAATGTGCAGGTTTGTTACATATGTATGCAAGTGCCATGTTGGTGTGCTGCACCCATTACCTCGTCTTTTAGCATTAGGTACATCTCCTAATGCTATCCCTCCCCCCTCCCCCTATCCCACAACAGTCTCCGGAGTGTGATGTTCCCCACCCTGTGTCCAAGTGTTCTCATTGTTCAGTTCCCACCTATGAGTGAGAACATGTGGTGTTTGGTTTTTTGTCCTTGCGATAGTTCGCTGAGAATGATGGTTTCCAGTTTCATCCATGTCCCTACAAAGGACGTGAACTCTTCATTTTTTATGGCTGCATAGTATTCCATGGTGTATATGTGCCACATTTTCTTACTCTAGTCTATCGTTGTTGGACATTTGGGTTGGTTCCAAGTCTTTGCTATTGTGAATAGTGCCACAATAAACATACGTGTGCATGTGTCTTTATAGCAGCATGATTTATAATCCTTTGTGTATATACCCAGTAATGGGGTGTCTGGGTCAAATGGTAGTTCTAGTTCTACATCCCTGAGGAATCGCCACACTGACTTCCACAATGGTTGAACTAGTTTACAGTCCCACCAACAGTGTAAAAGTGTTCCTATTTCTCCACAACCTCTCCAGCACCTGTTGTTTCCTGACTTTTTAATGATTGCCATTCTAACTGGTGTGAGATGGTGTCTCACTGTGGTTTTTACTTGCATTTCTCTGATGACCAGTGATGATGAGCATTTTTTCATGTGTTTTTTGGCTGCATAAATGTCTTCTTTTGAGAAGTGTCTGTTCATATCCTTTGCCCACTTTTTGATGGGGTTGTTTTTTCTTGTAAATTTGTTTGAGTTCATTGTAGATTCTGGATATTAGTCCTTTGTCAGATGGGTAGATTGCAAAAATTTTCTCCCATTCTGTAGGTTGCCTGTTCACTCTGATGGTAGTTTCTTTGGCTGTGCAGAAGCTCTTTAGTTTAATTAGATCCCATTTGTCAATTTTGGCTTTTGTTGCCATTGCTTTTGGTGTTTTAGACATGAAGTCCTTGCCCATGCCTATGTACTGAATGGTATTGCCTAGGTTTTCTTCTAGGGTTTTTATGGTTTTAGGTCTAACATTTAAGTTTTTAATCCATCTTGAATTAATTTTTGTATAAGGTGTAAGGAAGTGATCCAGTTTCAGCTTTCTACATATGGCTAGCCAGTTTTCCCAGCACCATTTATTAAATAGGGAATCCTTTTCCCATTTCTTGTTTTTGTCAGGTTTGTCAAAGATCAGATGGTTGTAGATATGTGGCATTATTTCTGAGGGCTCTGTTCTGTTCCATTGATCTATATCTCTGTTTTGGTACCAGTACCATGCTGTTTTGGTTACTGTAGCCTTGTAGTATAGTTTGAAGTCAGGTAGGGTGATGTCTCCAGCTTTGTTCTTTTGGCTTAGGATTGACTTGGTGATGCGGACTCTTTTTTGGTTCCATATGAACTTTAAAGTAGTTTTTTCCAATCTTGTGAAGAAAGTAATTGGTAGCTTGATGGGGATGGCATTGAATCTATAAATTACCTTGGGCAGTATGGCCATTTTCATGATATTGATTCTTCCTACCCATAAGCATGGAATGTTCTTCCATTTGTTTGTATCCTCTTTTATTTCATTGAGCAGTGGTTTGTAGTTCTCCTTGAAGAGGTCCTTCACATCCCTTGTAAGTTGGATTCCTAGGTATTTTATTCTCTTTGAAGCAATTGTGAATGGGAGTTCACTCATGATTTGGCTCTCTGTTTGTCTGTTATTGGTGTATAAGAATGCTTGTGATTTTTGTACATTGATTTTGTGTCCTGAGACTTTGCTGAAGTTGCTTATCAGCTTAAGGAGATTTTGGGCTAAAACAATGGGGTTTTCTAGATATACAATCATGTCATCTGCAAACAGGGACAATTTGACTTCCTCTTTTCCTAATTGAATACCCTTTATTTCCTTCTCCTGCTAATTGCCCTGGCCAGAACTTCCAACACTATGTTGACTAGGAGTGGTGAGAGAGGGCATCCCTGTCTTGCGCCCGTTTTCAAAGGGAATGCTTCCAGTTTTTGCCCATTCAGTATGATATTGGCTGTGGGTTTGTCATAGATAGCTCTTATTATTTTGAGATACATCCCATCAATACCTAATTTATTGAGAATTTTTAGCATGAAGGGTTGTTGAATTTTGTCAAAGGCCTTTTCTGCATCTATTGAGATAATCATGTGGTTTTTGTCTTTGGTTCTGTTTATATACTGGATTACATTTACTGATTTGCGTATGTTGAACCAGCCTTGCATCCCAGGGATGAAGCCCACTTGATCATGGTGGATAAGCTTTTTGATGTGCTGCTGGATTTGGTTTGCCAGTATTTTATTGAGGATTTTTGCATCAATGTTCATCAAGGATATTGGTCTAAAATTCTCTTTTTTGGTTGTGTCTCTGCCAGGCTTTGGTATCAGGATGATGCTGGCCTCATAAAATGAGTTAGGGAGGATTCTCTCTTTTTCTATTGATTGGAATAGTTTCAGAAGGAAGGGTACCAGCTCCTCCTTGTACCTCTGGCAGAATTAGGCTGTGAATCCATCTGGTCCTGGACTTTTTTGGTTGGTAAGCTATTGATTATTGCCACAATTTCAGAGCCTGTTATTGGTCTATTCAGAGATTCAACTTCTTCCTGGTTTAGTCTTGGGAGGGTGTATGTGTAGAGGAATTTATCCATTTCTTCTAGATTTTCTAGTTTATTTGTGTAGAGGTGTTTGTAGTATTCTCTGATGGTAGTTTGTATTTCTGTGGGATCGGTGGTGATATCCCCTTTATCATTTTTTATTGGGTCTATTTGATTCTTCTCTCTTTTCTTCTTTATTAGTCTTGCTAGCGGTCTATCAATTTTGTTGATCTTTTCAAAAAACCAGCTCCTGGATTCATTATTTTTTTGAAGGGTTTTTTGTGTCTCTATTTCCTTCAGTTCTGCTCTGATTTTAGTTATTTCTTGCCTTCTGCTAGCTTTTGAATGTGTTTGCTCTTGCTTTTCTAGTTCTTTTAATTGTGATGTTAGGGTGTCAATTTTGGATCTTTCCTGCTTTCTCTTGTGGGCATTTAGTGCTATAAATTTCCCTCTACACATTGCTTTGAATGTGTCCCAGAGATTCTGGTATGTTGTGTCTTTGTTCTCGTTGGTTTCAAAGAACATCTTTATTTCTGCCTTCATTTCGTTATGTACCCAGTAGTCATTCAGGAGCAGGTTGTTCAGTTTCCATGTAGTTGAGCAGTTTTGAGTGGGTTTCTTAGTCCTGAGTTCTAGTTTGATTGCACTGTGGTCTGAGAGACAGTCTGTTATAATTTCTGTTCTTTTACATTTGCTGAGGAGTGCTTTACTTTCAACTCTGTGGTCAGTTTTGGAATAGGTGTGGTGTGGTGCTGAAAAAAATGTATATTCTGCTGATTTGAGGTGGCGAATTCTGTAGATGTCTATTAGGTCCGCTTGGTGCAGAGCTGAGTTCAATTCCTGGGTATCCTTGTTAACTTTCTGTGTCGTTGATCTGTCTAATGTTGACAGTGGGGTGTTAAAGTCTCCCATTATTATTGTGTGGGAGTCTAAGTCTCTTTGTAGTCACTAAGGACTTGCTTTATGAATCTGGGTGCTCCTGTATTGGGTGCATGTATATTTAGGATAGTTAGCTCTTCTTGTTGAATTGATCCCTTTACCATTATGTAACGGGCCTTCTTTGTCTCTTTTGATCTTTGTTGGTTTAAAGTCTGTTTTATCAGGGACTAGGATTGCAACCCCTGCCTTTTTTTATTTTCCATTTGCTTGGTAGATCTTCCTCCATCCCTTTATTTTGAGCCTATGTGTGTCTCTGCATGTGAGATGGGTTTCCTGAATACAGCACACTGATGGGTCTTGACTCTTTATCCAATTTGCCAGTCTGTGTCTTTTAATTGGAGCATTTAGCCCATTTACACTTAAAGTTAATATTGTTATGTGTGTATTTGGTCCTGTCATTATGATGTTAGCTGGTTATTTTGCTCGTTAGTTGCTGCAGTTTCTTCCTAGCCTTGATGGTCTTTACATTTTGGCATGTTTTTGCAGTGGCTGGTACCGGTTGTTCCTTTCCATGTTTAATGCTTCCTTCAGGAGCTCTTTTAGGGCAGGCCTGGTGGTGACAAAATCTCTCAGCATTTGCTTGTCTGTAAAGCATTTTATTTCTCCTTCACTTATGAAGCTTAGTTTGGCTGGATATGAAATTCTAGGTTGAAAATTCTTTTCTTTTTCTCTTTTTGGTAGCACAGTGAGTGGAGTTTATTTTTATAATTTGTAGAAAATTGACATTTATATTTCAAAACTTATATTACAAAATTATCAGCAGCAGTCTTAAGCATTTCAACAATGCTGATAGATTCCACTTTGCTAACACAAACAAGGCTATTATACCATGTTCGAAAAGCAAGACTTGTTCCAAGAGGGCCTATTATCATACATCTGCCTCACTGCTCAGGACCCGTTTGTGACTGTGTCTTCTTCCATCTCTTCTTCACCATCACCAGTGGGCCCCGATTTGCGTTCTCTGCCAGGGATCTGACCAGACTGCAGCAACCCCTTCAGCCGCTCCACTTCAGCCAGAGTTGAAGCATTTGCTATAGCATTCTTGATTGTTTCTACATCCCCTGGCGATGGCCCACCTTTCTTTTTGTCAGTTGGCAAACCAGCACCTGGATTAAAAGTTTTGCTTCTCCTGGCAATATCCTTTGCAAGCTGTGCACCCCGTTTGCCCTTGAACATTTTCTCTGCTTCCTGACGCTCTTTTAGTTTCACTTTCTGGAAATCCAGTACTCTGACTTGCGGAACTTTATAAATCACATACAATCTGTAATGCTTCTTATTGGTTACCAGATTTCTTAGGATACTTAGGTAAGTCAGCGATTTGAGAGATGCCAGAGGGTCCAGATCACCCAGTTCCACGAGCCTATTATTGGTGAGAATGAGTTCTGTCAGACAGGGCAGAGCCTGATCAAGTCCCTCACCTATACGGCATATTCTGTTGTTGTTCCCTAACAATGTTTTCAGTCTTCTCAACAAAGGAAAACCATCCAGTTTCCTGATCTCATTGTCAGAAAAATCAATAGCATCAAACTGGTCTAACGTAGCACCTAGATTTTCAATGACGGGAATTTTATACCCCCGGAGGTCCAGCTCCCGGTCGCGCACTGCGTTGGTGTACTGCGCCGCCTGCTCGATCAGCTCCGCCGTCAGCTTGACCATCCTGCAGCCTCCGGTTCCCCCGCGCTGTGGAAAGCTGAAAATTCTTTTAAGAATGTTGAATATTGGCCCCCACTCTCTTCTGGCTTGTAGAGTTTCTGACGAGAGATCCGCTGTTAGTCTGATGGGCTTCCCTTTGTGGGGAACCCAACCTTTCCCTCTGGCTGCCCTTAACATTTTTTCCTTCATTTCAACTTTGGTGATTCTGACAATTATGTGTCTTGGAGTTGCTCTTCTCCAGGAGTATCTTTGTGGCATTCTCTGTATTTCCTGAATCTGAATGTTGGCCTGCCTTGCTAGATTGGGGAAGTTCTCCTGGATAATATCCTGCAGAGTGTTTTCCAACTTGGTTCCATTCTCCCCGTCACTTTCAGGTACACCAATCAGATGTAGATTTGGTCTTTTCACATAGTCCCATATTTCTTGAAGGCTTTGTTCGTTTCTTTTTATTCTTTTTTATCTAAACTTCCCTTCTTGCTTCATTTCATTCATTTCGTCTTCCATCACTGATACCCTTTCTTCCAGTTGATCGCATCGGCTCCTGAGGCTTCTGCATTCTTCACGTAGTTCTCGAGCCTTGGCTTTCAGCTCCATCAGCTCCTTTAAGGACTTCTCTGCATTGGTTATTCTAGTTATCCATTCGTCTAATTTTTTTTTCACAGTTTTTAACTTCTTTGCTATTGGTTTGAATTTCCTCCTGTAGCTTGGAGTAATTTGATCATCTGAAGCCTTCTTCTCTCAGCTCGTCAGTCATTCTCCGTCCAGGTTTGTTCCGTTGCTGGTGAGGAGCTGTGTTCCTTTGGAGGAGGAGAGGCGCTCTGCTTTTTAGAGTTTCCAGTTTTTCTGTTCTGTTTTGTCCCCATCTTTGTGGTTTTATCTACTTTTGGTCTTTGATGATGGTGATGTACAGAAGGGTTTTTGGTGTGGATGTCCTTTCTTTTTGTTAGTTTTCCTTCTAACAGACAGGACCCTCAGCTGCAGGTCTGTTGGAGTACCCGGCCATGTGAGGTGTCAGTCTGCCCCTGCTGCGGGGGGTGCCTCCCAGTTAGGCTGCACGGGGGTCAGGGACCCACTTGAGGAGGCAGTCTGCCGGTTCTCAGATCTCCAGCTGCGTGCTGGGAGAACCACTGCTCTCTTCAAAGCTGTCAGACAGGGACATTTAAGTCTGCAGAGGTTACTGCTGTCTTTTTGTTTGTCTGTGCCCTGCCCCCAGAGGTGGAGCCTACAGAGGCAGGCAGGCCTCCTTGAGCTGTGGTGGGCTCCACCCAGTTCGAGCTTCCCGGCTGCTTTGTTTACCTAAGCAAGCCTGGGCAATGGCGGGTGCCCCTCCCCCAGCCTCGCTGCCGCCTTGCAGTTTGATCTCAGACAGCTGTGCTAGCAATCAGCGAGACTCCGTGGGCGTAGGACCCTCCGAGCCAGGTGCGGGATATAATCTCGTGGTGCGCCGTTTTTTAAGCCCGCAGGAAAAGCACAGTATTTGGGTGGGAGTGACCCGATTTTCCAGGTGCGTCCGTCACCCCTTTCTTTGACTCAGAAAGGGAACTCCCTGACCCCTTGCACTTCCCGAGTGAGGCAATGCCTCGCCCTGCTTCAGCTCGTGCACGGTGCGCTGCACCCACTGTCCTGCGCCCACTGTCTGGCACTCCCTAGTGAGATGAACCGTCAGATGGAAATGCAGAAATTACCCGTCTTCTGCGTCGCTCACGCTGGGAGCTGTAGACCGGAGCTGTTCCTATTGGGCCATCTTGGCTCCACCCCCCTGGTCAGTCTTTTTAATTTTAGTCATTCTGATAGGTGTGTGATAATATTTCACTGTGGTTTTAATTTGCATTTGCTTAATGACTGGTGATGTTAAGCATATTTCCTGTGCTCATTGTCATCCATATATCTTCTTTGGGGAAGTGTCTGTTCAAATCTCTTGCCTATTTAAAAACTTCTGTTGTCATCTTTTTATAGAGTTTTGAGAGTTCTTTTTACATGCTGAGTGTAAGTTCTTTGTCAGCTGTATGCATTGTAAATGTCTTCTCCAAGTCAGAGCTTGCTTTTTAATTCTCTAAATGGTGTCTTTTGGAGCTCAGCAGTTTTAAACTTTGAGGGAGTACAACTAATCACTTTATTCTTTATTGTTACATATTATTTGGTATATCTATTCATTTATTTAGGACTTCCTCAGTTCTCTCAGCAATGTTTTATAGTTTTGAGTGTGCAGGTTTTTCACATATTTTGTCAGAATTATTTATTTATCAGAATTATTTATAAGTATTTCATATTCTGATACTCAATTGTTGATTCCTAGTATACAGAAATACAGTTGATTTTTGTGTGGTTATCATGTATCTTGAAATCATGGATCATGCTTTTGGTGTGTGATCTAAGAGATTTTTGCTTAACCCAAGGTCACAAAAATGTTCTTTTATGTTTTATTCTAGAAATGTTAGAATTTTAGGTTTTTCACTTAGGTTTATGATCCATTTTGAGTTAATTTTTGTATTTCGCATGAACTTGGATTGAATTTTTTTTTTTTTTTTTCCTGAGACATAGTTTCACTCTTGTTGCCCAGGCTGGAGTGCAGTGGCATGATCTCAGCTCACTGCAACCTCTGCCTCCCGGGTTCAAGTGATTCTCCTACCTCAACCTCCTGAGTAGCTGTGATTACAGGCACTCACCACCACGCGTGGCTAATTTTTTTGTATTTTTAGTAGAGATGGGGTTTCACCATGTTGGTCAGGCTGGTCTTGAAATCCTGACCTCAGGTGATCTGCCCATCTCAGCCTCCCAGAGTGCTGGGGATTATAGGCATGAGCCATCGTGCCCGGCTGAAAATTCTTTGGTATATGATGTCCAATTGCTCCAGCACTATATGTTGAAAAGATTTTCCTTTTTCCATTGAAATGCCTTTGTACCTCTGAAGAAAATCAGTCGTTCATATATGTCTGGTTCTGCTTTTGAGCTATTTTGTTCCTTTCATGTATTTGTTTATCTTGACACCAGTACCACACCATCTTACTGCAAATGGGTTTATAATAAGTCTGGAAATCAGGTAGTATACATCTTCCAACATCTGTGTTTTCTTAAAGCTGTTTTGGCGGGTTTAGGTCCTTTATATTTTTCCATATGAGTTTTAGCATCAGTCTGTTGATTTCTACAATAAAAATTCTGGCCGGGCTCGGCGGCTCATGCCAGTAATCCCAGCACTTTGGGAGGCCGAGGTGGGTGGATCATGAGGTCAGGAGATCGAGACCATCCTGGCTAACAAGGTGAAACCCCATCTCTACTAAAAATACAAAAATTAGCCGGACATGGTGGTGCACGCCTGTAATCACAGCTACTCAGGAGGCTGAGGCAGGAGAACGGCGTGAACCCGGGAGGCAGGGCTTGCAGTGAGCCGAGATTGTGCCACTGCACTCCAGCCTGGACAACAGAGCGAGATTCCGTCTCAAAAAAAAAAAAAAAATTCTGCTGAGATTCAGAAATCCCATTACTGGGTATACATCTAAAGGAATATAGATTTCAACAGGAAATCAGTACGTTAAAGAAATATTTGCATTCCTTTGTTCATTGCAGCACTGTTAACAATAGCCAAGATATGGTATCAACCTAAGCATCCATCAACAAGATGAATGGATCAAGAAAATGTGATATATATACACAGAGGAATACTACATAGCCATCAAAAGGAGATTTTATTATTTGTGAAAATGTGGATGAACTGGAGGACATTAGGTGAAATAAGCCAGATACGGAAAGATACATGCTGCATGATGTCACTTATATGTGGAATGTAGTAAAGTCTAAGTCATAGAAACAGAGTAAAATGGTGGTTTCCAGAGGCTGGGGGGTGGGAAGATTGGGAGACTTTGGTCAAAGGACACAAAATTTCAGTTATTCAGGAGCAGTAAGTTCAAGACATGTATTACACATCATGGTGACTATAGTTAATAACAATGTATTGTACACATAAAAATTGCCAAGAGAGTGGATTTTAAGTGTTTTTACTATAAAGAAAATGAAATGATAATTATGTGAGATAATGTTAAATAGCTTGATTTAGCCATTCCACAATGGATACATATATCAAAACATCATGTTGTATATCAGAAATATATACAATTTTTGCTTGCCAATTGAAAGAATTAACTTAAAAGAATCTGCTGATGTTTTCATTGGATTGTGTTGAATTTGCAGGTCAATTTGGGAAGACATGACACCCTAACAATACTGCGTCCTCTGAGTCATGAGCTCAGTGTATCTATTCATTTATTTCGTGTACTGTGTCCTCTGAGTCATGAGCTCAGGGTATCTATTCATTTATTTAGGGTACTGCGTCCTCTGAGTCATGAGCTCAGGGTATCTATTCATTTATTTAGGGTACTGCGTCCTCTGAGTCATGAGCTCAGGGTATCTATTCATTTATTTAGGGTACTGCGTCCTCTGAGTCATGAGCTCAGTGTATCTATTCATTTATTTAGGGTACTGCGTCCTCTGAGTCATGAGCTCAGGGTATCTATTCATTTATTTAGGGTACTGCGTCCTCTGAGTCATGAGCTCAGGGTATCTATTCATTTATTTAGGGTACTGCGTCCTCTGAGTCATGAGCTCAGTGTATCCATTTATTTAGGGTACTGCGTCCTCTGAGTCATGAGCTCAGGGTATCTATTCATTTATTTAGGGTACTGCGTCCTCTGAGTCATGAGCTCAGGGTATCTATTCATTTATTTAGGGTACTGCGTCCTCTGAGTCATGAGCTCAGGGTATCTATTCATTTATTTAGGGTACTGCGTCCTCTGAGTCATGAGCTCAGTGTATCCATTTATTTAGGGTACTGCGTCCTCTGAGTCATGAGCTCAGGGTATCTATTCATTTATTTAGGGTACTGCGTCCTCTGAGTCATGAGCTCAGGGTATCTATTCATTTATTTAGGGTACTGCGTCCTCTGAGTCATGAGCTCAGGGTATCTATTCATTTATTTAGGGTACTGCGTCCTCTGAGTCATGAGCTCAGGGTATCTATTCATTTATTTAGGGTACTATGTCCTCTGAGTCATGAGCTCAGGGTATCTATTCATTTGTTTAGGGTACTGTGTCCTCTGAGTCATGAGCTCAGTGTTTCCATTTATTTAGGTTACTGTGTTCTCTGAGTCATGAGCTCAGTGTGTCTATTCATTTATTTAGGGTACTGCGTCCTCTGAGTCATGAGCTCAGGGTATCTATTCATTTATTTAGGGTACTGTGTCCTCTGAGTCATGAGCTCAGGGTATCTATTCATTTATTTAGGGTACTGTGTCCTCTGAGTCATGAGCTCAGTGTATCCATTTATTTAGGGTACTGTGTCCTCTGAGTCATGAGCTCAGTGTGTCTATTCATTTATTTAGGGTACTGCGTCCTCTGAGTCATGAGCTCAGGGTATCTATTCATTTATTTAGGGTACTGTGTCCTCTGAGTCATGAGCTCAGGGTATCTATTCATTTATTTAGGGTACTGTGTCCTCTGAGTCATGAGCTCAGGGTATCTATTCATTTATTTAGGGTACTGCGTCCTCTGAGTCATGAGCTCAGGGTATCTATTCGTTTATTTAGGGTACTGCGTCCTCTGAATCATGAGCTCAGTGTATCTATTCGTTTATTTAGGGTACTGTGTCCTCTGAGTCATGAGCTCAGGGTATCCATTCATTTATTTAGGGTACTGTGTCCTCTGAGTCATGAGCTCAGGGTATCTATTCATTTATTTAGGGTACTGTGTCCTCTGAGTCATGAGCTCAGTGTATCCATTTATTTAGGTTACTGTGTCCTCTGAGTCATGAGCTCAGTGTGTCTATTCATTTATTTAGGGTACTACGTCCTCTGAGTCATGAGCTCAGGGTATCTATTCATTTATTTAGGGTACTGCGTCCTCTGAGTCATGAGCTCAGTGTATCTATTCATTTATTTAGGGTACTGCGTCCTCTGAGTCATGAGCTCAGGGTATCTATTCATTTATTTAGGGTACTGCGTCCTCTGAGTCATGAGCTCAGGGTATCTATTCATTTATTTAGGGTACTGCGTCCTCTGAGTCATGAGCTCAGGGTATGTATTCATTTATTTAGGGTACTGCGTCCTCTGAGTCATGAGCTCAGGGTATCTATTCATTTATTTAGGGTACTGCGTCCTCTGAGTCATGAGCTCAGGGTATGTATTCATTTATTTAGGGTACTGCGTCCTCTGAGTCATGAGCTCAGGGTATCTATTCATTTATTTAGGGTACTGCGTCCTCTGAGTCATGAGCTCAGGCTATCTATTCGTTTATTTAGGGTACTGCGTCCTCTGAGTCATGAGCTCAGGGTATCTATTCATTTATTTAGGGTACTGTGTCCTCTGAGTCATGAGCTCAGGGTATCTATTCATTTATTTAGGGTACTGTGTCCTCTGAGTCATGAGCTCAGTGTATCCATTTATTTAGGGTACTGTGTCCTCTGAGTCATGAGCTCAGTGTGTCTATTCATTTATTTAGGGTACTGCGTCCTCTGAGTCATGAGCTCAGTGTATCTATTCATTTATTTAGGGTACTGCGTCCTCTGAGTCATGAGCTCAGGGTATCTATTCATTTATTTAGGGTACTGCGTCCTCTGAGTCATGAGCTCAGGGTATCTATTCATTTATTTAGGGTACTGCGTCCTCTGAGTCATGAGCTCAGTGTATCTATTCATTTATTTAGGGTACTGCGTCCTCTGAGTCATGAGCTCAGGGTATCTATTCATTTATTTAGGGTACTGCGTCCTCTGAGTCATGAGCTCAGGGTATCTATTCATTTATTTAGGGTACTGCGTCCTCTGAGTCATGAGCTCAGGGTATCTATTCATTTATTTAGGGTACTGTGTCCTCTGAGTCATGAGCTCAGGGTATCTATTCATTTATTTAGAGTACTGCGTCCTCTGAGTCATGAGCTCAGGGTATCTATTCATTTATTTAGGGTACTGTGTCCTCTGAGTCATGAGCTCAGGGTATCCATTCATTTATTTAGGGTACTGTGTCCTCTGTGCCATGAGCTCAGTGTATCTATTCATTTATTTAGGGTACTGCGTCCTCTGAGTCATGAGCTCAGTGTATCCATTTATTTAGGGTACTGCGTCCTCTGAGTCATGAGCTCAGTGTATCTATTCATTTATTTAGGGTACTGTGTCCTCTGAGTCATGAGCTCAGGGTATCTATTCATTTATTTAGGGTACTGTGTCCTCTGAGTCATGAGCTCAGGGTATCTATTCATTTATTTAGGGTACTGTGTCCTCTGAGTCATGAGCTCAGGGTATCTATTCATTTATTTAGGGCTGCTTCAATTTCTCTCAGCAATGTTTTGTAATTTTGAGTGTGCAGGTTTTTCACATATTTTGTCAGAATTATTTCTCAATATTTCGTATTCTGATATTCAATTGTTGACTGCCAGTATACAGAAATACAATTGATTTTTGTGTGGTTCCCATGTATCTTGAAACCATGCCAAGTTCATTTATTAATTCTGGTGCTCTGTAGCTGCCACTGGATTTCAACATAGACAATCAAGTCTTCTGTGAATAAAGACAGTGTTATTTCTTTCTTTATTTTTGAGATGGAGTCTCGCTCTGTCTTCCAGGCTGGCGTGCAGTGGCACAATCTTGGCTCACTGCAACTTCTGCCTCCCAGGTTCAAGTGATTCTCCTACCTCAGTCTCACGAGTAGTTGGGACTACAGGCATGTGCCAGAACGCCTGGCTAATTTTTGTATTTTTAGTAGAGATTGGGTTTCACCATGTTGGCCAGGCTGGTCTTGAACTCCTGACCTCGGGTGAACCACCCAACTCGGCCTCCCAAAGTGCTGGGGTTACAGGTGTGAGCCTCCACGCCCAACCTTATTTATGTTTTTCTATCTGAAAGCCCTTGTTTTTCTTGCCTTATTTCACAGTACAATGCTGAATGGAAGTGGTGAGAGTGGACATTCTTGTTCCTGAGCTTAAGCATGAAAAGCTTCAGTCTGTTGCCATTAAGTGTGATGTTAACTGTGGGTTTTTCACAAATACCATTTATTAGGCTGAGGATATTTTATTCTCTAAGAAAAATATAGAGGTTTATATTTTTGCTAAGAGGTTTATATTTTTATTTTTTACACAGTAATGAGTGTTGAATTTTGCCAGCTTTTCCTACATTTATTGAGATGATCATGTAATTTTTCTGTTTTTACTTAGTTAATCTGGTGTATTAAATAAACTATTTTAGAACAACTTTAGATTTATAGTAGTCACAGATTGTTACAGATTTAATCCTCTAGTTTGAGACTATTTCTCAGTCTTTCTTTGCTCTTATATGACCTTGACAAATTTGAGGGATAGTTAGGTATTTTGTAGAATATCCCTCCATTTGAATTTGTGTAATATTTTTCTCATGATTATATTGGGATTATGAATTTTGGGAAAAAGTCTCATAGAGACAAATTATCCTCATCACATCCTATCAGGAGTCTACAACATACATATGACAACAGTGATGACATTAACCTTGATCCGTTGGTCAGGGCAGTGTTTTCTGGGTTTCATCACTGTTCGCTTTCTATAAGTGCTTCTTTAGAAGTGAGCCACTCAGTCCAGCCCATTCTCTGTAGTGATGGTGGTTGGGGGTGTTGGCTCCACCCCCTGCAGATGGCAGGAGTTACACATAGTATTTTTAATTTTTCTGTATGAAAGATTTGTCTCTTATTATTCATCTATTCATTATATTAGTGTAGATCCCTAATGTATATTTATTTTATACAGTGGACTATAAACCAATATGACATTATATAATTTGTTGCTCACATTTTTCCAGCTTTGCCCATTGGGAGCCCTTTCATATTGGCTCTTGAGTCCCTTTGACATGCCTTCATCATTTTTTAAATTAAAAAATTATTACTAATTTATTTTTATTTTATGGAGATAGGTTCTTTCTATGTTACAGCCCAGGCTGGTGTGGTCTTGAACTCCCGGCCTCAAGCAATCCTCCTACCTCTGCCTTCCAAAGTGCTGGGATTACAGGTGTGAGCCATTGCACCCGTGGCTTCATTCCCGGCTTCATTTAATTTGTTGAGCACATCCTTCCTTTCTGATATAATAGGTGCTACAGGCTCATTTTGCATTTCCCCTGCTTCAACCCTGGAATCCACCATTTCTCTAAAGTAATCTGGTTTTTTCACTGGAAAGTGTTTTTTTAGAAACTAAGATCTGGACACTGGGTGTGCTTGTCAATACTGAGATGTATTACTTCTAAGCCCTCAAAGCTGGATGAGACAGTTAGGTAATATATGTTGTATACTAACCCATGTACACACATGTATCTATTATTGTTTTTGTATCTATCCATTTTATATATATATAAAGCTAAATGAGAGTTCACGATAATACTTTCACCTCTTATCCAGTACCGCAAGATTTAGTTTATCCTTTTCTTGCTTCCAATACTTTTTTTTTTTTTGAGACAGAATCTTGCACTGTGGCTCAGGCTAGAGTGCAGTGGCGTGTGATCTCAGCTCACTGCAACCTCCCCCTCGTGGGTTCAAGCGATTCTCCTGCTTCAGCCTCCCGAGTAGCTGGGACTATAGGCGCCCACGACCACGCCTGGCTAATTTTTTGTATTTTTAGTAGAGACGGGGTTTCACCATGTTGGCCAGGCTGGTCTCGAACTCCTGACCTCGGGATCCGCCCACCTTGACTTCCCAAAGTGCTGGGATTACAGGCGTGAGCCACCGTGCCCAGGCCCATTAATTTTTTTTTTTTTTTGAGACGGAGTCTCACTCTGTCGCCCGAGCTGGAGTGCAGTGGTGCGATCTCAGCTCACTGCAAGCTCCGCCTCCCGGGTTCATGCCATTCTCCTGTCTCAGCCTCCCGAGTAGCTGGGACTACAGGTGGCCGCCACCATGCCCGGCTAATTTTTTTTGTATTTTTTAGTAGAGATAGGGTTTCACTGTGTTAGCCAGGATGGTCTCGATCTCCTGACCTCGTGATCCGCCCGCCTCGGCCTCCCAAAGTGCTGGGATTACAGGCGTGAGCCACCGCGCCCGGCCCCATTAAATAATTTTTAAATGTTTAACTGACATTGCACTCCTGGGATAAACTCCACTTTAGTCATGTGTATTATCCTTTTAATATGCTGCTGGACTTCTCTTATTTATTTATGTATTTATTTTATTTAGAGGCAGGGTCTCATTCTGTCATCCCAGCTGGAGTGTAGTGGTGCAATCATAGGTCACTGCAGCCTTGAACTCTTGGGCTTAAGCGATCCTTTCATCTCAGCCTCCCTAGTAACTGGGACTACAGTCATGTGCCGCCACACCCAGCTAATTTTAATGTTTTTAGTAAAGACGGGGTTTTGCCATGTCGGCCATGCTGGTCTTGAATTCCTGGCCTCAAGTGATCTGCCCTCCTTGGCCTCCCGAAGTGCTGAGATTACAGGCGTGAGCCACTGCACCCACCCACAATTAATTTTAAAGTATTCTCGTTACTTGAAAATCTGTACCCTTAGCTTCCTGGCCCCCACCAAATTCCTTCCCAACTTCACCGGCAACCCCCCCACCCTAAACAACCACTATCTGTTATTTTTGTCTGTAATCTTTCTGTTCAGTAATCTTTCTGTCTCTGTAGATTTGCCTGTTCTGGACATTTCATATTAATGAAATCGCACAACCTGCGGTGCTTTATACGTGGCGTCTTTCATTCAACATACTTTTTTTTCAGTTTCATCCATGTTGTAGCACATATTAGCACTTCATTTCTTTGTATTTTTGAGTAATATTTCATCGTGTGGATATACCACATTTTATGGATATTTGGATTATTTCCAGCTTTTTGGTTATTATGGATAGTGCTGCTATAACCACTCATATACAAGCTTTTCTGTGAGCACATGTTCTCATTTCTCTTGAGTGTATACCTAGGAGTAGATTTGCAGGATCATATGGTTAACTCGATATTTCACCATTCCAGGACTGCCAAACTGTTTTCCAAAGTGCCTGCACTATTTTACTTCCTCCTCAGCAGTGTATAAGGGTTCCGATTTCTCCACAGCCTCATTAACACTTGCTATTATCTTTTTCATTACCAGTAAGTGGCATCTCATTCTGGTTTTGATTTGCATTTCTCTCATGACTAATGATGTTGAGCATCTTTTCATGTACTTATCGGCCATTTGTATATTTTCTTTGGAGAAATGTGCATTTGCTTCATGTATTTTTAAAAACCATTTTATCGATATACATATTTAAGGTATACCACTTGATGAGTTTGAAATAAGTATATACCCATAAAAACGTCACCACAATGAATGCCATAAACATATTCATCACTTCAAAAAGTTTGCTCCCTCTCTCTTCATTTCTAATTCTCATGTTTTGTGATAAGGACACTTAACATAAGATCTATTTCCAGTAAATCTTTAAGTATGTAATACAGTGTTGTTAACTATAGTCACTATGCTGTACAGGAGGTCTCTAGGACTCATCCCTCCGGCATAGCTGAAGCTTTGCACCCAATGAGCAATGCCTGCTTGTTTCCTCCTCCCCCTAGCCCTTGGCAACCACCATTCTACTCTCTGCTTCTCAGTTTGAATATTTTAGATTCCTTATGTAAGTGAGATCATGTAGTATCTGTCCTACTGTGTCCGGCTTCTTTAACTTAGTATATTTGCTGCAAATGGAAGGATTTCCTTTTTATTTTATTTTATTTTATTTTATTTTGAGACTGAGTCTCGCTCTGTTGCCCAGGCTGGAGTGCAGTGGCGTGATCTAGGCTCACTGCAAGCTCTGCCTTCTGGGTTCACGCCATTCTCCTGCCTCAGCCTCCCAAGTAGCTGGGACTACAGGTGCCCGCCACCATGCCTGGCTAGTTTTTTTTTTTTTTTTTTTTTGTATTTTTAGTAGAGATGGGGTTTCACCGTAGCCAGGATGGTCTCGATCTCCTGACCTTGTGATCCGCTGGCCTCGGCCTCCCAAAGTGCTGGGATTACAGGCGTGAGCCACTGCGCCAGGCCAGGATTTCCTTTTTTAAAAAGGCTGAATGATGTTCCATTGTACGTATATGCCACATTTTCTTTATGTATTCATCCGTGGTTGAAAAAAAAAATTTTTTTAAGCATCTCTTTCAATCTTTGCAGATTGGCTTTGTGCTGGGGCATTCCTTCAACACCTAACCAGGATATTAACAACTCTGTCTTAGCCTTCACTTCTTGATAACCCTGGACCTAGAGATCTTCCAAAGGAAAAAGCTTAGGGTCTTCTCAGATCTTTCCTGAATGCGTGACCTGCCCTGGGTATGTGCATGACATTTGAAATCCCCAATAAACACAAGTATTTTTTGAATGTCCTGATTTCCCAAAGAAACTCTCCCAGATTTTCCTCCCAGGCTTTATGTAATATATTGTATGTCTGAACCACAACTTTTTGTCCCAGGGAGCTGTGGGTTTTTTGGTCATCTCAGAATGTTTTTAAGCAATGCCTGCCACTTTTCTACCTTGAGTGGATTCAGACTTGGGCAAAACAGACAAATGCCTCATTTTAGTCTCTCAGATCGTTTCTGACCGGTTAGAATAGACAAACAAAGTCATTTGTGAATAAGGTCTGCCTTGCTCCCTCTGGAACCTGGGACCTGGGTCCTAAATTGGGAAAATGGACTACTATCTTCAAGATCACCATCAAGCTGATGAAGGGGTGGGGCAAGGGCAAGTGAAAATGCCACACCACTTTTCTGTCACTTTGAAGTTGCCCTTTCCTCATTTCAGGGCTTTCCTGATTGATATAAGTCTTTTACTGTTTTCCAGAGTTCTGGTAAAGTTTCTGCTGCTTTTTCTCCATGTTTCTGTAGAGGGACAGGAGTTTGGAGCTGTCTACTCTGCCATTTTCCTGATGTCACTCCACTTCTGAGTCTTTCCTATCTTTGTGGATAGCAGAGATGTCGATCTCGGATATGATACCCTGTAAGGATGGGGTCCTTCATGATGTGATATACAACTTAATATTCATTATATGGTTTTATGTCCCCAACATGTCTAGTAACCAAGGAGTGGACATAGGAGCGCCCCGCTCGCTAGCACTCTCAGTGACACACTTGGGGAATCTGTGTTTGTGTCTACAGCTTTAGGCTCTGTGAGCTGAAGTCTTGGACTCTGTGAGTGGCAGTGTGGGGAGTGGGGGAGGCATTTCCACCAAGTGATACAGTAAGAGTTTCACTAAACACAAAGCTATGGCTGCTTCCTAGACAGTCCATGCGCTTGTAACTGGCAAGCAGAGTTAGCATTCTGGAAAGAGGTGATTGCCTGTAATCGTCATTAGGAAGAAAGGATGTTGCCAGATAATAATAGGAAGGAGCACTGTATTTGGTACTCAGATGATTCATGCTGTCTCTTGGTACTTGCATGTTTAGATATAACTATGTAAGTGTTAACAACCACCGCCTCATAAAGGCATAGTAAGCAGGGGCTCATACCCCATTAGGCAAGAGGAGCAGGATCAACCCCCCAGGCAAACAACCTAGACCAGCAAAAGTGCTAGCCAGAGAATGAGAGGTGACAAGTATCAGTCTCTGCATGGGGTCCAACTACAATAGCAGGGGCTATGGTTTGTCCTTTCCCATTGACCCTTCTCTTGTACATTCCCCCAGGACTGGTGACCAGTTAGAAACATGGAGCAGCTCTACCTGGATGGAATGAACTTTAAGAAGCAGGTGGATCTGAGCAATGTACACATGGGTGGCTTGTGGATGTTGCTGGCACCCTGCCTAAACATTCATCCTCCAATTGCTTTGAGTTGGAAGCGCACAGTTACCCTTTTCCCCAGAGAACTGACCTTACTGAAACAGAAGGCCCCCTTCCACCTCACACCCTTGGCTGAAGGGCACAAAAGGCCCCTGGTCTTGAGGTAGGACTAACTCTGGAGGGCAATTTGCCCTCCAGAGCTTCCCTGGGACGGGGTGGGGTGGTGAAGCCGGCCTCCAGCTGAGACCACAACCTTGCTGAGCTTCTTGTCTCCTGCCCCCCTCACTCTTCTGAGAATGACCCTAATTAAGTCATTTGAACCACGGCCTTCTCAGGGTCAGCTTCTAAGGAACCTGATACAGAATAGTCCCATAAAACCAACACGATGGTGAACTTTATAGTCTGCAAATTCTATCTCAGTAAGGCTGTTGTATTTTTTTTAAAGTACTTAGTAGTTATTTACAGTAACTACATTTTTTTAAGTTCTACCTCATCAGGGTATACGTTCCTGGGAACCCCTGGTCAGGTCAAACATCTTACGTTGAACATCTAAGTATTGCTGATTTCAAGGGGAAATGTACTTGTTCTTGAGCTCCCAAATTAATAGGTAATTGAATTCTTTTGAAAACACTAAATTCCACTGAAATGGCCTCCAATATAGTGAATTGAGAGTAAACATGGGCTACCCTGCAACAGGTCAAGGCAGCTACCCTTCATTGATAAGGGTGATGATTTGCAGATTCTTTTGTCTTTTTGCTCAGTACACACTTCAGAGCCACAAAGCACATACATTTACTCAATGTTTATGTCATTCAGCCTTTACTGTAAAAAAGGAAACAATAAAAACAAAACCCTATTAATAAACACAATGCAAACAATGCCCGAGATTATCATAAAAACATACTAGCAAGCCACAAGTACCAGAGAGGGGTGAACAGGCATATCTGCTAGCTCTCCTCTTGCAGTCCTCAGCCTCCCACAGGAGGCACAAGGTCCAAACTATTCCTAAAAAAAAAGGACAGCCTCTTTATGCTGAAATAGGAACTTTAAAGGAAGCTCTTCTTGTAGTCCAAATGGACGTACCTTGTGGTATGGCTGTAAGGACTCGATTTTACCGCTTGTGTATTCCTAACTATAGCTAGGCCTGTCACCTGCTGTTCCTGTGATCTCAGCTTTACCTAGAAGAGCTCCTGAAACAGAGTGGGTACACGGAAATCTGGAATGAATAGCTATCTGCTCAAAAACGATTGTTTAAAAACAGATGATTGGGGCCGGGCGCGGTGGCTCATGCCTGTAATCCCAGCACTTTGGGAGGCCGAGGCGGGCGGATCACGAGGTGAGGAGATCGAGACCATCCTGGGCAACATGGTGAAACCCCGTCTCTACTAAAAATACAAAAATTAGCTGGGCGTGGTGATGCCAGCCACTCGGGAGGCTGAGGCAGGAGAATCGTTTGAACCAGGGAGTCAGAGGTTGCAGCGAGCCGAGACTGCGCCACTGCACTCCAGCCTGGCGACAGAGCGAGACTCCGTCTCAGGACGAACAAAGAAACAAACAAACCAGATGACTGGGAGATTGAAGAGGAAAAAAGATGGGAGAAAACGTAGGGAAAGGATGGGGCCTCACAGACTCAGCTGTGGGTGGGGGGGTAATCATTACCTCAGGAGAAGCCCAAGGAATTGTCCCCGAGGTGAGCTTTGGAAAGAAAACAAAAACAAAAACACCAAAAAACACCTAAATTTCCTGTATTAAAGTGACACATAATCATGTTTTCTGATTCTCTTCACTGTCTGCCTGGGGGGAGGGGGTGGGGAAGGTGTTAATGATGCTGATCCCTAATTCTGCTTCAAGGAGATCTGGTGGGGAATTCTTCCACCAGTCCAGAGTTTGCTGGTGCTGACCTCATCCCTGTATCACGGGCCTTGAATGTGGGAGGCTAATAGGATGGGTGGGTTGCAGGAGGTAGAAGAGGGGATGGCCTAGAGAGTTTCTCCATTCAGAGCTGGAGAGTTGTTGAAGGGAAGGGTATTTTAAAAGGGCTCCACCCACCCCTAGCCCCAGCCCCTCAGCTGTGGGGAGAGGCCACCTCCTCTGATGGGGTCTCGATGCTGCTGCTCTGTTCCTGGTCTGGCACGTCCTCCTCTTCCTGCTCCAAGCTGAAGTTCTGTGAACAAGGTCGCAGGTGAGGCCTGGCCCTGCATTTGCTCAACCGCAGCTCTGATACATTTAGTGGGGCAAACTTAGGCAAGAGTCACTCTACTGGGTTGTAGTCCCTATCCCTGAAGAGGAGCCGTTTCTTCCATCCCACCCGAAATGTGGACCTGACCTACCTCGAGCTCCTGAAAAATCTCATCCATGAAGTCCTGGGAGTTCTGTTTGTAAGACACAGCTAATCGAATTGCATCATTGAAGAGCTGGGGGTGAGGTAGAGATGGTGGATGAGAGTGCCTTGGACTCTGCCCAGTCCACCCCACTGGCCCCACTGTGAGACTACACAATACTCCATTCCTAAAATCAGCAACCTTACCCCTCCATTTGCCTCTCCCCGTCACCCTGACCTATGTATGGTCAATGGACTTCTGCCTCATCAAGTCCAGGCCCATCAGCTCCTCCCCTCCCTGCCACCCAGGCCCATGCACTGTCCCAGTTCTCTCCATCACACCTGCAGTAAGCCCTTCTCTTCACAGCTTCCCTTTACCACCTAGCGCCCTGACCTTGCTAGCTACCTCTGCAGTCAACCACACCTTCACAACATTGGTACCATCAGCAGCCGAGACGAAATACAGGGGCAGGGAGAACTTCTTGGCAAAATTGAAGCTTTTTTGGGTCACGTTTATGTCTGCTGTAGAGAGAAGGTAGGACATTGGTCTGTCAAGGGAAGGGAAGAAGGTTTGGAGGGGGGGCCACTGGAGGCCTTCATTCCAGAAAGTGGGATAGGCAGGGATGATTGGGAAACATGTCCTAGAAAGAGCTCAGTTAATAGGGATCTGTGTCTTGGAAAGAGGGCAGGTCGGCTTAGCTGGCTTCTTTATAAGGTGGGAAGAATGCAAGCAACCAACCAAGGGTTGTATCTTATCGTGGGAGGGAGGACCAATCACTGAAGGTTGCCTGCCCGGGGAATGGAGGAGGAAATGTATGAGGGCAGGTCCCCAGTGAATTGCTAACACCCAGGTGCAGGGATGGCCCCACCATCAATTTTATTGGCCACCACGATGCATGGGATCTCTGGCCTGAACTCCCGAAGCTCTGTATACCAGGTGCTCAGGTTCCTATAGGTGACTTTCCTCTGTATATCAAACACCTGCAAAGGGCAGAGGAAGAAAGATAGCTCAGGTATGTCAATGTTTCTGCACCCCATCTCCAGGTGACTCACACACCCAAGCAGGTAAGCATGAGCACATGGTGCTGTTTGTGGGAACGCTCTGAATTGCAGCCTCTCTGACCGCAGAGGCTGCCGTTTCTCAGGGAAGCCCCCTGGAGCCTCCAGATGCGAAAATGTTTTTAAAAATCTTATTCTTGGCCCAGTGCAGTGGCTCACACCTGTAATCCCAGCACTTTGGGAGGTTGAGGCGGGTCAATCACCTGAGGTCAGGAGTTTGAGACCAGCCTGGCCAACATGGTGAAATTCCGTCTCTACTAAAAATGCAAAAAATTAGCTGGGCGTGGTGGCGCATGCCGGTAATCTCAGCTACTTGGGAGGCTGAGGCAGGAGAATTGCTTGAACTAGGGAGACAGAGGTTGCAGTGAGCCCAGATCATGCCATTGCACTCCAGCCTGGGCAACAAGAGCAAAACTCTGTCTGAAATAAACAAATAAATAACGTATTCCTTTTTTGTTATCTTGTCATCTAATCTTATTCACCTATTTTAACAATCATAAATGGAATCAATTTGCCAATTGATGCAGTCTGTTAGAAATTGTAAAAACTTTTGTGTTTTTTAGTCCTCTTGTATTTATTGCTTAAACTGTTTTAAAGTTCCTCTGTAGTAACTGTAAATGTTTCTAGAGTTTTACTTTAGTTACTATTTACTTTTATTTATTTACTTTTTAGAGACAGGGTTTCACTGTCACCCAGGCTAGAATGCAGTGGCTCAATCACAGCTCACTGTAACCTCAAAACTCCTGGGCTCAAGGAATCCTCCTACCTCAGCCTCCCAAGTAGCACGCACGCATTAATTTTTATTTTTTTATTATTTTTTTTTTTGTAGAGGCAGGCTCTCCCTATGTTACCCAGGCTCATCTCAAACTCTTGGCCTGAAGGGATCCTCCCACCTGGGCCTCTAAAGGTGCTGGGGTTACAGGTGTTAGCCATCACAACTGCCCGATTTTTTTTTTTTTTTAGACGGAGTCTCACTCTGTTACCCAGGCTGGAGTGTGGTGGCATAATCTCAGCTCACTGCAACCTTTGCCTTCTGTGTTCAAGTGATTCTCTTGTCTCAGCCTCCTCAGTAGCTGGGACTACAGGTGTGCGCCACCATGCCTGGCTAATTTTTTTATTTTTAGTAGAGACAGGGTTTTGCCGTGTTGGCCAGGCTGGTCTCGAACTCTTGATCTCAAGGGATCTCCATATATGGAGTCTTGCTCTGTTGCCCAGGCTGGAGTGCAGTGGCGCTATCTTGGCTCACTGCCACTGCAACCTCCACTTCCTAGGTTCAAGCGATTCTCTTGTCTCAGCCTCCGGAGTAGCTGGGATTACAGGTGCGCACCACCATGCCTGGCTAATTTTTGTAGTTTTAGTAGAGACAGGGTTTCATCATGTTGGCCAGGCTGGTCTCAAACTCTTGACCTGCAGTAATCTGCCTGCCTAGGCCTCCCAAAGTACTGGGATTACAGGCATGAGCTACTGCACCTGGCTGATTTACTTTTAAGCTTTTGTTTACTTCTTTGTTCTTTCTGCTTTTTGTTTTTTGAGATAGGGTCTTACTCTGTCAGCCAGGCTGGAGTGCAGTGGCAGAATCTTGGCTTACTGCTCCTCCACCCCCTGGGCTCCAGTGATCCTCCTACCTCAGCCTCCTGAGTAGCTGGAACTACAGGCACATGCCACCATGCCTGGCTAATTTTGTTTATTTTTTGTAGAGATGATAAGCTCTCATTATATTAACGAGGCTGGTCTTGGACTCCCGGGCTCAAGTGATCCTCCTGCCTCGGCCTCCCAAATTTCTGGGATTACAGGCATAAGCCACTGTGCCCGGCCTCTTTAAATTTTTTTAAAGTAATTTTTATGTTTTATTATTTGCAGTTCATAATTGTATTACTTTATAATTTGTTTTTACCTATTTTATTTTTATTTATTTATTTATTTTGAGATGGAGTCTTGCTCTGTTGCCCAGGCTAGAGTGCAGTGGCGGTATCTTGGCTCACTGCCACTGCAACCTCCACCTCCTGGGTTCAAACGATTCTCCTGTCTTCAAACGATTCTCCTGTCTCAGCCTCCTGAGTAGCTGGATTACAGGTGCGCGCCACCACGCCTGGCTAATTTTTGTATTTCTAGTAGAGACGGGGTTTCAACATGTTGGTCAGGCTGGTCTCGAACTCCTGACCTCAGGTGATCTGCCCACCTAGGCCTCCCAAAGTACTGGGATTAAAGGCATGAGTCACCGCGCCCAGCCTGTTTCTACCTATTTTAAAATATCAGCAAGAAGGATGAGCACTGCAAACCAGCTCTAAGGGCAGAACTCTGAAAGACAACTGAGCTGCTGCTACAGTGAGCCTTCATGCCCTTCACAGGAGCTCCTCCAAAGTGTCTAGCCCAAACTGCCCTAGTACAACAGTCAGTGGATTAAAGTTACAGACAACCACCACCCTGTAACTGCTGGCACAGCTGACCTCACTTCTAAATCACCCAGCTATTTGTGCAAGCAACATGGTTCAAGCTCAGGGCTAGGGGCTCGCCCTGTGTGGTGGCGGGAGGGTCAGCAACTGTCACATCTCAAGAGGTGGCAGGAAGTCTATGTAGATTCTCTTTCACAGGCAAATTTCAATGAATCACCAGGTTGTCTTGAATTCCCGATGAAGTCTCCTTATAAAGGATGTCTGTAACTAAACTTCTGGAATCTGCCTCACACCAGGCTCAGATGACTTTTGTCCAGATCTGGTTTCCTGAGCATCTGTTCCTTGTTTTGAGAGCTGAGGAGGAACTGGCTAGAATGAGGAGCATCCCCATCTCAAGGTTTCAAGGTGGAGGGTCGAGCCCTGGTTCCGTCTCTGACCCTCAGCTCCCCGTGTGGTCAGAAGGCAAGTGCTTTCTACTTGCCAGGGCCCGTGCAGCAGACTGGGGCTGGTGGCAGGCACCTGCAGACACAGGCATGGTGGCAGGAGAGACACCCCAGGCCTTCAGAAGAGGGTCTGAGGGGAGCCCACGGAGATGCAGCAGATGCAGGAAGCAGTCACTCCAAGAGAAAAAGAGAGGTGAGCTCAAAATACCAAATGCCACTGTAGGCCTGAAACCAAACTGGCTAGGACCAAGCTCCTCTGCTCTTGAGGGTCAGACTTCTGCACTACACTGCCCCCATTTTCCTTGCCCCATTATCCTCTTGTTTAGTACCTTAACAGTTATCAGAGTTAAAGCTTTTGGAATTTTTCAAGGGATTTTGTTCTTAACGGGCAGTCGGGGGAATTAGGTGACGAGTTCCTTCCTTTACCATCTGCAAAGGGTCAGAAGGGAAGAATCCTCACTGTCCTCACCACTGGTATCTGTACTGTGCCTACCAGTCAGTCAGTTCCTGGGGGCAGCACGTGTGTCTTTCCACCTGGGCATTCCCAGCATCCTGCACACGTGCATCACAGACAGTCCATGTTGTGGAAGGGATCAGTGGTGCAGGAGCACACACGGAAGAGCTAAGCTAATGACAAACATCAGAGGAGGCTGCACGGAGGTGGTGGCATTGAAGCAGGGCCTGAAAAATGAGCAGAGTTTCAAATAAAGGGGTGTGAGCTGGGGAGAGGCTGAGGGAAGAGCATGAAGGAAGGTGTGCAGAGGAGCAGGTGACAATGAGCAGAACAGAGCAGCTCCTTCTGCATCCCCTCTGCTATTGCTTCTTACAGATGAGATGACACCTACTCAGCCATGCATCTCTCTCAGTGCCAAGGTAAGGCCGTGCGTATTTACAGACAATCACTAAGTGGGAGGTAGGGCTAGAAAGGTGGGTGTCTAAATGCTATGGGGTGCCATGGCAGACTTTATTTTTTTATTTTTTTATTTTTTTTGAGACAGAGTCTCGCTCTGTTGCCCAGGCTGGAGTGCAGTGGCGCGATCTCGGCTCACTGCAAGCTCCGCCTCCTGGGTTCACGCCATTCTCCTGCCTCAGCCTCCCGAGTAGCTGGGACTACAGGCGCCCGCTACCACGCCCGGCTAATTTTTTTGTATTTTTAGTAGAGACGGGGTTTCACTGTGTTAGCCAGGATGGTCTCGATCTCCTGACCTCGTGATCCGCCCGCCTCGGCCACCCAAAGTGCTGGGATTACAGGCGTGAGCCACCGCACCCGGCCCATGGCAGACTTTATTAATGTATGCCAACAATGGTGGCAACCTGTCCATCCCATGTGTTCTTTTAACCATATGATTCTGGTTCCCCACTGAGAGATGCCATCTGTTTCTTCCCTCTGTGACTATGGACAGAGAGATGCCACATATTCCAGGGCTAGGCCATAAAAGGAAATATAAGTCCCACCGGGTTCTCTTTGGATACTTGATCTTGGGATCTTGGCTGATACTCTGTGAGCAAACCCAAATCAGCCCAACTGACAAACTGTGAAGAAACACGGGGAGTAGAACCTGCTGGTGGTCCAGCCAAGTACCAGTGTGTGTGTGGGGAGATGCCCCAGGCAGTTCCAGCCTGGAACCCAGCCTTGGAGTCTTCTTAGCTGAGACTTCAGACATGGATTCCCGATCCATCAGAAAATGGTTGTTTTGTACCGCCAAGTTTTGGGGTTTTGTGTTAAAGCAAGACCTTGAATGCTATTCCAAGAAGTTTTAGTGACCGAGGTTTTCACTTGGTGACAATTGCTAGGGTTAATAATTCAGAAGACTAGTCTATTACTTTCTGCATTGTTGATGGCTGATATTCATGAAAATGTGGGTTTTTTTTAGATGGAGTTTTGCTCTTGTTGCCCAGGCTGGAGTGCAATGGTGTGATCTCGGCTCACTGCAACCTCTGCCTCCTGGGTTCAAATGATTCTCCTGCCTCAGCCTCCCAAGTAGCTGGGATTACAGGCACCCGCCACCATGCCCGGCTAATTTTTTGTATTTTTAGTAGAGACGGGATTTCACCATGTTGGCCACGCTGGTCTCAAACTGCTGACCTCAGGTGATCCACCCATCTTGGCCTCCCAAAGTGCTGGGATTACAGGCATGAGCCACCGTGCCCAGCCATGAAAATGTTTTTTAAGTGACCCAAAAGAAAAACATGCTCCTTTTCAGCATTTAAAAGTGGTGGCCTGAGAACGCAGCCAGGGAATTCACGGGTAGGAACTTCTATAGGACACAGGTTTACAGAGCTCCTTTCTCCTTTCTCAGCCGTTTCCTCGGCTGCATTTTTCTGTTGGAGCGACTGCTTCACCACACCCGGGTCACCAGGGTGGAGCCGTGAGGACTGCGTCCCGGGCAACACAATGGGAGGCTCGGGGGGAGGCGAGGGGCTGGCCTGAGAGAGAAGGTTCTCTGGGACCCGCAGCATCTACTCAGTCCCAGCATGTGCCCCCTAGGGAAAGGCAGCAGGCAACAGTGGAGGGAGGCCTTGGGAGCTTGTCTGACAGGTTAGGTCCATCAGAGGGACTGTGGCCCTGTTTCAGGCATGTTTGCCTCTTGGATGCTACACCTGATGTTGAAGCCCTGAGCTTGCTGTTCCACCTTTTCTCCACCCATCCCCGCCTACAGAGAGCTCACCTGGCACCTTCTCACTAAGAAGCTCTGGGGAGCAGGTGTGGTTTGAAACATCCCCGGGTGACCCTAAGCCCCCCTCCCACAACACCCAGACTTGGTTACAAGGGCCCAGGGCTGCTAGGCCCCTCACCCCTCAGGCCAGACTTGCCCAGTGCCTTTGTCCACCTCCCCACCGTCTCGTACCATGATGCAGGCATGGGCCTTGTGGTAGTAGGAGGCATGCATGCTCTGGAACCGCTCCTGGCCTGCCGTGTCCCAAAAGTCTGCAATGTGAACACAGACAGACCTACATGCCTGGTGCATTTCTGTGCAAGTCACTAAGATACAACACACATGCGGCACAAACCACAGCACATGTGTGAGTGTACATGGGGAGCACAGGGAGAAACAGAGACTATACAGCCCCACACGTGTGTCTTCAAGACACAGTGCACCTGAGTGTGATGTGAGAGGTGTGTCTTCACCTGTGTGTATGGGAAGACAGTGGGTCAGGGGCCAGGAGGAAGGACAACACACTGGAAGCCCAAGGAGGGAGAAGACAGTTCCCCGTTTCCCACGTGACACGCAGGGTCCTCTAAGTTCCAAACTATTCCAACTTCTCACGTGCGATGACCACAGACGGTAGACAGAGTCAGGCAGGCTGTGTGCCCGGCCAAGGAGAAGATTATGACCCGATGGAAGGTCGCAGCCCGATGTGGGAGATAATGTTCTGACCACATTTATTTTTTCAAACTGGCTGAGTAAGAACCCCTGAAGCTAGGAAAACTACTGCCTCGTCGAAGGCCTCTTATGTTCTTCTTCCCTGAGGTGGGTACAGCCCCCTGACTTCTCCTTTCCTGAACCCTGTCCTGCACAGGTGCTGGCCTGGACGCCAGGTCAGAGGGCTGGGACTTGGCCCCTGCGTGCCCCCTTCCACCCTCCTGGCTCCTGGCTCTCTGGGTTCTCTCTAGCACCCCTTGTCCCTGCCTGGGGTCTCATTTTCTCCCTCTGGACTCTCTCCTTATGAACCTTGCCTCACCTCCCCTCGTCTCCCATTTCCTCTTTCCTGAGGGTCAGCATGTCTTGGCCCTGTGCCACTTACCCACAAGGATGGTCTTGCCATCTACCGTGGCTGTGTGCTTGTACAGGGTCAGGGCGTACGTGGACAGCTGCTGTGGCTGACTGCACTCAGGTTAAGGAGCAAAATCAATAAAAGGGGAGGTAAGGAAGGAGTGGGGAGCAGGGGTGTTTGGTTTGATGAAATGGATCCTCTCCCTCCTCTTCTCTTTGGAGTTATTGAGATTTTAAATCAAATGAATGTTGCAGACAGAGGATCAGCTTCACATACCACTGGTACAAGCTCCATGGAAGGGTGAGGGGTGGGAGGAGATGAGAGTGTGTCCTGGCCATCGAAGTCTGAGGTAAAACACAGAACAGGATTTTACAGACAAGTGTCATAAAAGGCATCATGCAGTTGGAAAATGCAAAAGTGGATACCCCAACTCAATCATGGATGGAGCTTTCGCAGGCTAGAAAGGAAACCCTAACCCTAGGTAGCAACATGACCATTCCAGGGACAGAAGCTCCCACAAGCCATACAGTTGACAAGCTGTCAATCAATTTGGAGTCTGTCTATGTGTGAAACCCTGAGAAAAAGGGTTAAACTCTGGGGATTAACACCTTCCGAGGCTGCAAGAAGCTGGACAGTGTAAAAAGCAGAGCCAAATGACGCAGGTGGGCTGGGTGTGCAGGAGCACTTGGTACAAGGTGGAGTAACACATACTCAGATCTTAAGGCAACTGAGCCTTGGGGTGCCGAGCCTAGGACAGGCAGCAGCAGGCTCCAGGGGCTCCTCTCACCTGTGGTTCTCAGTGGATCCACTTGGGAAGCTGTTTAAAAATCTCCCAGTTGCGGGGAGGAACTCACTCCAAACCTATGTAATATAACAATTCATGGGAGAAAGGTGGGGCTGGCAGCTCCTATTTTACAAAGTTCATTCATATCAGAGATTTTTTTCAATAGTAGGGGGCCCAAGCTTTGAGGTTAGAGAGGTTAAATGACTTGGCCAGTATCAGAAGCTACTGAGGAGGAGGAGGTGGGGTTTGAATCCAGGCATTAGATCCAAACCATTTGCTGTTTGCCATTCTACTGCCCTCTTAATATAAAACAATCCAAATATGAGTAAGGTCCAAAATATACAGCACTGATTGTGCAATGCCATGTGGGTCAATCGGCAAGAAACAAGTGCAGAACAAAACCTGTGCGTTCACTTACCCAATCCTCCTTCCTGTTCCTGGGCTGCTGGTACAAAGGGGTGGGCAGTGGGACACTGATACATGAGCGTGGGAAGACCCACAGGAACAAGGAGTACTTCAAACCTTGAAGGATACAAGCCATCCATGAGAAATCTCTCCATGAGTCTGTAAGCAGAACAGGCAAGGTGGTCAGATGGCGTCTCCATCTCTCCCTTGTCCCAGACTTTTTCACCCTAAGGCTGACAACCTGGAAGCCACCTGTGGCTTCCCTTCCCCCTTTCACTCCACAGCCACACAGCTTCCGGGTCAAGTCTGGAAATTGGGTATCAGCATTACCAACCCGTCATAACAAAACAGCTCATGTCACTATGAGTACACACACCAGCCCACGTGAAGCTCTCAAATCTGTTATTTCCACCAGAGCACAGTTCTGCACATGCAATTACCCTTGTGTTATGCAAAGGGAAACAGAGGCCAGGCCAAAGCTGCGCCTTCCGTTCAAAAGCCATTTCCCGGTCGGGCGCGGTGGCTCACGCCTGTAATCCCAGCACTTTGGGAGGCCGAGAGCAGCCTGGCCAACATGGTGAAGCCCTTGTCTCCACTAAAGATACAAAAAATTAGCCAGGTGTGGCGACACACGCCTGTAATCCCAGCTACTCAGGAGGCTGAGACAGGAGAATCTGCTTAATCTATTGGTTATTGAGAGGACCATCTATTCTGAATGTGGTCAGTTATCCTGTGAAAAAATTAGGCAGACTTGGTCACTCCTCTCTGCAAAACCATCCAGTGGTCCCCCATTTCTTTCAGTTCAAACTCTCCCATTTCTTTTCTCTCCCTCTGTTCTAGCCACTGGCCATTTCCTCCTTTTGTTGTTGAAATGCTCCTGCCAGATATCTGCAAGGCTTACTCCTTGCTTTTTTCAAGTCTTTGACCCAATGTTACCTTTACAACTAGGCCTTCCCTGACCACTCTCTTGACATTGCAACCTTTTTTCCCTCACGTTTTGAAGGGTCACTGCTTGCCTGTCAGTGTAATACACTCTAACCATGATTTTATACTTCTGATATTTAAACTGCAGCTTGAATTGTAAAAGGAGGATAGATTTTATTTATAACTATAAAGAAACAGCACCCTTACTATAAAGAAAACACATCATCTTCTTAGATCACGTAGAAAATTACACAAAGAAATTACCGTGGCCAGAGGTTAAGATGGTCAATGAAAAAGACTCAAGCTCAGAACACTGTCTTGAGAGGGCACATGCTCAGAAAGTGCAGGAGGAAGAGGAGAGATCCATAAACTTGCCTCATCCAAGCAGAAGCAGTGAAAGAATAAAAACACAGGCACAGAGGGATTTTCTTAAGGAAAAGTTGCCTCTGGAAGACAGGATGAAGGAGGGAAAAAGAGGCCCCAGAGACTCATTCCCTCCCAACGTTCTGCAGCTTAGCAGAGAACCAGCTCGGCAGGCCTGAGCTCAAAAACAGAGCAGGCCTACCTCCGGAGGCTCTAGGAAGCTGCCTCTGTCACTGTCACATACACAGATGTTCCCTGTCTTCTTTTCCCAAAAATATTTAGAGTAGGCACTGGTCACTGGTGGCCTAAGCACAACTCCCTCAGGATAATGAGAGCTTGGGACCCAGGGAGTCACATGGTGTGACCTTTCTGCTTGTAAGTTTCCCCCATCACTCTAGTCTGTACTCACACCATGTGGCCTTAGTTTTGGGTGGGGGGGGTGTGCCTTTGCCCTCTTTGCACAACGATGATAGGCAATCATTAACGGTAATGGAAGACCCTAAAGGCCAAGTTAGACAGCTATCAAAGAAAAAAGACAACACATCTGGACCTAACTACTCTTAAAGATGGAATCAGAAAGCCACGTCTTGTTGGCTGGGTGCGGTGGCTCACACCTGTAATCCCAGCGCTTTGGGAGGCCAAGGCAGACAGATCACTTGAGGTTAGGAATTCCAGACCAACCTGGCCAACATGGCAAAACCTCTGCTAAAAATACAAAAAAATTAGCTAGGCATGGTGGCGCATGCCTGTAATCCCAGCTACTCAGGAGGCTGAGGCATGAGAATTGCTTGAACCTGGGAGGCGGAGGTTGCAGTGAGCCGAGATTGCCCCACTGTACTCCAGCCTGGGTGACAGAGCAAGACTCTGTCTCAAAAAAAAACCAAAAAAACAAAAAAACACCATGTCTTGTTATTAAGCAGTATGATCACCTGGGGTCAAAAGAAATCTGGTCGGGTGCAGTGGCTCACACCTGTAATGGCAGCTCAGGAAGGTGGCATGTGCAGGAGCAAAGGAAAAGCCTTCCACAGGAGGCAGTGCCCAGGTCTGAGGTCACCTGTTCACAGGGGGTAGGGGAGCTGTCATCAGAGCCCACCAACAGAGCCCTGAGTGGAATCAAGAAGCATGAACATGCTGCATGAGAAAAAAAAAAAAAGGCACCTTAAAGAAAGCCTGGTGACTGGGGCTGCTACCGTGGTAAATTTCTGAACTCTGCAAGAAGGCCGCACTGCCACAACATTGCTATCTAGAAATGAGGCCGTGTACAACTGACGCCCTTCAGATATGATGAACACAAGTGTTAACTTTTTTTTTTGAGACAGGGTCTTGCTCTGTCACTAGGCTAGAGTGCAGTGGCACAATCATAGCTCACCACAGCCTGATGTGTCAACCTCTTAATGGGTGTTTTAGCCCAACCGAGTTTAGATTCATAGGTTAGAGATACTGAAAATTGGCAGTAGTTCTTGAGTCCAATCAAAACTGAACCACAGTGTTCTCATGCACTCACCTTCCCTCAGATGCACTGTTTCCATCATGGTCTTTGTATCTGGGACAACCTTTTGCCTGAGATACTGCTAGTGGATGAAGACTGGCTTGTTTTCTAATTGTTGTGTCTGTGGAGGCCAATGTTATGGTAATCTTTGACGTCAAGTTAACTACTTGGATTCTTATTTTTTGTTACTGTTTGAAATGAGGCATATAAAGAGACTAGCATTGAACTTGGGAGCTGGGTATACCAAGATACATTCTCCGAAAGCTCTGTTTGTTATTAAAGTGGCAATTTGCTCTACACCTGCCTGCCATTTCTATTCTTTGTTGTTTTAAACTTGAGTGGGGATAAAGGGGGTATTATTTATTGGGTAACCTTCCCAAACTACAACACCTACCCTCACTTTTACTGTACAGGCGTGCTGTTGAGGATGGTCAAAGTAACTATAAAATACTAAACCAGAGGCCGGGCGCGGTGGCTCATGCCTATAATCCCAGCACTTTCGGAGGCTGAGGTGGGCGGATCACGAGGTCAGGAGATCAAGACCATCCTGGCTAACAAGGTGAAGCCCCGTCTCTACTAAAAATACAAAAATAAAATTAGCTGGGTGTGGTGGCGGGCGCCTGTAGTCCTAGCTACTCGCAAGGCTGTGGCAGGAGAATGGTGTGAACCCGGGAGGCGGAGCTTGCAGTGAGCCGAGATCACGTCACTGCACTCCAGCCTGGGGGACAGAGCGAGACTCCGTCTCAAAAAAAAAAAAAAAATTCTAAACCAGAGCTGCAGTGTGTGATTGTGTGGTGGGGAAGAGAGAGAGAGAGAGAGACAGAGAATTCAAATTCATGGAGATGGCCTAAAAACCAGCAAAGCCCCCAGAGAATTATTCACAGCTACCTGAGTCAAAGGACTTGACTATAAAAATGAAGGTAGAAACCAAGGTGGGCCTGGAGTACTTGGGAGATAAACGTGACCACTTCTCTGGGCAGGGGCAAGTGTACCGTCATGCTATGAAGGCGGAAATGGACATGTGCCCTCAGCAGTCCTAGGCGTGAGAACTAGGACGTCTCATGGAGACAAGCTGGCAGCACGGCAGAGCCTCCCTTCACCTCTCCAGGTGGCATGTAGGCACCGAAATTCATTACAAGAAGAAGCCAGTCTTCACAATGATTATAGTCAATCGTCAGTTCTACCCAGTTTTCTCTATTTCAGAGAGTCCCTCCAAGAAAGCATCTTTACCACCTTTACCCAATCTGTCACGGTGGCATAGTCACTTTTGTCTTTCCATTCCCACTCCCCGCCCTTGCCATCCCTCAGCCCACAAACCACATACAATGTCCTCAGTTGCTCCACACGTTCTCTCAGGGCTCAGAGGAAACATTCAAATTCCTCAGTCCTTATGACCTGCCCCCTCCACCCGACACACACAACGGGTCATGTGATTCCCCTCGTTCCCCCATGAACATCTGGGCTCCAGCCAAGACTGCTCCTTCACCAGCCCCAAGAAGCCATGCTCCTCTGCCTCTGGAGGACTTTTTAAATGACCTGGACCCTCTCTGGGGCTGGTATTTATTCCCTAATCTCCCAACATACTTGGATTTGCCCACTGCGCTGTCTCCCAGGCAGATGATCTTCACGTTGTCATCAGCATCATACTTCCCTTGGTCCAACTCACTCGGTTTGGTTTTGTCTTCTGCCATTGGCTCCTAGCTGTAGAGAGGGGTCCAGCCCAAGGGAGGGGAGGGTATTGTCACTGTCTGGGAAGATCAACAAGAGGCTGTTGTCAGAGATAAGTCCCCTCAACCAAATCTCCAGCTGTACCTCCATCCAGACTGCTTCCCTCAGTGCCAGACTGAGATATGGTATGCAATTGGCTACTAGACTTGGAGTAGCAGAGGATGACACACAGGCATCAGTAATATGTTATACACAAATAGTTAAGTCCTGCGCACCCCAAATGCTGCTCCTCACGTTACCCATTTGCACAAGACATTCACCAGGCATCCAGTGCCAAAGGCTGTGTGCAACATTATGTCTAGCTCTGTTTTACTCTCCTCACACCTAAATATGACTTTGCAGACATTCCTGAGAATGTAACCACAGTCCAGACTCTTAGCTAGGGGGGCACATAGAAATGATATGATGATGAGATAGCAGCAATAGGTGAGCCTTACTGGGCATTCACCATGAGCAGACCTTGCACAGGGTTCAGAGGATGGAAGACACAATGATAGCAGAGTCTACTGTGGTGAGAGCTACGACAGAAGTATGCACACGGGTCAGGGGTAGAAAATACCAACAGGGCCCCCGAGTTTTCCTGACTGTGCCACCACACAGCTACTGCTTCTGCACAGCCAGGGACTTCGCCTTGTTTATCCAGGGAGACAATTCCTGGGAAGTGGCAGATGCCTGGAAAGCATGATGAGGGGTCTGCCCCCTTTCACCTGTACCCTGTAGAGAGAGCGACAGAAAGCCAAATCCAGCTTCATGGCTCCATGCTTGAAGACGTTCTTTCTTTTGTTTAGAGATAGGGTCTCACTCTGTCGCCCAGGCTGGAGTGCAGTGGCGCGATCACGGCTCACTGCAGCCTCCAACTCCTGGACTCAAGCGATCCTCCCTCCTCGGCATCCCTGGACTATAGGCGTGAGCCACCGCTTACGGGCGAAGACTTGCTTGTCGATGTCCTCGCCATCTAAGTGGGTATGCTATCTTTCGATAAATGTTTTTGGCCACCAACCATGTCCAGGCATCGCCAGGCTGCCCGTCCCGCCCCCCACAACAGCCTCGCGAAGCCACCTTTCCGTGCTTCCCCCGACCCGGACGCCCTCTCGCCCACACCGCTAGGGAGGCCTCGGAGGGGCTGTCCCCGCGTGCTAAGCCAGCCACCGGGGCGGATTTGCCCTCACGTGCGGTTCCGAGTGAGGGCTGGAGAGACCAGGGACGCTGCGGGTCGGCCCCTCGGGCCCTGCCGCCAGTCTGGACTCTGCGCGCTCTCGAACCACCCCGCCGGCCCAGCTCGCACCGCAGCGCACTCCACTTCCGGCTCGCCCCGCGTCCTCGCAGCTGCTACGCAACCGCGCAAGGACCCCGAGGGAGGCTGCCCGGCCGAAGGCCTGAAGGACCCCGCCGGGGCGCTGGCTGCCCAGCGCGGCGCCTGGCGGGAGGGCCGCAGGGAGTGCGCATGCGGCCGAGTGCGGGACTGGGGCTCCTGGCTGTGGGTGTGGTACTGAGGCTTCAGCGGGTGCCGCCCGCCTAGAGGGAGTGGAGCGGTGAGCACGTCAGGGGTGGGGGGCGCAGGTCAAGCTTTCACCAGTTTTTAATTCTTTGATGGGGTAAATTTGAGCAATTTTCTCGACTTGTCGACATTCGTTATTAACTGAGCAGGAATCAGGAGAGGAACCCGGTCCTCTCCACACAGCCCAGCAGGTACGCCGCCCATGTGCCTGTGGAGAAGAGAGGTTCCTGTGGGGCAGACAGGTGTGGACCAAGTAGCTGTGAAATTTCTTCTGAAGAAAACACACAAGGAGGAAGCGAGTGAGCTCAGTGGAGGAGGGGCGCTACCCCAGGGGACGTCCCCATGCATGGGCTTGTGAACCTCGAATATGTGAGACGGTCTCAGTCAATTTAGAAAGTTTATTTTGCCAAGGTTGAGGACGCACGCCCGTGACACAGCCTCAGGAGGTCTTGACATGTGCCAAAGGTGGTCGGGACACAGCTTGCTTTTATACATTTTAGGGAGACAGGAGACATCAATATATGTAAGATGAACGTTGGTTCCCTCGGGAAAGGCGGGACAACTCGAAGCAGGGAGGGGGCTTCCAGGTCACAGGTAGGTGAGAGACAAACTGTTGTATTCTTTCGGGTTTCTGAATAGCCTCCGCAAAGGAGGCTATCACATATTAACCTATCTCAGTGAGCAGAGGGGTGACTTTGAATAGATGGGGAGGCAGGTTTGCCCTAAGCAGTTCCCAGCTTTTTTCCCTTTAGCTTAGTGATTTTGGGGCCCCCAGATTCATTTTCCTTTCACAGGCTAGACAGCTTTAGGAACTGAAAGGTTCACGAGGCTGTAACGAAGAGTCGAGTTGCTCCAGGTGAGCCTGGGCCACAACAGCAGGCAGGACCTGGGCGCCCACGAGGGGCTCCTGGGAGGGTTCGGGAAAGGGATGTGTGAACCCTATCTGAGATGGTTTCAGGTAATTTAGAAAGACGTGCACCCGTGACACAGCCTCAGGAGGTCTTGACGACATGTGCCCAAGGTGGTCAGGGCACAGCTTGGTTTTAGGGAGACATGAGACATCAATCAATATATGTAAGAAGTACGTTGCTTCCATCCAGAAAGGTGGGGACAACTGGAAGCAGGGAGGGGGCTTCCAAGGTCACAGGTAGGTGAGAGACAAAGGTTGCATTGTTTTGAGTTTCTGATTAGCCTCTCCAAAGCAGGGAATCAGATATGCACCTATCTTAGTGAGGAGATAGGTGACTTGGAATAGAAAGGGAGGCAGGTT
The DNA here is from genome assembly GCF_000001405.40 of Homo sapiens. Taxonomy (NCBI): domain Eukaryota; kingdom Metazoa; phylum Chordata; class Mammalia; order Primates; family Hominidae; genus Homo; species Homo sapiens. Next base: position 113,625,801 of record NC_000002.12, on the reverse strand, counting down.
TGCCCTGAGCAGTTCCCAGCTTGACTTTTCCTTTAGCTTAGTAATTTTGGGTCCCCAAAATTTTCCTTTCAGAGAGCCTACGACTAGATTTGCATCTTTACGTCCTGCGCGGAGGCTGCTACACACATGCAGAAGTCATGCTGGTGGCCTGGACATTGAAGGGAGAGAAGTGGATTTGGGAGACATTTAGGAGGTAAGATTGCTAGGACCTTGGTGATAGCTTGGACATGGAGGGTGGAGGAGGAGGGGTGTCTAGCATAATGCTCTTAGGTTACCACCTGGGATATTAGGGAGAGTGAGCAGGCTGTTTTTTGTTTGTTAGGCAGAACTTGGTTTTGCGGTGCAGTAGGGTGCCTGGAGCCGAAAGCCTGACTTCCTCACACAGGCCAGACCCCACATGTGACTGCCAGGCCACTTTGAGGCTGAGAGAGATGGTTTTGTCTGGCCTCTGTCCTGCACATGTTTACGGATGACCTCTGTGTTGGCAGATTTGGGGGTCCGCCAGATAGGATCCTGTGAAGAGACCTCAAAGGTCTTTAGTCCAATCTATAAAACATTTTTATGTTGATTATATCATTTCCACAATCAAAGATGAAGAATATATACAGAGGTGTATTTAGTGAATAAGGTTGATGGTGCACCTGCGCTAGGCAGTGTTTTAGTTCGTTGAGACACCAAGGAGTTGAGACAATCCTTTCTTTACCTCAGAGTTTTGTGTGTGTAAGTCCTGCTGTTGAGAGGTGTGTGTGTTAAAATGTCTGATTTGGGCAGGTGAGATCTGGGCCCTCTGTAAGGTTAGGTAACAGGAGGTTGGTGTCCAGCAAATATTCAGTGCCCCATCAACATCCCAGTTCTTGTCCACCAATCTTCCAATTCTAGGACTGATGCGGAGGCCCTCAGAGCGACTTCAGAGGAGAAGTAGTATGCTCTGTGGCTATCTTGTTTTGGAGTGTAATTTGTAAATCCTCTGCAAACAAAACGTTGGAAACAAGTAGTGTTTTGGCTTGAGTTTCCTGTAAACGGCTTACAGTCGTTGGGTTAGGGTTGGGTTAGGGTGATGGTGAGGGTGGGGGGTGAGGGTTAGGGGTTAGGGTTAGGGTAGGGTCAGAGTTAGGGTCAGGGTCAGAGTCATGGTTAGGGGTTAGGGTTAGGGTCAAGGTCAGGGGTTAGGGTTAGGGGTTAGGGTTTAGGGTTAGGGGTTGGGGTTAGGGGTTAGGGGTTAGGGTTAGGGGTTAGGGGTTAGGGTTAGGGTTAGGATTAGGGGTTATGGTTAGGGTTATGGTACTGTAAATAATTTCACATTATTACTAATAATAAATTATTATTTGTATTACACTATTACATAATGTAAAGGCTATTAAGACATGTTTGTCTTCAAAGAATGGCCTTGGTTTCTGTGGGCAGTGTCCTCATGGAAAGGTAATGAGTTCCTGCTAAATCATGGACAAAACGGGCTTCCAGGAGCTACAGGCTGCAGCAGCAGCTTCTCCTCTACGTCCTTCACTGCCTCATACTGTTGTTGACTTTGAAAGCTTTTTTCAGTCTAGTTTTATCAACAGCTAGTATTTTCATGAGGTTCTACTACATACCATGTTCCAGAAAGCTAAATGCCTTTTGTTTGTTATTATTCACTAAATACAAATCACAACTCTCTCCTCATTACTCACACAACAAAATTTAGCTGAGGGAGACTGAGTGACTGTCCCAGGGTCACACAGCTACTAAGAGCAGAGTCGTGTTTAGATTCATGTGGGAATACTGAACACAGACATGAACCAGTGGAAACATCCTACGTTCCAAAAGCCTACTCAAGCCATTTGTTCTTATTTTAAGGAAAATCTTTATGCTAATTTTAAACTCCAAATACTTATGAATGGCAGAGATCTACAGATTTGATTCTGATGTAAGAAATGATGGTCACCAGCTGGTTACTGCTACCACCCCACAACCCCGAGCATACTGGACGAATGTCTAAGCCTTGTGGTTAGTGGGGACAATGCTGGTGGAGTCTGAAGTTGTCATGCAGTGACTCATGCAAGCTTAGGCAGATTTGGTGATATACGACACAGAGATGCAAAGAAATGTTGTAGCTGACACACACCGGCTGGCTCTGGGAGATGCAGAAGGAGCACGTCACCCAAAATAGAGCCAGACAGACATCCTTAAGGAAAGAGCCAAGGGGCTGCATCTTAAAGAATGAAGAAAGGATTTGTCATGAGAGATGGGACAGGAAGTTCTTGAGAGGCAGAGGGAGATTGTGAGAATGTTGGGAAGGGAGGAGAGATTCTCGCACATCTGGGAAGCTGACAATCCATCAGCATGTCCAGAAGGAAAATAAGGAGGAGGAGCAGAAACAGATGAGGCTGGATATAGAAGCAGGGCTGAAGCTGTGTCGATTGTGGTAAAGAGTTGCGATTCTATCCAGAAGGCAATAGGTAGCATTCTAAACAGAGATCTTTTAAAACAAGAGTCAGCAAATATTTTCTGCAAGGGGCTAAGTGTTAAATATTTCAAGTTTTCCAAGCCATATGGTCTCTCTCTCAATGACTCTGCTCTTCCATTATACCGTGAAAGTAGCCAGAGACATTATGTAACACATGTATTGGCTGTGTCCCATTACAACTTTACTTACAAACGCAGACTGTGTCAGACATGGTCCATGCATGGTAGTTTGCCACACTCTGTTTTAGAAAGCTCAGGTTTATGATGTGATGGAGAATGCCCACAAGAGCTCTTGTTTTAAATGGTAGAGTGAACATACACTGGAATTCTATCCTGCTTGACCCAAGCTCTTGATAGCGAAAGGTAGAAAAGATAGATGGTAAACAGATAGATAGATGATAGATAAAGAAAATACATAGCTGTTCCAGAAAACAGAAATGGATAACTTCATGAACCAAAAGCAGAGTAATATACTTTAGAAAGGAAGCAGGCCAGAAAACCCACAGTTGCAAAGCAAATAGAATTTCCAACTGCCTCTTGTAGCCCCTTCCTGGAAGTAGTCACAGCCCAGGGTGTTTGACTTCTTCCTCTGTTTTTTGTTTGTTTGTTGTTTGCTTTTCTCTGGGGTTTTTGTTGTTGTTGTTTGCTTTTTTAAAAAAAAATTCCCTTTCCCTGCTTTTTTGTCACAGCAGCCTTTGTCACTTCAAACACCGCAAGTGTTCTTTAAAAAAAATTATATCAACCTTTCAATTAAAATGCAACATGTCTGAAACTTGGTATCTGGAGAGGTGAGTTGGACAAAGGAGCCCTTGTTACTGCATGTTTTCATTCTTCAAATTTCACCTTGCACGCAGTAACAGACAGTGCACAAAGCCACTTCCTTATGGACGGAAATTCTGAAATCCTTTTATGCCTGGCCTTTCCATCCTTCATCTTCCCCTCTCCCACACTGTGAAGGATCGTATTGGACATTTTTGTTTTAATGTCAGTGACAGGGGAACACAGGTAGCTCTAATATAGCTGTGACCCAGATGCTTCTGTTTCTAGCACGTATTTATTTTGCAGCAAACATTTACATCCATGATGTTTTACTGTTTTTTGAAAATAATTAGGCAATATCTCATCTGAGGTAGGATGTTTCTAGGGGTTGTGTTCTGAGGGAGGAAAACTAATCTGTTCTCTTTCCACTGCATTCTAGGAACAGTAAGAGGACCTTGTGCATGAATAATTTGTTTCCACACTACAGAGTGGGTAATAAGCAGATTAGTAAAAACAATTCTGCTTCACTTCAATAACAGCCTCCTCCAACTCATTTTTTCTCAACAAACTTATTTTTCCAGCAGAAGAATCCCAGTCTTCTTAGAGAACCCAGTGACTTTTTGCACCTTAAATCTGTGAAATCCTCATGTTTTCTTCTGCCGTATCCATAGTTCAAACAAAGATGAGGCAAAGCTAGATGCATTCCTGAAGGAACCCAAGAAATTCCTCTCTTTATTTCTCTGGAATGAAATGAATTCTCTAGACGACCAGTTCTAACCTTCAAAAACCAAACCTGTTTGTGAGATCTCCTTCAAATACTACTGTAGACCCCAGTGTTTATTCATTAAATTTTAAAATATTTGTTTTATTTGGAATCCATGTATTTGTAATTTTAGTGTTTGTATTAATATAAGGGAGAAATGTTTAAATCTGTCTATGCCATATGTGCCTCTGGCTTATTGCCCAATTAATTGTAGCCTCAGGCTAAACTTTGGTTTCTGTCTTTAATTTTTGTCAGAAGAAATATAACTGATCTCAAAACATCTGCTTTTATTGTAGGGGCTCGTGCTGCCATCTCCATTCCTCTCTCTTTTCTTGCAATCTGGGTGGAAGTTCTTTAATATGAACATTTCAACCACCTTCATTCTACCATATCCACTATCAGCACATTCAAACTTATCCAGCCAAGGCTGTCATCTTAGGCCAGGGATTTTTTAGGAATCTATTATGCTGTGATGCGGCTGGCACCCCTTTGACTCACTGTATCACCCCAGGGTTCTTTTCATTTCAGAAGCCCAAGAGGGCAGAAAAAGAAGTAGGTGAGCAATTAAACCCTCTGAGTCAGGAGCGTCTCACCTTGCGTTAAGCAATGTTGTAGAACATTGTGTTTAGCAAGCTCCTAGCAGATGAGCCACGTGGCTGCTGAGCACACACGCCTGCTTGCTGCTGTGAGCTCAGGCACCATCAACATGTCTTTTCCATCTCTGGAGGGAATTGTAAGGGCCACTTAATAACCTGTAAATCACAGAGAGTTAAAGGTGCTTCCCCAAAACACTGATGACAGAATGAAAGGTGAGGAGTGTTAGCCACAGGTCACAAAAGTGCAGGAAAGTCCCTCAGTGTGGGTTGTTGAAGAAATGCAGGTCTTTTTTCTTTTGGAAGTCTCCCTAGAATGGGGTCAAGGACTCTGCCCATTCTAGGATGAAAAATTGGGATATTAGACACTTTCAGATATTTATCCCCAGCTTTCATTTTGGGCTCTTAATTAGTTTGTTCATCCATCACAATCTCAAATGCTAAGCAGGGCATTTGAATCTCTCCACAGTGCAAATCAGCGCCGTCTTTTAAAGTTGAGTTTCTTATTATTCTCACCTGATATACCTTATTTATCCCACACCCACCCCAATAACATATCGTGCTCACTGCTATCTTTGAGGCAACCCTTGAATTTTACTCAGCCTGGAGCGCTCTTCACATGTCTTGTCCAGAGCCAGTTCGGACTCATTCTTCAGCCGTGCATCAGTCAGTGGGGGCTAGCTTAAACTGTGGTGACAAACAACCTCCAAATTTCAGTGGCTCAAAAATCTTCTTCCTCATTTATTTACATCTCATGACTGGTCAGGTGAGAGGTAGCTCTGTGCTGTGTCATCCTAACACAGGAATCCAGAAGGAAGGAGGGACCATCAATAAGATCCCCATTGCTATAGAAAAGAGAAAAAAGCATGCGGAATAGAACGCTGTTTCTTGGAGATTTCTCCTGAAAAAGTCACGTTATTTCTTCTCACCTCCATTGGCAAAAAAAAAAAAAAAAAAAAAAAAAAAAAAAAAAAAAGTCATGTGGCCATGGGAAAATTTAAGTAGGTGGGATGGAACAGTCAGAATGCATTCATAAAAAATGAACTGAAAATATTTGGAGAACAGCACCAATGACTATCATGAATGCCAACATACATCCCTAACAACCCAGTGCTGTTACCCTCCAAACTTTTTATGTCTTGCAAAGTATTAGAACTTCATATCTGAAGCCATACCACTCAGAGGGAATGCAATACATATTGACATCTCCTTTAGGATGTCCATAGAGAATTCAAGAAAAGAAATAATTTAAAAGTGCTTTTGGGTACAGCTATTTAGCACTAGAGGGTAAGAGTAGAGATAGATTGTAAAGATAATAATAGGGTTAGGCATAGGATTAGGATCTGGGTCAGAGTCGGGGCCGGAAGTATGGTTAGAGATGGGGTCATGGTCAGGGTCAAGATCAAAGTCAGGGTTAAAGTAAGGGTCAGAATTAAGGACCAGGGTAGGGATCAGGATTTAGGTTCAGGCTCAAAGTCTTGGGACAGGGTTAGGGTTAGGATTAGAACCAGAGCTTTGTTCTCAGGACCCACCCGCGGATGGGTCACCATGGCTTTGGAGCACCTGGTAGTGTGGCATGTCCACAGTGAAGACCAGAGTTTCGTTGTCCTTAAGACTGACCTGGGAGACGTGGCTGCAGGCCATTGAGGAAGGTGAGGCAAAAGCTTCCTGTCTGCTCCCCGTGTGCTGAGGAGGGAGCTCTGCCATGGGCTTTACTTTCACACGTTATATTCTACAAGTCTTGTTTTACAAAAGCATCCCTTCCTTGAGGCTTCGGCTGCTCATCGCTGCTCATCATCATAGCGTGCCATAACATATAGTAAGATTTGGGTTTGTTTCTGGGAGAGATCTTGGCATAGAGAAAGGAGAAATGCTTAGAGCCACCATCAAGACAGTTGGGATGAAAGCTGGGGATAGGCAGAGGCTGGAGGAAACATGTGCACCCCTTGTAAACACTTATTCATGTTTTAGTTATTCACTTAAAGTGTTAAATTAGTAAAAATAGTATTGAAAAATTGAAAAATAGGCATATTAAAACTTGTAACACTATTTAAGCTTAGATATATTATTTGTACCTCATCAACATTTTTTATTTTGTTGAGAAAGTGTAAGGTTAATTGGCAGCATATTTCTAATAGTAGATAGAATAATGTCTGTTTTATAAACATTGACATCCTACATTACATGTGTGAACCCTGAAAATCTGAGACAGCTCTCAGATTTTTTAGAAAGTTTATTTTGCCAATCTTGAGGATGTGCGCCCGTGACGCCTCCCCAGGAGGTCCTGACAACATGGGCCCAAGGTGGTCGGGGCACAGCTTGGTTTTATACACTTTAGGGAGACATGAGACATCAATCAATACGTGTAAGATGTACATTGGTTCAGTCCAGAAAGGTGAGAAGGCCAGACAGGGGGCTTCCAGGTCATAGGTAGGTAAGAGACAAATGGTTTCATTCTTTTGCATTGCTGATTACCCTCTCCAAATGAGGCAATCAGGTATGCATTTATCTCGGTGAGCAGATGGGTGACTTTGGATACAATGGGAGGCGGGTTTACCCTAAGCAGTTCCCAGCTTGACTTTTCCCTTTAGCTTAGTGATTTTGGGTCCCCAAGATTTATTTTCCCTTCATAAGGTTTTCCTATGAGCATTAATTATTCATTGTGTATTTTATCACACAAATAAGGCACAGATTTTTAAAAAATCATCAACTTCCTGGCTACCTATATAGACATAATTACATAGAAGCTCAACTAAATTTGCAAACATTCCAGAGTTTGGGTTTCCAATAATTCTTTGTGATTCTTTAAAAGGTAAAGTATTTTTTTCCCATAAAACATAGCAACATTTAAAATCACCCGTAGAATGTCCTGCTATTTTTGTTTCTGTAGTTTCCTCATTTTCTGCAAAGCCTCGCTGAGGAAATTGACTTTGAATATCCTTTTACACTCTTCTGTTTTAGAAAGCATTGTGGTAAAACATTGAATCATCATGGTCATAAGTTCTGTTCACATTCTTTCTTGCTTTGAATATTTTTTCCCAGTGGCCAATATTTGATTCTGTTGTATCATGGCTAAAAGGTAGGCATGGCAACAAAATAAAGACAGGAAGTCTTTGGAATAAGTGATCCCATCACAATGAATCAATTTGCCATTGGAACATATTTTTACAAAGTCACTCTTTTGAAAATATTTAGCTATGAATTAAAACAGAGTCTGTATGGTTAATATTTTTCCTGGTCTAAAGTGAACAGCATTTTAGAGAATGAACTCAGGACACAACCACAGCACAAGAAAAACGTGATAATTAAGTTTACACATATGTGTTACTACTGCAACAGAAAACATGTAAAGAACATTTGATTTATGTATCAGTCTGCACTGTTTAATTTTTTGTGTCATAAATACTCTTATTTAAAAAAACAGGACTAGTTAACAGTGTCAATTACTAGTAATTCATGGTATAAATAATTAAACAAGGAAGTGTTCAAAAAAAACAGTGTTTTAAATAAAGTTTTATTTTACATCATCTTTTTTACTTACACAGAAATTGTCAAAAAAAAGCAGAGATTTCCCATGTAGCCGCAACCTAGTTTCCTCTCTTATTAACATCTTCTATCAGTGTGTCTCACATGGCTTATTAATATCTTACATAATTTGTCACAGTTAATGAACCAATACTGATAGACTATTATTAACTGAAGTTCATATTTCATTTGGATTCCCTTAGTTCTATCTTACTCTGACCCAGGATCCCATCCAGGATCCCGCATGACATGTAGACATCACGTGGGCTCTTCCTGGCTGTGACAGTGTGTCAGGCTTTCCATCTCATGATGACCTTCATAGCACTGAGGAGGATTGGTCAGGAATGTTGTAGAATGTCCCCCATTGTCACTTCATGTTCTCAAGGTGAACTGTCACCTTTGATGTTCACTTGGATCATTTGGAAGAGCTAATGTTTGTCAGGTTTCTCCACTGTGAGGTTATTTCTCCTCCTTGTCCATACTGCATGTGTTCTTTTGGAGCAAGTCACTATGCAGAGCCTCACTCCGTAAGGAGTTGGCTCCACCTTCTTGATGGCTGAGTGTCTACATCAATTATTTGGAATTCTTTTGCAAAGGAGATTTCTATGCAACTCCATTTGCTTATTCACCGAGGTATACAAATACAGACACCTAGATAATTACTTTAAGCTTTAGTTATTATTCAACACTACAGTATTATGTTGCACAATTCATTCCTGTGTTGGCCATCAGTAGCTGTTTTTATTGGCTCTTATTTTTCTTTGATATGTTTTAATTTTTTTAGTACTTACTTTCTGATACTTCCAGATTATCCTGGTTCCTATATTTACTGTCCCAGTTCTAGTATCAGACATTTCTTCAAAGAGCCTGATTCCTTTCAGAATGGTAGGAAAACTTACATCTGGCTGCTGAATGAACACATTGTATCTTCTCCCTCATTGGCAATGCTAGGAAGTATATGTGTGTGTCTAACCTACCTATACACACCTAATTATAAAGTTTTCTATGTAGAACTGTGTGTGTCTATATTAAACTAAACATAAGTTTACGTTGATGTCTCCACCTCTGATCTACTATCACATGAATCATTCTAGCCTTCTCGCCTTGCTAATTTGTAACCTCCCACTTCAACAGTAAGAAACCTGGTTCCCACCATCTGCGACTTATGTAAGTCATTGTTTTATTCCAGATACAGACACTGTGGTTTTACAATTGTTCACAATTGCTTCTGTTGGAAAGAACTTTATAAAATGGAATCCAATAATGAAGTATAGTTCATGTGCCTTCAGCCTACAGATTCTATTCATTTTCAAAGTTTTTACCTAGATTTGTGTCTTAGTCCATTTTGTGCTTCTGTAACAGAATACCTGAGGCTGCGTAATTTATAAGTAAAAAAGTTTCATTTGGTTCACAATACTGGTGGCTGGAATGTCTGAGATTGGGCAGTTGCATCTGGCAGGGCCTCAGTCTTTTTCACCTCATGGTGGAAAGTGGAAGGGGAGCAAGGGGTGCACCAGAGATCACATAGCAGAAGTGAAAGCAAGAGGGAAGCCAAGGAAGCCAGACTCTTTTTAATTACCTACTCCTGCAGGAATTATCTATTCCTGTGAGAACAGAACTCACTCACCCCCATGGAGGACATTAATCTATTCATGAGGGATCCGTCCCCATGACCCAAACACCGTCCACTAGGCCCCACCGCCCCACACTGACACAGTGGGAGTCAAATTTCAACATGAGTTTTTGTGGGGACAAACCACATCCAAACCATAGTAATTTGTAGCATAAATTCTTTTTCACATGATGTATTCTGTCCTGGGATACTCCACATCCTGAGTAATTTGATTTAATTTGAATAGAGTTTGCTTTAACCACTTGGCTGTAAAATTCTGCATATTTCGACAAATGCATTGTGACAGATATCCCACTATTAAAGTATCATATGGAATGCCTCAAACCCCCACCCCATGGAGCCAATGGCTTCCCATCTGTGTAGTTTGCCTTCTCCAGTGTCTCATTAAATGAGGTCACACTGTGTGTATCCTCCTCAGACTGTCTTCTTCCACTTAGCAATGTGCATGCAAGATTCACTCATGTCTTTGTGTGTGTTGATATCTTGTTCCTTTCTATGGCTAAATAGTATTCCATTACATGAATGTAGCACAATTTGGTTATGCATTTTGGGGAGCAGAACCTTCCTCTTCTAACTTTGTTCCAGGGTTGGAGACCTTCAAATTAACTGACAATAGATACATTAGTAGGAGAGACAATACTTGGCTTCTTGTTCCCCAAGTATCACTGTGGGACAAAATTCATCAGATGGCAGGATCCAGTTTACAAAGAGGTAAAAATAGCCCAGAAACAAGAAACAAGACTAGAATCTGATAACTCACAATGGCTATAGTTTTCCTTTAAAAAAATTTTTTTTGAGACAGGGTCTGGCTCTGTCGCCCAGGCTGGAGTGCAAAGGTGCAATCTCAGCTCACTGCAACCTCTACCTCCTGGGTGCAAACGATCCTCCCTCCTCAGCCTCCTGATTACCTGGGACTACAGGCACATGCCGTCATGCCCATCTAATTTTTGTATTTTTGGTAGAGACGGGGTTTCACCATGTTGCCCAGGCTGATGTTGAACTCCTGGCCTTCCAAAGGGCTGTAATTATAGGCATGTGCCACCATGCCCGGCTGTGTTATACTTTTCCTTTGAAAGATAAAATTTCTCTCTGTAGTAACCATCATTTTTGATCATAATCAAAGTAAGACTATTCTTGTTTTAAAAATAAGTCTAGTTTTGTTAGATTTTGCTTGATTATTTACGTAAGTGCAGCAAGAACAGGAGATGACCACGTAGGTGCTTTCAGGTTTCTTTGCTGGAAGTTTTCATACAGAATCTCAGATTTGACTTTTAAAGGCCTTATTCAGGCTAAAAGCCAAGCCAAGAACATACTGTCAAATTTCAGCTGCAGTCCTTATAGCTTTGTGTGAATTCCTCTCTTCTTGAGGCCCCAAAATATCCCTAAATTCCTGGGCCTATCAGGAAATGACCTTCCTTACTAACCTATAAGGCTGTGAACCCTGTAATCTAGGTATCAGGCTGGGTTTTCTCAGAGTGCTGTTGGGAATGAAGTTTTTTATGTTCCCCCCTCAAAAAAAAAGAACTAACATGGGAACAAATGATCTCTTAGCAAGGCGAGCTTTATTTTTCTGCACAAAGGGTGCTACTCAATAGCTGTCCAGCTACAAGAGCACACCAAACAAAGGAGACAGAGTTACTTATAACCTGACGTGTTTACCCTACTGCTGTGTCCAGTTTCCATTGGCTGGAATAGGACCTCCCATTTTACACTTTACCCGATTGGCTGTTAGTTTAAAACTTTCTTAATTAGGTAAGGGGAATAGAAGAAAGAAAGAAAAGGAAGTTGCCCAGGGATAGTTAAGGAAGCATCTCCAAATAAGGAATGGCATGCACTATGGGCTGGGGCTTGTCTAGTTCTGTCCAGGCATGCTGGAGCAAGCTAGGACAAGTGATTTGGAACACACACACACACACACACACACACACACACACACATACATATAAAAATAGTGGGTAGTTGTGACTTTATAATCTTTGAGGAAGAACTTTCCTCAAAGTTTTCCACAGTGCTTTGTAAGCATTGTCTCCATAAAAGTCAACCTTACTTCCTTAAAATTGCTGGTCATAACTGATCTTAGGTACACTTCCTAAATATGATATTCCAGTAAAAACCTTGATAATATAACCAAAATTTCCAATTATGTCCTGTTATAAGGTGAATAGATTCTTATTGGACTTTTGCTAACAACTATATCATCGTGGAAATAAGAGTATTCAGTAAGGATTTCAAAATTCTGGAAAAATCAGGCAAGAAAAAAAGATAAACGCTTCATTTCTGTTTACAAAAGTATAATCTACTAAATTGTTGTAAGTTACAGTTAGAGTAAGAGAAAGAGATTTCTTAAATCCAGAAACTAGAATATTAACCAGCAATGCTCCAAAAAGCTATACAATTATAATCAATTTTCATCAGTTCATTCAGTGCCATGTAATCAATTCCAGTCTTGTGGATCTTGAGTTAGCAGTGTCATGAACCCATCAGGTTCCCAACCGGACTTCTGGAGACCTTAACTGAGTCAAGTGTATGGTCTTAAAGTTATTTAAGCAATATCATCAGAAGCCTATAACCAGAGTACCTGTCATAGTCTTTTCTGTGAGTCTCAGAGGGAGTCCTGTCTTGGAGACGAACATTCTGACCTGTAGTTGATTGCAGGAGCTTTCAGGAAAGCATCAGGGGGAAATAATATCTAAATGACAAAAAGTATGAAATGGCTGTGATGAAAGATCTGATGAGAGTTCGTTATACCACAACTGACAAGGATATTCGATTTTTTCTGTGGCAGACAACATTTATTTATTTATTTATTTAGAGACAGAGTCTTGCTCTGTCGCCCAGGCTGGAGTGCAGCGGTGCGATCTCGGCTCACTGCAAGCTCTGTCTCCTGGGTTCACGCCATTCTCCTGCCTCAGCCTCCCGAGTAGCTGGGACTACAGGTGCCTGCCATCACGCCCGGCTAATTTTTTATATTTTTAATAGAGATGGAGATTCACCGGGTTAGCCAGGATGGTCTGGATGTCCTGACCTTGTGATCCACCCGCCTCAGCCTCCTAAAGTGCTGGGATTATAGGCATGAGCCACTGTGCCTGCCACAACATTTAAAGTAATAATTGGAATTATGACTCATTACTCTATAGTGGCACATAGCATGGATAAGGAGGACATTGACAAACTTCCAGGAATTTTATATAATTTCTGAAAACATAACATTTTACCCATACAAATATAACACAGGGAAGGTTAGGTATCTCTTTTTATTTGTATCTTCTGTATGGTTTTCCTTATAAAAAATGCAACCTACTTTACTTGCGAAACATGCCCTACTTTTCTTGCATGCTTTGCATAGAGTTGTTTCTAGTTATTCTATTATTTCTAGTAGTTTTATTTACATATATTGATTATAATTTTAATACTTAGTAATCTTTTATTTTCCAGAGAAAACTAGGAAGTAGACAGTTATAAACTGTCATATATTAGCATTCTATAGTAGGTTAGAAAATGTATGAATATACCATCTCCCAACATCTAGAGGGATGTGTTTCCTCATAATACAATTCCTCAGTGTGGCAGAAAAAAACATGTTTATTAACGGGCCAAAATATCTTTAGTCTCTCTGTAAAAATAGGAAGCCAAAAGTATATAAACTTGAATTATTTATGTTCAGTAATTAATGTTTTAGTATTGTATCTTATTTATAAATGGTCTAGATATTTAATGCAAATCTTTTAATTAAATTAACTTTAAGGTTAAAAATTACCAAAAGTACTTTGGAAACTATTCTTAGGCAGATTTACTGTAAACAAATTATTTTTGAAATAATGTTTTTCGCTTTTCACAAGATGGCACCGAAAGCGAAGGAAGCTCCTGCTCCTCCTAAAGCCGAAGCCAAAGCGAAGGCTTTAAAGGCCAAGAAGGCAGTGTTGAAAGGTGTCCGCAGCCACACGCAAAAAAGAGGATCCGCATGTCACTCACCTTCAGGCGGCCCAAGACACTGTGACTCCGGAGGCAGCCCAGATAGCCTCAGAAGAGCACCCCCAGGAGAAACAAGCTTGGCCACTATGCTATCATCAAGTTTCCGCTGACCACTGAGTCGGCCGTGAAGAAGATAGAAGAAAACAACACGCTTGTGTTCACTGTGGATGTTAAAGCCAACAAGCACCAGATCAGACAGGCTGTGAAGAAGCTCTATGACAGTGATGTGGCCAAGGTCACCACCCTGATTTGTCCTGATAAAGAGAAGAAGGCATATGTTCGACTTGCTCCTGATTATGATGCTTTCGATGTTGTAACAAAATTGGGATCACCTAAACTGAGTCCAGCTGGCTAACTCTAAATATATGTGTATCTTTTCAGCATAAAAAAATAATGTTTTTCATAAGAATGACAACTTAATTAGAATCAAATCTATAAGCTTTAAGATTTTACGTTTCTAGTAAGTATAATATTAGCTTATTTGACTAGAACTCAAGCAGAATAGGAATTTATGCTTGTTTTATATTCAATAATGATAATTTTGAAGATATAGTTGTTTTATTACACCAAAAATACTATATTAATCTTATTTAACTAAGTTTTATCCAAATCATGTTAACTTAAGAAACATTTGATCAGTTCCTATATTTCTAGGAGTTTGGTGAATATTTATTTATAAATGCTTATTTTTTTCCAAGCCAAGTTAGAATAGAGCACTTTTAGAGGATTTCATAAATGAATTTTGCAATGCTCTCTGGAGTTAAGAAAATATCACATATACATAACATACATTATTAGATACACAAACACAAATAGAGATTTCATAGCTTTCATCCTGAAATTTCAGCCATGAATCAGGCATAAATATTCTGATGGTTAATTTCAGACATCTACTTGATCGGATTGAGAGACACACATAGTGGTCAAACACGATTTCAGCCATGAATCAGGCATAAATATTCTGATGGTTAATTTTAGACATCTACTTGACTGGATTAAGAGACACACATAGCTGGTCAAACATGATTTCAGCCATGAATCAGCCATAAATATTCTGATGGTTAATTTTAGACATCTACTTGAGTGGATTAAGAGACACACATAGCTGGTCAAACACAATTTCAGCCATGAATCAGGCATAAATATTTTGACGGTTAATTTTAGACATCTACTTGATCGGATTGAGAGACACACATAGCTGGTCAAACACGATTTCAGCCATGAATCAGGCATAAATATTCTGATGGTTAATTTTAGACATCTACTTGAGTGGATTGAGAGACACACATAGCTGGTCAAACACAATTTCAGCCATGAATCAGGCATAAATATTCTGACGGTTAATTTTAGACATCTACTTGACTGGATTGAGAGACACACATAGCTGGTCAAACACGATTTCAGCCATGAATCAGGCATAAATATTCTGACGGTTAACTTTAGGCATCTACTTGATTGGATTGAGAGACACACATAGCTGGTCAAACACGATTTCAGCCATGAATCAGGCATAAATATTCTGATGGTTAACTTTAGACATCTACTTGACTGGATTGAGAGACACACATAGCTGGTCAAACACGATTTCAGCCATGAATCAGGCATAAATATTCTGACGGTTAACTTTAGGCATCTACTTGATTGGATTGAGAGACACACATAGCTGGTCAAACACGATTTCAGCCATGAATCAGGCATAAATATTCTGATGGTTAATTGTAGACATCTACTTGACTGGATTGAAAGACACACATAGCTGGTCAAACACGATTTCAGCCATGAATCAGGCATAAATATTCTGATGGTTAATTGTAGACATCTACTTGACTGGATTGAAAGACACACATAGCTGGTCAAACACGATTTCAGCCATGAATCAGGCATAAATATTCTGATGGTTAATTGTAGACGTCTACTTGACTGGATTGAGAGACACACATAGCTGGTCAAACACGATTTCAGCCATGAATCAGGCATAAATATTCTGATGGTTAATTGTAGACGTCTACTTGACTGGATTGAGAGACACACACAGCTGGTCAAACACGATTTCTGGGCATATCTATGAGGGCGTTTCTGGAAGACACTGAGATAACCATGACCCAATGTGGATGGGCACTGATATGGTTTGGCTGTGTCCCCACCCAGATCTCATCTTGAATTGTAGTTCCTGTAATACCTACATGTCGTGGGAGGGACCCAATGGGAGGTGACTGAATCGTGGTGGTGGTTACTGCCATGATGTTCTCATGACAGTGAGTGAGTTCTCATGATCTGATGGTTTTATAAGGGGCTTTTCCCCTTTGGCTCAGCACTTCTTGTTGCTGCCATGTGAAGAGGGATAGCTTTGCTTCCCCTTCTGCCATGATTGTGAGGCCCCTGCAGCCATGTGGAACTGTCAGCCCATTAAACCCCTTTGTTCTTTATAAATTGCTCAGACTCAGGTATTTCTTCATAGCTGTATAAAAATGGATGAATACAGGCAGCATCCAATTGGTTGAGAGCCCAGATAGAATAACAAGGAAGAGGAAAGGTGAATTATCTCCTTCTGAAATGGAAACATCCTTCTTCTCCTGCCCTTGACATCAGAACTTCAGGGTCTCAGACCTTTGGCCTCACAATCAGAGTTACACCATTGGCTTCCCTGATTCTGAGTCCTTTGTATCTGGAGTGAGCCATGCTACCAGCTTTCCTGGTTCTCCAACTTGGAGACAGGCTATTGTGGAACTTCTCAGCCTCCATAATTATGTGAACCAGTTCCCCTAATGAATCTTCTCTCATCTGTCTACATATATCCTATTGATTCTGCCTTTCTGGAGACCCCTGACTAATGTGATTACAATAACTACAAAATTCACTAGTTTATATAGAAGACTTGGTTTTTGTCTTTGCCCCATTTTATATTTGTATTATAACTATGTATCTGGAAAATGGAACAAGTTTTTTCTTCTTCATATGAGGGCTAAGGCTTTTTTCTCACCAATATTTTTGGAGATTTTAAAGATTTTCTTTTTTTTGACATAGAATCTTATGGAGGCTGAGAAATAATTTTTTTTCTATTTTATTCTTCAGCCCCAGGTGTTTGCTTTTGCAGATTCTTGAGCACATTGAGAGCCTCCAAGGCATGGAGTGGGGTGCCTGAAGTTTCAGTGATTATAGGGAGTTGAGAGACTCAACTGGGAAAGGAAAGGTCTAAAAGGAGGCAATTTGGAAGATAAAAATTTTCTCAAAGGAGCCATTAAAGTTGTAAATAATTCTTAGTAAAGTCATGCAAACAGGAAAAGAAGTAGAATTAGTTCCATATTGGTGGAACACATAGTCAGCAGAGGTTTGAGAAGGGAGAATTCAGTGAACTGAGAAGTTCCCATGAAAGCAGCAAGATCAAGATCACAGAGACCCCTTGAAACAAAAAGCCAGGAATAACTTCCAACCCAAGAGGAGAACAGAGAGGCCTCAAAACCAAAGCTAGGATAAGAAACTTGTAGCCCAAGAGTTATCTTCCAGACAAAGAAGCCTGAGATTCCAACGCAGCTTCAGAGAGTGCTCACTCAAAATGTTACTGAAACTGTAGGCTTTTTAATGACTTAGCCATGCCTGCAAAAGGCATTCCCTAAGGTGGCACAGAAGACGGAGCCCCCATATCCAAAGATAGCCAAGGAGAAAGAAAGACCCCTGTTGCCATAGCCAGTGGGCAAAGGCAACAGAAAAGGAGACAAGGGTCCTAATGGGATGAGATCCTTTCAGATTTAGGCTTATACAAACTCCTGAGAACTGGCAGGTTGACAGCCATAAATGGGGTACCAAACTTTCTACTCATTGGATTACAAGTTCTCAGGCATCCAGAATGATTAACAAAATGACAATTTCTAGGGCTTCTGTGGGAGAGTATGGAAAGGTCTTTTTGAACCTTTTAATGCTGTCAACGGAAAAATGATGAGGTTCATAAATTTGGAAAGGAGACATTTCTTCATTTCTATGCTTATTTTTATTTTTTTTTGAGACAGAGTTTCACTCTTGTTGCCCAGGCTGGAGTGCAATGGCATGATCTTGGTTCACTGCAACCTCCGCCTCCTGGGTTCAAGCGATTCTCCTGCCTCAGCCTCCTGATTAGCTGGGATTACAGATGCCCACCACCACACCTGGCTAATTTTTTGCAGTTTTGGTAGCGACAGGGTTTCATCATGTTGGCCAGGCTGGTCTGAAACTCCTGACCTCAGGTGATCCACCCACCTCGGCCTCCCAAAGTGCTGGGATTACAGGCATGAGCCACCCACCCAGTGAGAGATTTATTATCTATAAAGGGTTGTAGCCTGCAGGGTTGTCCTTCTGACAGGCTGGGAAGCATAGCCTCCAGCCAGAAGCCAGAAACAGACGCTTCAAGGAGGAGGTAAAGGAAATAGCAATTTATGCTGAGTGGAATGGCCAAATAGATTTATTTAATAAGCTCTAGGAGGAGTCATGAATATTTATGGAAGGAGAAATGCATGCACGCACAATTGAGTTTCTTGCTTCTTCATGGGTCCCATGTACAAAAAATGGCAGTGTTAGCATGATCCCAGGGTGGAGTTTTCAGCCCTCTGACATTAAAAGGTGAAGCAGAGGACATGAAAACTCGCTCTGTGCATCCTCTGTACGCTGGCCAGAACCTCTCCATCGTGGGTGGTCTCTTATCAGGCAAGAAAGGAGAGGTTGATATCAGTGGTGGAGGCTTTGAAAGGGCTGGTTTCTGTTAAATCCTTAGGGAAGAAAGCCTCATCATGGTTAGCAAAGGAGGGGGTATAACGATGTGTATCTTAACCCCATCATCCCATCCTAGCAAAGCTGAGAACTCAGTTTTGAAAGTTACTCTGGGGTCCCCTCAGCCAAGAGTGGGTCTGTTCAGTCAGTTGGGAGCTTAGAATTTCATTTTCATTTATCAATGCTAATGCGAAAGAGTACGCTGTCTTCATGGCAGCTGAATTTGCAAGAAACTCCTTGGATGGGGTTAATGGCAGCTGTATTTTTCTGGGAGCTCTGCTTTAATTGGATAAAGTAAGTTCTGGTAAGATTTCTTCATCTTCAGTATCTCAAATGTTTTCATTTAAATAATCTTTATAACAACTTTTGATGTCTGAGTGGATTCCCACACAGTCATCTATTGTAAGACTTTCTGATTCCTTTTTTTTCCTTTGGTCATTATGAATAGGGCTTCTGTAAATAACTGCATGGTAGCTTTTGATGGGAAATAACATCAAAGTAGTTGTCAAAATACTTAGGAATGTTATTTTTGGATTGTAAGGTGAGACTTGTTTAGCTTTGGAAAAAAATGCACAACTTGTAATAGGGGAGGAAAAATAATTTTCTGTTTTTGGAATTCTTAGATGGAACGCTCTGTAAAAACTGACAGATTAAAATGAGAAAAACAGAAAAGTTTAAAAACATGTATATCTTATGGTTACATGGGAGATACTCAGGGAAAAATGAGTAAATCTCCAACAGGTGGCTTTCAATTCAAGCATAAATACTATCTTCAACTTAAAGAAAGAAGATTTGAGGTGCAGTAGTGGGGAGCTAACCAGCAAAAGCACATTAGACAAGGGTAAGGTGCGTTATACAGACTTAAGTCCACGCATTCTCCATTGATAAGACTCTTCAGTGATTTAGTTATCCTTCTCTTCTTGGCGTCGAGAGAGGTAGCTTTTAAATGGTGATTTCCTTTATAGATGTAAATTTTCCTTACACAAGTAACTTCTCTATTTTCACAACTTCCTTTGTTAGCATTTTTTTTCAAAATAATTAGCTTGGAATAATTCTTAAGCCAAAGGGACATATTTTGGGGTTGCATATTCTGGTTTCCTACCATTATATTTCGGGGTGGCATAGTTTGGTCTTATACACTGTGTTCCACTGGCAATGAAAAGAGTTCTTGGTTTTCCTCCAGCAATTTGTCATTTGTTAAAGAGCTTAGCAGTTCTAAGAGATATAGACCAGCTGTGCTATCTTTTTGTGGTTTTCAGTTCTCTAGTATGTTGAGCATCTTTTTGTAAGTGTACTTGCCATCTGTAGATCTTCTTTGGTGAAGTGTCTGTTCAGATCTGTGTGCATTTTTAATTGGGTTGTTTAACTTATTGTTTAGTTTTAACAATTTTTTATATATTTTGAATACAAATTCTCAGATCTGTATTTTGCAAATATTTTCTTCAACATGTGGCTTGTCTTTTTGTTCTCTTAACAAGGTCTCTTCCAGAGTATAAACTGTAAATATTAAGAAATCCACATTGTCATTTCTTCTGTGTATATCAACCTTCTGTGTCATTTGTTAAAATTCATTACGAAACGCAAAGGCACATAGCTTTTCCTCTATAGTTTCTTCTAGAAATTGTATAGTTTTGCATTTTTAGTGTAAGGATGATTTTGAGTGATTATTTGTGTAAGTTGTAAAGTTTTCATCTACATGCATATCATTTCTTATGGTTTCCAATTAATCATTCCCTCACTATTTTTGGGAAAGACACAGGATAGTGGGCTCTGTTAGAGTAGATAGCTAGCTAGACATGAACAGGAGGGGGAGCTCCTGGAAAAGGGAAAGTCTGTGAAGGCTCACCTGGAGGGACCACCAAAAATGCACATATTAGTAGCATCTCTAGTGCTGGAGTGGATGGGCACTTGTCAATTGTGGTTAGGAGGGAGAAGAGGTACCTACGCAGAAACACCCTAGAACTTCTCTTAAGATGCCCCAATCGGATGGGCGCGGTGGCTCACGCCTGTAATCCCAGCACTGTGGGAGGCCGAGGCGGGTGGATCATGAGGTCAGGAGATCGAGACCATCCTGGCTAACAAGGTGAAACCCCGTCTCTACTAAAAATACAAAAAATTAGCTGGCGCGGTGGCGGGCGCCTGTAGTCCCAGCTACTCGGGAGGCTGAGGCAGGAGAATGGCGTGAACCCGGGAAGCGGAGCTTGCAGTGAGCCGAGATTGCGCCACTGCAGTCCGCAGTCTGGCCTGGGTGACAGAGTGAGACTCCGTCTCAAAAAAAAAAAAAAAAAAGAAGCCCCAATCATCATTCATTCTGCAATAAAAATGTCAGAATATTGCTAGCTACATGCTGATAAGAAGGACAAAGGGGACATTCTTAAGAGAAACCTGGCACCATAAGTACAGATTAAGGCAGAGAAAGACATTCAAAAGAGGCAGCTGCAGTAGATACAAACGTGACCGCTGTCAGCCTGCCTGGTATGGTGGGAAGGAGGCTGGTGCCAGAGTGGATTCGGATTGATCACCACACATGTACCTCAATCAAGTGAGGAGGTCCCACAAGGCTAAGTGGGGCAAGTCGGGGACCTAAGGCAGTAGCAGGAAAACCAAAGAAAACAGGCGGAGACTTGAGACAGAGGTAGGAATGTGAAGAAGTCCAAAATAAAAATCCCTGCACAGGACTCTTAGGCTGTTTTCATGCAGTATCAGCCTACTCCTCCCTATTTTTGTACAATAAGCTCTTTACACTGTATTTCTTTTCAATGAAGTTATCTTCCATCTTTGTACTGCCTCTTGGTGAAAAGCTGTCTTCCAAGTTAATAACTGGGACATCAGCTCTCCGCAGTAATAGCTCCTTTTCAGTTTTAATTTACAGAACTGATGGGGATTAATAACTGGCGCTCTGACTTTAAGTGGTGCAGGAGGTGGCCAATATGGGACGCCAGCCGTCACACCGGGAGCAAGAGGGCCCTGCGTAGTCCCCATGTGCCTGCATGTGGCGTGCAGCCACGACAATGCGAGCAAGAGGGCCCGGCAGTGTGCCCAGCTGCCAGCAGGCGGGTGTGCTGCCACTACAATGTGAGGAAGAGGGCCCTGCAATGTTCCTAGCTGCCAGCAGGCGGCATGCCACCACTATACTGCGAGCAAGAGAGCCCTGCCGTGCCCCGGCGCCAGCAGGGGGCGCTGGACAGCACTGTAAGCAAGAGGGCCCTGTAGTTGTCCTAGTCGCCAGTAGGGGGCGCAATGGCAGAGCACCGTGGGCAAGCTGGTCCTGTAGTGCCCGGCTGCAAGCAGCGGGCGCCCGAAACGGGCTTTTCAGATTACTCAGGTTCCACTCGTCTCTGCGCCGCCGGGTACGTGTGTCTCTGCGCCTGCACCGCGCCACCCCCGCGCTCCCCGCCCGGCGGCGCGCGAATGTACGACTGCAACACTCCCCGCCACCCTCAGCCCAGCGACGTGCGTCTCTGCGCCGGCGCCGCGCCTCACTCCCGCCCGCCCAGCGACCCCTCCCCTCCGGGGAGGCGCCGGCGTACGTCTATGCCCTGCGCCGCGTCTCCCCAAGAGCGCCGCGCCTCTCCGCGCCTGCGCCTCGGCGCGCCTGCGCCTCTCCGCGCCTGCGCCTCGGCGCGCCTGCGCCTCTCCGCGCCTCCGCCGGCGCGCCGCCTTTGCGAGGGCGGAGTTGCGTTCTCTTTAGCACACAGCCGGAGAGCATCGCGAGGGCGGAGCTGCGTTCTCCTCTGCACAGACTTCGGGGCTATTGCGAAGGCGGAGCAGAGTTCTTCTCAGGTCAGACCCGGGCGGGCGGGCTGAGGGCACTGCGACGGCGGAGCTGCGTTCTGTTCAGCACAGACCTGGGGGGCACCTTAAAGGCGGAGCAGCATTCTTCTCAGCACAGACGTTGGGTTAGGGTGAGGGTGAGGGTTAGGGTGAGGGTTAGGGCGAGGGTTAGGGTTAGGGCTAGGGCTAGGGCTAGGGGTTAGGGTAGGGGTTAGGGTTAGGGGTTAGGGTTGGGTTAGGGTTGGGTTTGGGGTTGGGGTAGGGTTAGGGTTAGGGGTTAGGGTTAGGGGTTAGGGTTAAGGGTTAGGGTAGGGTTAGGGTAAGGGTTGGGGCTGGGGTTGGGGTTAGGGGTAGGGTTAGGGTTAGGGGTTAGGGGTTGGGGTTAGGGTAGGGTAGTGTTAGGGTTAGGGTTTAGGGTTAGGGTTTAGGGTTAGGGTTTAGGGTTATGGTTAGGGTTAAGGGTTAAGGGTCAGGGTCAAGGTCAGGGTCACGGTTTTAGGGTGTTAGGGTTAGGGTAGGGTTAGGGTTAGGGTTGGGTTAGGGTTAGGGTAGGGTTAGGGTTTGGGTTAGGGTTAGGGTAAGGGTTAAGGGTTAAGGGTGGGGGTTGGGGTTAGGGGTAGGGGTAGGGGTAGGGTTGGGGTTGGGGTTGGGGTTAGGGGTTAGGGTTAGGTTTAGCTAACCCTAACCCCAACCCCAACCCCAACCCCAACCCCAACCCCAACCCTAACCCCTAACCCTAACCCCAACCCCAACCCTTAACCCTTACCCTAACCCTAAAATCCTAACCCTAAAACCCTAACCCTGACCCTGACCCTGACCCTACCCCTACCCCTACCCCTACCCCTAACCCCAACCCCAACCCCAACCCCACCCCTACCCCAACCCCAACCCCAAACCCAACCCAAACCCTAACCCTCACCCTCACCCTGCAATGCAGCCCCTCGCCTTGCTTTGGGAGAATCTCGCTGCCCAGGATTCAGAGGGGCTTTTTCTTTCCCGTTTTCCGCACTGAACCGCTCTAACTGGTCTCTAACCTTGATTATTCACGGCTGCAACCGGGAAAGATTTTATTCACCGTTGATGCGCCCCGAGTTGTCACAAAGCCAGGCAGTGGCCCCAACCTCTGTGCTTAGGGGAATGCTGCTCCACCTTTACGGTGACCCCCAGGTCTGTGCTGAGCAGAACGCAGCTCCGCCCTCGCGGTATCCTCAGCCCGCCCGCCCGCCCGGGTCTGACCTGAGGAGAACTCTGCTCCGCCTTCGCAGTACCACTGAAATCTGTGCAGAGGACAACGCAGGTCCGCCCTCGCGGTGCTCTCCGGGTCTGTGCTGAGGAGAACGCAACTCCGCCGTCGCAAAGGCACCCCGCGCCGCGCCGGCGCAGAGAGGCGCGCCGCGCCGGCGCCGGCGCAGAGAGGCGCAGGGCTCTCTTGCTTACAGTGGTCGCCAGCGCCCCCTGCTGGCGCCGGGGCACTGCAGGGCCCTCTTGCTTACTGTATAGTGGTGGCACGCCGCCTGCTGGCAGCTAGGGACATTGCAGGGTCCTCTTGCTCAAGGTGTAGTGGCAGCACGCCCGCCTGCTGGCAGCTGGGGACACTGCCGGGCCCTCTTGCTCCAACAGTAGTGGCGGATTATAGGGAAACACCCGGAGCATATGCTGTTTGGTCTCAGTAGACTCCTAAATATGGGATTCCTGGGTTTAAAAGTATAAAATAAATATGTTTAATTTGTTAACTGATTACCATCAGAATTGTACTGTTCTGTATCCCACCGGCAATGTCTAGGAATGCCTGTTTCTCCACAAAGTGTTTACTTTTGGATTTTTGCCAGTCTAACAGGTGAAGCCCTGGAGATTCTTATTAGTGATTTGGGCTGGGGCCTGGCCATGTGTATTTTTTTAAATTTCCACTGATGATTTTGCTGCATGGCCGGTGTTGAGAATGACTGCGCAAATTGCCGGATTTCCTTTGCTGTTCCTGCATGTAGTTTAAACGAGATTGCCAGCACCGGGTATCATTCACCATTTTTCTTTTTGTTAACTTGCCGTCAGCCTTTTCTTTGACCTCTTCTTTCTGTTCATGTGTATTTGCTGTCTCTTAGCCCAGACTTCCCGTGTCCTTTCCACCGGTCCTTTGAGAGGTCACAGGGTCTTGATGCTGTGGTCTTGATCTGCAGGTGTCTGACTTCCAGCAACTGCTGGCCTGTGCCAGGGTGCAAGCTGAGCACTGGAGTGGAGTTTTCCTGTGGAGAGGAGCCATGCCTAGAGTGGGATGGGCCATTGTTCATCTTCTGGCCCCTGTTGTCTGCATGTAACTTAATACCACAACCAGGCATAGGGGAAAGATTGGAGGAAAGATGAGTGAGAGCATCAACTTCTCTGACAACCTAGGCCAGTAAGTAGTGCTTGTGCTCATCTCCTTGGCTGTGATAGGTGGCCGGCCCTCGCTCCAGCAGCTGGACCCCTACCTGCCGTCTGCTGCCATCGGAGCCCAAAGCCGGGCTGTGACTGCTCAGACCAGCCGGCTGGAGGGAGGGGCTCAGCAGGTCTGGCTTTGGCCCTGGGAGAGCAGGTGGAAGATCAGGCAGGCCATCGCTGCCGCAGAACCCAGTGGATTGGCCTAGGTGGGATCTCTGAGCTCAACAAGCCCTCTCTGGGTGGTAGGTGCAGAGAGGGGAGGGGCAGAGCTGCAGGCACAGCCAAGAGGGCTGAAGAAATGGTAGAACGGAGCAGCTGGTGATGTGTGGGCCCACCGGCCCCAGGCTCCTGTCTCCCCCCAGGTGTGTGGTGATGCCAGGCATGCCCTTCCCTAGCATCAGGTCTCCAGAGCTGCAGAAGACGACGGCCGACTTGGATCACACTCTTGTGAGTGTCCCCAGTGTTGCAGAGGTGAGAGGAGAGTAGACAGTGAGTGGGAGTGGCGTCGCCCCTAGGGCTCTACTGGACCAGCGTCTCCTGTCTCCTGGAGAGGCTTCGATGCCCCTCCACACCCTCTTGATCTTCCCTGTGATGTCATCTGGAGCCCTGCTGCTTGCGGTGGCCTTATAAAGCCTCCTGGTCTGGCTCCAAGGCCTGGCAGAGTCTTTCCCAGGGAAAGCTACAAGCAGCAAACAGTCCGCATGGGTCATCCCCTTCACTCCCAGCTCAGAGCCCAGGCCAGGGGCCCCCAAGAAAGGCTCTGGTGGAGAACCTCTGCATGAAGGCTGTCAACCAGTCCATAGGCAAGCCTGGCTGCCTCCAGCTGGGTGGACAGACAGGGGCTGGAGAAGGGGAGAAGAGGAAAGGGGGTTGCCTGCCCTGTCTCCTACCTGAGGCTGAGGAGGGAGAAGGGGATGCACTGTTGGGGAGGCAGCTGTAACTCAAAGCCTTAGCCTCTGTTCCCACGAAGGCAGGGCCATCAGGCACCAAAGGGATTCTGCCAGCATAGTGCTCCTGGACCAGTGATACACCCGGCACCCTGTCCTGGACAAGCTGTTGGCCTGGATCTGAGCCCTCGTGGAGGTCAAAGCCACCTTTGGTTCTGCCATTGCTGCTGTGTGGAAGTTCACTCCTGCCTTTTCCTTTCCCTAGAGCCTCCACCACCCCGAGATCACATTTCTCACTGCCTTTTGTCTGCCCAGTTTCACTAGAAGTAGGCCTCATCCTGACAGGCAGCTGCACCACTGCCTGGCGCTGTGCCCTTCCTTTGCTCTGCCCGCTGGAGACGGTGTTTGTCATGGGCCTGGTCTGCAGGGATCCTGCTACAAAGGTGAAACCCAGGAGAGTGTGGAGTCCAGAGTGTTGCCAGGACCCAGGCACAGGCATTAGTGCCCGTTGGAGAAAACGGGAATCCCAAAGAAATGGTGGGTCCTGGCCATCCGTGAGATCTTCCCAGGGCAGCTCCCCTCTGTGGAACCCAATCTGTCTTCCATCCTGTGTGGCCGAGGGCCAGGCTTCTCACTAGGCCTCTGCAGGAGGCTGCCATTTGTCCTGCCCACCTTCTTAGAAGCGAGACGGAGCAGACCCATCTGCTACTGCCCTTTCTATAATAACTAAAGTTAGCTGCCCTGGACTATTCACCCCCTAGTCTCAATTTAAAAAGATCCCCATGGCCACAGGGCCCCTGCCTGGGGGCTTGTCACCTCCCCCACCTTCTTCCTGAGTCACTCCTGCAGCCTTGCTCCCTAACCTGCCCCACAGCCTTGCCTGGATGTCTATCTCCCTGGCTTGGTGCCAGTTCCTCCAAGTCGATGGCACCTCCCTCCCTCTCAACCACTTGAGCAAACTCCAAGACATCTTCTACCCCAACACCAGCAATTGTGCCAAGGGCCATTAGGCTCTCAGCATGACTATTTTTAGAGACCCCGTGTCTGTCACTGAAACCTTTTTTGTGGGAGACTATTCCTCCCATCTGCAACAGCTGCCCCTGCTAACTGCCCTTCTCTCCTCCCTCTCATCCCAGAGAAACAGGTCAGCTGGGAGCTTCTGCCCCCACTGCCTAGGGACCAACAGGGGCAGGAGGCAGTCACTGACCCCGAGACGTTTGCATCCTGCACAGCTAGAGGTCCTTTATTAAAAGCACACTGTTGGTTTCTGCTCAGTTCTTTATTGATTGGTGTGCCGTTTTCTCTGGAAGCCTCTTAAGAGAAGAACACAGTGGCGCAGGCTGGGTGGAGCCGTCCCCCCATGAAGTACAGGCAGACAGAAGTCCCCGCCCCAGCTGTGTGGCCTCAAGCCAGCCTTCCGCTCCTTGAAGCTGGTCTCCACACAGTGCTGGTTCCGTCACCCCCTCCCAGGGAAGCAGGTCTGAGCAGCTTGTCCTGGCTGTGTCCATGTCAGAGCAACGGCCCAAGTCTGGGTCTGGGGGGGAAGGTGTCATGGAGCCCCCTAGGATTCCCAGTCATCCTCGTCCTCCTCTGCCTGTGGCTGCTGCGGTGGCGGCAGAGGAGGGATGGAGTCTGACACACGGGCAAAGGCTCCTCCGGGCCCCTCACCAGCCCCAGGTCCTTTCCCAGAGATGCCTGGAGGGAAAAGGCTGAGTGAGGGTGGTTGGTGGGAAACCCTGGTTCCCCCAGCCCCCGGAGACTTAAATACAGGAAGAAAAAGGCAGGACAGAATTACAATGTGCCGGCCCAGGGCGGGCAGCGGCCCTGCCTCCTACCCTTGCGCCTCATGACCAGCTTGTTGAAGAGATCCGACATCAAGTGCCCACCTTGGCTCGTGGCTCTCACTGCAACGGGAAAGTCACAGACTGGGGTGAAGAGTTCAGTCACATGCGACCGGTGGCTCCCTGTCCCCACCCCCATGACACTCCCCAGCCCTCCAAGGCCACTGTGTTTCCCAGTTAGCTCAGAGCCTCAGTCGATCCCTGACCCAGCACTGGGCACTGATGAGAAAGCGGCTGTTTGAGGAGCCACCTCCCAGCCACCTCGGGGACAGGGCCAGGGTGTGCAGCACCACTGTACGATGGGGAAACTGGCCCAGAGAGGTGAGGCAGCTTGCCTGGGGTCACAGAGCAAGGCAAAAGCAGCGCTGGGTACAAGCTCAAAACCATAGTGCCCAGGGCACTGCCGCTGCAGGCGCAGGCATCGCATCACACCAGTGTCTGCGTTCACAGCAGGCATCATCAGTAGCCTCCAGAGGCCTCAGGTCCAGTCTCTAAAAATATCTCAGGAGGCTGCAGTGGCTGACCATTGCCTTGGACCGCTCTTGGCAGTCGAAGAAGATTCTCCTGTCACAGTTTGAGCTGGGTGAGCTTAGAGAGGAAAGCTCCACTATGGCTCCCAAACCAGGAAGGAGCCATAGCCCAGGCAGGAGGGCTGAGGACCTCTGGTGGCAGCCCAGGGCTTCCAGCATGTGCCCTAGGGGAAGCAGGGGCCAGCTGGCAAGAGCAGGGGTTGGGCAGAAAGCACCCGGTGGACTCAGGGCTGGAGGGGAGGAGGCGATCTTGCCCAAGGCCCTCCGACCGCAGGCTCCAGGGCCCGCTCACCTTGCTCCTGCTCCTTCTGCTTCTTCTTCTCCAGCTTTCGCTCCTTCATGCTGCGCAGCTTGGCCTTGCCGATGCCCCCAGCTTGGCGGATGGACTCTAGCAGAGTGGCCCGGCCACCGGAGGGGTCGACCACTTCCCTGGGAGCTCCCTGGACTGGAGCCGGGAGGTGGGGAACAGGGCAAGGAGGAAAGGCTGCTCAGGCAGGGCTGGGGAAGCTTACTGTGTCCAAGAGCCTGCTGGGAGGGAAGTCACCTCCCCTCAAACGAGGAGCCCCACGCTGGGGAGGCCAGACCTTTGAAGACTGTGTGGGGCCTGGGCACTGACTTCCGCAACCACCTGAGCGCGGGCATCCTGTGTGCAGATACTCCCTGCTTCCTCTCTAGCCCCCACCCTGCAGAGCTGGACCCCTGAGCTAGCCATGCTCTGACAGTCTCAGTTGCACACATGAGCCAGCAGAGGGGTTTTGTGCCACTTCTGGATGCTAGGGTTACACTGGGAGATACAGCAGTGAAGCTGAAATGAAAAATGTGTTGCTGTAGTTTGTTATTAGACCCCTTCTTTCCATTGGTTTAATTAGGAATGAGGAACCCAGAGCCTCACTTGTTCAGGCTCCCTCTGCCCTAGAAGTGAGAAGTCCAGAGCTCTACAGTTTGAAAGCCACTATTTTATGAACCAAGTAGAACAAGATATTTGAAATGGAAACTATTCAAAAAATTGAGAATTTCTGACCACTTAACAAACCCACAGAAAATCCACCCGAGTGCACTGAGCACGCCAGAAATCAGGTGGCCTCAAAGAGCTGCTCCCACCTGAAGGAGACGCGCTGCTGCTGCTGTCGTCCTGCCTGGCGCCTTGGCCTACAGGGGCCGCGGTTGAGGGTGGGAGTGGGGGTGCACTGGCCAGCACCTCAGGAGCTGGGGGTGGTGGTGGGGGCGGTGGGGGTGGTGTTAGTACCCCATCTTGTAGGTCTGAAACACAAAGTGTGGGGTGTCTAGGGAAGAAGGTGTGTGAGCAGGGAGGTCCCCGGCCCAGCTCCCATCCCAGAACCCAGCTCACCTACCTTGAGAGGCTCGGCTACCTCAGTGTGGAAGGTGGGCAGTTCTGGAATGGTGCCAGGGGCAGAGGGGGCAATGCCGGGGCCCAGGTCGGCAATGTACATGAGGTCGTTGGCAATGCCGGGCAGGTCAGGCAGGTAGGATGGAACATCAATCTCAGGCACCTGGCCCAGGTCTGGCACATAGAAGTAGTTCTCAGGGACCTGCAAGATTAGGCAGGGACATGTGAGAGGTGACAGGGACCTGCAGGGGCAGCCAACAAGACCTTGTGTGCACCTCCCATGGGTGGAATAAGGGGCCCAACAGCCTTGACTGGAGAGGAGCTCTGGCAAGGCCCTGGGCCACTGCACCTGTCTCCACCTCTGTCCCACCCCTCCCACCTGCTGTTCCAGCTGCTCTCTCTTGCTGATGGACAAGGGGGCATCAAACAGCTTCTCCTCTGTCTCTGCCCCCAGCATCACATGGGTCTTTGTTACAGCACCAGCCAGGGGGTCCAGGAAGACATACTTCTTGTACCTACAGAGGTGACATGGGGGTCAGGCAAGCTGACACCCGCTGTCCTGAGCCCATGTTCCTCTCCCACATCATCAGGGGCACAGCGTGCACTTGGGGTCCCAAGCCTCCCGAGCCGAGCCACCCCAGTCACCCCCTGGCTCCTGGCCCATGTGCTGTACCTGTGTCTGATGCCCTGGGTCCCCACTAAGCCAGGCCGGGCCTCCCGCCCACACCCCTCGGCCCTGCCTTCTGGCCATACAGGTTCTAGGTGGTGTTGAAGAGCAGCAAGGAGCTGACAGAGCTGATGTTGCTGGGAAGACCCCCAAGTCCCTCTTCTGCATCGTCCTCGGGCTCCGGCTTGGTGCTCACGCACACAGGAAAGTCCTTCAGCTTCTCCTGGGAGGGCCAGGATGGCCAAGGGATGGTGAATATTTGGTGCTGGGCCTAATCAGCTGCCACCCCATCCCAGTCAGCCTCCTCTGGGGGACAGAACCCTATGGTGGCCCCGGCTCCTCCCCAGCATCCAGTCCTCCTGGTGTGTGACAGGCTAAGTTATGTGCGCAGCCAGCAGACCTGCAGGGCCCGCTCGTCCAGGGGGCGGTGCTTGCTCTGGATCCTGTGGCGGGGGCGTCTCTGCAGGCCAGGGTCCTGGGCGCCCGTGAAGATGGAGCCATATTCCTGCAGGCGCTCTGGAGCAGGGTACTTGGCACTGGAGAACACCTGTGGACACAGGGACAAGTCTGAGGGGGCCCCAAGAGGCTCAGAGGGCTAGGATTGCTTGGCAGGAAGAGGGTGGAGTTGGGAGCCTGGGCGAGAAGAAAGCCCAAGGTACAGGTGGGCAGCAGGGCAGAGACTGGGCAGCCTCAGAGGCACGGGGAAATGGAGGGACTGCCCAGTAGCCTCAGGACACAGGGGCATGGGGACTACCTTGATGGCCTTCTTGCTGCCCTTGATCTTCTCAATCTTGGCCTGGGCCAAGGAGACCTTCTCTCCAATGGCCTGCACCTGGCTCCGGCTCTGCTCTACCTGCTGGGAGATCCTGCCATGGAGAAGATCACAGAGGCTGGGCTGCTCCCCACCCCCTGCACACCTCCTGCTTCTAACAGCAGAGCTGCCAGGCCAGGCCCTCAGGCAAGGGCTCTGAAGTCAGGGTCACCTGCTTGCCAGGGCCGATCTTGGTGCCATCCAGGGGGCCTCTACAAGGATAATCTGACCTGCAGGGTCGAGGAGTTGACGGTGCTGAGTTCCCTGCACTCTCAGTAGGGACAGGCCCTATGCTGCCACCTGTACATGCTATCTGAAGGACAGCCTCCAGGGCACACAGAGGATGGTATTTACACATGCACACATGGCTACTGATGGGGCAAGCACTTCACAGCCCCTCATGATCACGTGCAGCAGACAAAGTGGCCTCTGCAGAGGGGGAACGGAGACCGGAGGCTGAGACTGGCAAGGCTGGACCTGAGTGTCGTCACCTAAATTCAGACGGGGAACTGCCCCTGCACATAGTGAACGGCTCACTGAGCAAACCCTGAGTCCCGACCACCGCCTCAGTGTGGTCTAGCTCCTCACCTGCTTCCATCCTCCCTGGTGCAGGGTGGGCCCAGTGATATCAGCTGCCTGCTGTTCCCCAGATGTGCCAAGTGCATTCTTGTGTGCTTGCATCTCATGGAACGCCATTTCCCCAGACATCCCTGTGGCTGGCTCCTGATGCCCGAGGCCCAAGTGTCTGATGCTTTAAGGCACACATCACCCCACTCATGCTTTTCCATGTTCTTTGGCCGCAGCAAGGCCGCTCTCACTGCAAAGTTAACTCTGATGCGTGTGTAACACGACATCCTCCTCCCAGTCGCCCCTGTAGCTCCCCTACCTCCAAGAGCCCAGCCCTTGCCCACAGGGCCACACTCCATGTGCAGAGCAGCCTCAGCACTCACCGGGCACGAGCGAGCCTGTGTGGTGCGCAGGGATGAGAAGGCAGAGGCGCGACTGGGGTTCATGAGGAAGGGCAGGAGGAGGGTGTGGGATGGTGGAGGGGTTTGAGAAGGCAGAGGCGCGACTGGGGTTCATGAGGAAAGGGAGGGGGAGGATGTGGGATGGTGGAGGGGCTGCAGACTCTGGGCTAGGGAAAGCTGGGATGTCTCTAAAGGTTGGAATGAATGGCCTAGAATCCGACCCAATAAGCCAAAGCCACTTCCACCAACGTTAGAAGGCCTTGGCCCCCAGAGAGCCAATTTCACAATCCAGAAGTCCCCGTGCCCTAATGGGTCTGCCCTGATTACTCCTGGCTCCTTGTGTGCAGGGGGCTCAGGCATGGCAGGGCTGGGAGTACCAGCAGGCACTCAAGCGGCTTAAGTGTTCCATGACAGACTGGTATGAAGGTGGCCACAATTCAGAAAGAAAAAAGAAGAGCACCATCTCCTTTCAGTGAGGAAGCGGGGCCACCACCCAGCGTGTGCTCCATCTTTTCTGGCTGGGGAGAGGCCTTCATCTGCTGTAAAGGGTCCTCCAGCACAAGCTGTTTTAATTTACCCTAGTTCCCAGGACAGCCTCATTCTGCCTTGGGTGCTGACACGACCTTCAGTAGGTGCATAAGCTCTGCATTCGAGGTCCACAGGGGCAATGGGAGGGAACTGAGACTGGGGAGGGACAAAGGCTGCTCTGTCCTGGTGCTCCCACAAAGGAGAAGGGCTGATCACTCAAAGTTGCGAACACCAAGCTCAACAATGAGCCCTGGAAAATTTCTGGAATGGATTATTAAACAGAGTCTGTAAGCACTTAGAAAAGGCCACGGTGAGTCCCAGGGGCCAGCACTGCTCGAAATGTACAGCATTTCTCTTTGTAACAGGATTATTAGCCTGCTGTGCCCGGGGAAAACATGCAGCACAGTGCATCTCGAGTCAGCAGGATTTTGACGGCTTCTAACAAAATCTTGTAGACAAGATGGAGCTATGGGGGTTGGAGGAGAGAACATATAGGAAAAATCAGAGCCAAATGAACCACAGCCCCAAAGGGCACAGTTGAACAATGGACTGATTCCAGCCTTGCACGGAGGGATCTGGCAGTTCATTCAACACCTGGTTAGAAAACTGGGGCCAGCACACAGGGGAAGGGTAAGCTGGTTTCATGATCGAATCAAGGCTCAGACAATTTTTAAAGGCCAGAGGGTAGACTGCAATCACCAAGATGAAATTTACAAGGAATAAATGTGAAGCCCATTTAGGTTTTAAAAATCAAGCGTATAAATACAGAAGGTGGAGGGAACTTGCTTTAGACACAGTTCAGGTGAAGAAAGACCTGGAAACTTCTGTTAACTATAAGCTCAGTAGGGGCTAAAAGCATGTTAATCGGCA
Source organism: Homo sapiens (assembly GCF_000001405.40). Taxonomy (NCBI): domain Eukaryota; kingdom Metazoa; phylum Chordata; class Mammalia; order Primates; family Hominidae; genus Homo; species Homo sapiens. The sequence goes on along the minus strand of NC_000002.12, from coordinate 113,592,738 downwards.
TAAAAAGGCAATGAGATCTTAGGGCACACAGCTCCCCGCCCCTCTTCTGCCCTTCATCCTTCTTTCAATCAGCAGGGACCGTGCACTCTCTGGGAGCCAACACAGAAAACAGAGGTGCATCCAGCACCACAGAAAACAGAGCCACCACAGAAAACAGAGGGGTGACTGTCATCCCCTCCAGTCTCTGCACACTCCCAGCTGCAGCAGAGCAGGAGGAGAGAGCACAGCCTGCAATGCTAATTTGCCAGGAGCTCACCTGCCTGCGTCACTGGGCACAGACGCCAGTGAGGCCAGAAGCCGGGCTGTGCTGGGGCCTGAGCTGGGTGGTGGGGAGAGAGTCTCTCCCCTGCCCCTGTCTCTTCCGTGCAGGAGGAGCATGTTTAAGGGGAAGGGTTCAAAGCTGGTCACATCCCCACCAAAAAAGCCCATGGACAACGAAAAGCCCACTAACTTGTCCAGTGCCACAGGAGGGGCAAGTGGAGGAGGAGAGGTGGCGGTGCTCCCCACTCCACTGCCAGTCGTCACTGGCTCTCCCTTCCCTTCATCCTCATTCCCTATCTGTCACCATTTCCTGTCGTCGTTTCCTCTGAATGTCTCACCCTGCCCTCCCTGCTTGCAAGTCCCCTGTCTGTAGCCTCACCCCTGTCACATCCTGACTACAATAACAGCTTCTGGGTGTCCCCGGCATCCACTCTCTCTCCCTTCTTATCCCTTCCGTGACGGATGCCTGAGGAACCTTCCCCAAACTCTTCTGTCCCATCCCTGCCCTGCTCAAAATCCAATCACAGCTCCCTAACACTCCTGAATCAACGTGAAGTCCTGTCTTGAGTAATCCGTGGGCCCTAACTCACTCATCCCAACTCTTCACTCACTGCCTTGCCCCACACCCTGCCAGGGAGCCTCCCGTGGCACCGTGGGGACACAAAGGAACCAGGGCAAAGCTCCCTCAGCCCCATTCAAAGAGGCCTGGCCCACAGGCTCACGGAAAGTCAGCCTCTCATGCCCCGAGAGCTGAGTGCAAGGGAGAGGCAGCGCTGTCTGTGCTTCCCATGCAGAAGCACCCCCCTCCCACCCCTGTGCAGGCCGGCCTTCGCGGCAGACCACCATACACCACGTTCCAAGCCACACTGAGGCCTCCCTCCAAGCCTGCGGCCCCCATTTCCAGACCCCACCAGGGCAACCTGCATATCCACCTCCCTACCCTGCCCCCCTCTTCCAGGAGTCTGCCCTGTGTGGAGTAAGCACGTGGTTTTCCTCTTCAGCAACTATTTCCTTTTTACTCAAGCAATGGCCCCATTTCCCTTGGGGAATCCATCTCTCTCGCAGGCTTAGTCCCAGAGCTTCAGGTGGGGCTGCCCACAGAGCTCCTCAGTCTAAGCCAAGTGGTTGTGTCATAGTCCCCTGGCCCCAGTAATGGATTCTGGGATAGACATGAGGACCAAGCCAGGTGGGATGGGTGAGTGTGGCTTCTGGAGGAAGTGGGGACACAGGAGAGCATTCTTTCCTGCTGGACCTGACCCTGTGTCATGTCACCTTGCTACCACGACAGCATGGCCTGTCTGGGAATGCAGCCAGACCCAAAGAAGCAAACTGACATGGAAGGAAAGCAAAACCAGGCCCTGAGGACATCATTTTAGCCCTTACTCCGAAGGCTGCTCTACTGATTGGTTAATTTCTGCTTAGCTTGGTCTGGGGAGTTCTGACAGGCGTGCCACCAATTCTTACCGATTTCTCTCCACTCTAGACCCTGAGAAGCCCACGCGGTTCATGCTAGCAATTAACAATCAATCTCGCCCTATGTGTTCCCATTCCAGCCTCTAGGACACAGTGGCAGCCACATAATTGGTATCTCTTAAGGTCCAGCACGAGGTGGAGCACATGGTGGAGAGACAGATGCAGTGACCTGGAACCCAGGAGTGAGGGAGCCAGGACTCAGGCCCAAGGCTCCTGAGAGGCATCTGGCCCTCCCTGCGCTGTGCCAGCAGCTTGGAGAACCCACACTCAATGAACGCAGCACTCCACTACCCAGGAAATGCCTTCCTGCCCTCTCCTCATCCCATCCCTGGGCAGGGGACATGCAACTGTCTACAAGGTGCCAAGTACCAGGACAGGAAAGGAAAGACGCCAAAAATCCAGCGCTGCCCTCAGAGAAGGGCAACCACGCAGTCCCCATCTTGGCAAGGAAACACAATTTCCGAGGGAATGGTTTTGGCCTCCATTCTAAGTGCTGGACATGGGGTGGCCATAATCTGGAGCTGATGGCTCTTAAAGACCTGCATCCTCTTCCCTAGGCTTCCCTCGGGCACATTTAGCACAAAGATAAGCACAAAAGGTGCATCCAGCACTTTGTTACTATTGGTGGCAGGTTCATGAATGGCAACCAAAGGCAGTGTACGGGTCAAGATTATCAACAGGGAAGAGATAGCATTTCCTGAAGGCTTCCTAGGTGCCAGGCACTGTTCCATTCCTTTGCATGTTTTGATTAATTTAATATTTACAATAATTCTACCAGGAAGCTACCATTATTACCACAACTTCACAAATGAGAACACCGAGGCTTAGAGGGGTTGGGTTGCCCAAGGTTACAGAGGAAGAAAACAGGGGAGCTGGATCTGAGCCAAGGCATCAACTCCAAGGTAACCCCTCAGTCACTTCAGTGTGTGTCCCCTGGTTACTGGGACATTCTTGACAAGCTTGGGGCAAGCCGGTGAGTCCGTGGGGGAGGACTTTCAGGAAGAAGTGGGTTCCCAGTTGGTGACAGAAGAGGAGGCTGCAAAGCGAAGGAGCAGGGGCTCCAGGTCTGGCAACAACCAGGGAAGGGACAGGGCAGGGATGGCTTGGACCACGAGAGGCACCTGAGTCAGGCAGTCACATACTTCCCGCTGGGGTCTACCATGTGAGGCATGGTGTGGAATCCTGGGAAGGAGACCAAGCCTCATTTCAGTTTGCTTATGGCCAAAGACAGGACCTGTGTACCCGACAACCCCTGGGACCTTTGCCAAAAAAACAGCAAACACCATTCACTCACTCATGTTAGATAAACACTGAGTGAAGTCACTGGAGCCCAAGGACTGTGCGAGGTCAGCACTGCCAATACAAGAAGCTGCAGCCCTCCAGCTCGCCTCCCTCAATGGCCACTCCGTGCTCCAGCCATGCTGGCTTCCTTTTAGGTCCTCCACCTCCAGGCTGTAGTTCATGTGCTTCTTTCTGGAATGTTCTTCCCAACCTACCCACTCAACCCTCAGACTTTACCATAAATGTCATTTCCTCACATCTGCCTTCCCTGACCTGAGACCAAGCCAGGCTTCCCATGACGAGCCTCACAGTACCCCATCTCCCCTGAACAGATGCAGTAATAACCTACATAACCCAGGACCATGATCTATGGCTTTGAATCCTGGCTCTGTCACTAGGCCAGGTCTCTCAGCCTTTCTGTGCCTCAGTTTCCTCATCTATAAAATGAGATGACGGCAGTGCCTGCTCATGAAGTGTGAGTTAATGCACTCAAATCAATGGTGGTGCACGGTTTATATGAATATTAGTGATTACAAAATATTATCAATAGACCTTGTCACAACTGTTATTGAAGAACTAATCATCTATTGCTTATTTAGGTCTTTCTCTCCTGCCAGAATGTGCGCTCCAGGTGGAGAGGTATGTTGCCTTATCCGTGGCTGGATATATAGAGATTCCCACACTGCCTTGCACACGAGCACTACTGGGTAAATATTTGTTGGCTGCAGGAAAACGTGAAGGAATAGGCCCTCCAATGGGAGGAAAAGCATGAGTTGTGAGAGCAGAGCCACCACAGGAAACCAGGAGGCTAAGTGGGGTGGAAGGGAGTGAGCTCTCGGACTCCCAGGAGTAAAAGCTTCCAAGTTGGGCTCTCACTTCAGCCCCTCCCACACAGGGAAGCCAGATGGGTTCCCCAGGACCGGGATTCCCCAAGGGGGCTGCTCCCAGAGGGTGTGTTGCTGGGATTGCCCAGGACAGGGATGGCCCTCTCATCAGGTGGGGGTGAGTGGCAGCACCCACCTGCTGAAGATGTCTCCAGAGACCTTCTGCAGGTACTGCAGGGCATCTGCCATCTGCTGGACGGCCTCCTCTCACCGCAGGTCTGGCTGGATGAGGGGCACGGCATAGGTCTGACCTGCCAGGGAGTGCTGCATCCTCACAGGAGTCATGGTGCCTGTGGGTCGGAGCCGGAGCATCAGAGCCACCCACGACCACCGGCACGCCCCCACCACAGGGCAGCGTGGTGTTGAGACAACACAGCCCTCATCCCAACTATGCACATAGCTTCAGCCTGCACAGATAGGGGAGTAGGGGACAGAGCATTTGCTGAGAGGCCAGGAGCGCATAGATGGGACTCTGCTGATGCCTGCTGAGTGAATGAGGGAAAGGGCAGGGCCAGGGACTGGGGAATCTGTAGGGTCAATGGAGGAGTTCAGAGAAGGTGCAACATTTCTGACCCCCTACAAGGTGCTTGCTACCTGCCAGGCACCCTTTCCATACATTGTCTCAGTTCAGCTCCCCACCTTGGATAAACAAGAAACCTTGGTTGCAGAGGAAAGAAGAGGCTGGAAACAAAGGGGTAGAAATGGGGTAGCGGGGGAGATTGCGTGATCAACTGCCAAATGGTACCCAGTTCTGGAAAAGCACAAAAAATGCGCACACACGGGTTCTTCCCACTTTAACCCCTGAGGAATTTGAGGCCTGCTCCTGAAACAGACTGGGCAGTGGCTAGTGACTCTAGGTATAGGAGTATCCAGCCCTGCTCACCCAGGCTAGAGCTTAGGGGGCCAAGAGGAAAGAGGTGCCTGTGGGGGTAGAGGACAGGAAGGAAAAACACTCCTGGAATTGCACAGTGAGGGCAGAGTCTATTTATATTGGGTTTAATTAACTCCTCTCCCTGGTGCCACTAAAGCAGCAATCACACTGCAGACAGCACTGATTTGATTGGCAAGAGATGCACCAGGCAGAATATTAAGGGACCAGGCCCCTATAAATAGGCCTAATCACAGCCCCTCGCTGGAAAATGGTAAGGAAGACATTAATCAGGCCTGGCACTATGCCCTAGACCTGCTCCCCTAGGCACTACAGTGGGGCCCTTGGTTGCAACACAAGTAGGTAGGGATGGATGAGTGTGGCATGAAGGGCCTAGGAGATTTCATTTGGGTTTAAAATGCTGTGACCTTGAGTAAGTTGCCGTCTCTGAATCTGATCCTTTCCATTTCCCATTCTTCAAACTGAGAACTCGCACTGCTGAGACGTGGTTATTCCCAATAATAATTTGTATATTTTACATAACATACCACACCAACATCTTCACCCAGCTGGAGCCTACTCCTTTGCTCCCCCTGCTGGCTTCCCCAGCCCTCCCTTCTGCCCTCCTCAGGCCAGCACTTTTCAGTGAGTTCCTCCTTTGCATACAGGCTTTCCAGATCTGTACTTGCCTATAATACTCATCAGAGCCCAGGAGTTACTCCTCACCTCCCACTTATTTTTCCTCCCATCAAATAACTAAAGCATGGCCAGCTGATGCCCAGCCAACTGAGAAACCTAACCCTCTGAGACCAGCACACCCCTTTCAAGCATGTTCCTCCCTTCCCTTCTTTGTATTTATACTGATGCAAGTTTGCTGGCTGTCCTAACTTATTTCTGTGCCTCAGTTCTCCCATATGTAAGATCACAAAGGGGGTAAAGATGCAAGATATTTCCTGTGCACATCTTCAGATGAATTTCTTGTTAGTGTGTGTGTGTTTGCTCACACATATGCGTGAAAGAAGAGTACATACACAGATCTCCTCAAAAAGGAGGCAGCAAGCCCGTTCAAGAACGGGACTGAATACACCTGATGAGTGGTTTACTTTCTGTCTGCAAACATCTACTGATCATCTGTTAGGTGCAGGCCATGATCACAACAAAGACGAATAAGACACTACACTAGCCAGGGAGAGTCTCAAAAACAACTAAACTCAAATTAAATTCATTCTACTCCAGTCATGAGTACAAAGCTAAGGAGTGACAAATCCCTCTTGGAGTTAGGGGAGTCAGGAAAAAGCTCTTAGCAGAATGTGTGCCTCTCGGCCGGGCGCAGCGGCTCACGCCTGTAATCCCAGCACTTTGGGAGGCGAAGGCAGGCAGATCACCTGAGGTCGGGAGTTCGAGACCAGTCTGACCAACATGGTGAAACTCCATCTCTACTAAAAATACAAAATTAGCCAGGCGTGGTGGTGCATGCCTGTAATCCCGGCTACTCGGGAGGCTGAGGAAGGAGAATCACTTGAACCGGGGAGGTGGAGGTTGCAGTGTGCCAAGATCGCGCCATGGCACTCCAGCCTAGGCAACAAGAGTGAACCAGGTCCAGGAAGAAGGTGCAAAGACAGCATTCCAGGTAAAAGAAACAGCTTGAACAAAAAGTGTGTAGGGAAACCGCAAGCGGTCTTGAGTGCTGAGGGTACAATCATCCTTGGGGAAGTACTAGAAGAAAGAATGATAAACAGAGGCCAGTTTGTTAAAAACACTCAAAATTAAAGCTAGGAGTTTGGACTTGTGGCAGGAATGAAATCCTTAGACCTGTGCTGTCCAATATGGTAGCCACCAGGCACATGCAGCCACTGAGCACTTGAAATGTGGATAGTCTGAATTGAGATGTGCCATAAGTGTAAAATATGCACCAAATTTCAAAGACTAGAAAAAAAGAATGTAAAATATCTTATTATTTTATATTGATTACATGCTAAAATAACCATACTTGGGATATACTGGATTTTAAAAATATATTACTAATTTCATCTGTTTCTTTTTACTTTTAGAAATCACATATGTGACTTAAATATTTCTTTTCTTTTTCTTTCCTCTCACTCAGCGTCCTGTGATTCCAAAGAAATGAGTCTCTGCTGTTTTTGGGCAGCAGATATCCTAGAATGGACTCTGACCTAAGCATCAAAATTAATCATCATAACGTTATCATTTTATGGCCCCTTCTTCCTATATCTGGTAGCTTTTAAATGATGACCATGTAGATAATCTTTATTGTTCCTCTTTCAGCAGACGGTATTTTCTTATGCTACAGTATGACTGCTAATACTTACACGTTAGAACCATTCTGAGTCCTCAAGAATCTCATTTAACTCTTATTATCAGTGAATTTATCATCCCCAATTTTACATAAGGAAATGGGGTTAGAAAGACCAAATAACATTTTTTCAACATCAAAACACTAGCTTGAGATCAAGCCCAGACTTGATCTGTTGTCTGAATTCCAAGCTTTTTGTTATTTATTGATATGTTTTGTTGTTTTCATGCAATAATGCAAATCTTAGCCCATTTTGTTAGTAGTACCAACTGTAAGTCACCTTATCTTCATACTTTGTCTTTATGTAAACCTAAATTAGATCTGTTTTTGATACTGAGGGAAAAACAAGGGAATCTAACACTAACCAGCCCGTAGTGTGTGGTCAACACTTTCGTTACTTTAGTATACATCACCCCAGTTGTTTGTCTTCACCACACACTTTGGAGTTAGGTAGTAGTATCTATTTTTACAAATAAGAAAACCCAGGCACAAAGGGGTTGATTAGCAATTATCTTTTGAAAAGCCTGTAGTTGCTCATCTGAAGAAGTGACGGACCACCTCTTATTTAGTGGACAGACAATAACTAGTGGAGAAGACAGGGGATTTTGTTGGCGGAAAAAAATTTTTATCAAAAGTCGTCTCCTATCAGGGAGTTTTATGAGAAACCCTAGCTCCTCAGTTCCACAGTGGGTAACTGTAATTCACTCTAGGTCTGCGATATTTCCTGCCTATCCATTTTGTTAACTCTTCAATGCATTCCACAAATGCCTAAGTATTCTTTAATAATGGTGGGTTTTTTTTTTTGCATCTATGAAGTTTTTTCAAATTCTTTTTAAGTGACAAAACTTGTACATGTGTATCGCACAAAATTTCTAGTCGACAGCACTGCTTTACAGAATGTAAACCGTGCACTCCCAGGAAAATGCAGACACAGCACGCCTCTTTGGGACCGCGGTTTATACTTTCGAAGTGCTCGGAGCCCTTCCTCCAGACCGTTCTCCCACACCCCGCTCCAGGGTCTCTCCCGGAGTTACAGGCCTCGCTGTAGGCCCCGGGAACCCAACGCGGTGTCAGAGAAGTGGGGTCCCCTACGAGGGACCAGGAGATCCGGGCGGGCAGCAGCTGCGGAAGAGCCGCGCGAGGCTTCCCAGAACCCGGCCGGGGCGGGAAGACGCAGGAGTGGGGAGGCGGAACCGGGACCCCGCAGAGCCCGGGTCCCTGCGCCCCACAAGCCTTGGCTTCCCTGCTAGGGCCGGGCAAGGCCGGGTGCAGGGCGCGGCTCCAGGGAGGAAGCTCCGGGGCGAGCCCAAGACGCCTCCCGGGCGGTCGGGGCCCAGCGGCGGCGTTCGCAGTGGAGCCGGGCACCGGGCAGCGGCCGCGGAACACCAGCTTGGCGCAGGCTTCTCGGTCAGGAACGGTCCCGGGCCTCCCGCCCGCCTCCCTCCAGCCCCTCCGGGTCCCCTACTTCGCCCCGCCAGGCCCCCACGACCCTACTTCCCGCGGCCCCGGACGCCTCCTCACCCGCGAGCCGCCCTCCCGGAAGCTCCCGCCGCCGCTTCCGCTCTGCCGGAGCCGCTGGGTCCTAGCCCCGCCACCTCCGCCCGCGCCTCCGGGTCCTAACGCCGCCGCTCACCCTCCGCTGCGCCCTCCCCGAGCGCGGCTCCAGGACCCCGTCGACCCGGAGCGCTGTCCTGGTGGACCGAGTCGCGGGCCTGGGCACGGAACTCACGCTCACTCCGAGCTCCCGACGTGCACACGGCTCCCATCCGTTGTCTTCCGAGCGTCAGGCCGCCCCTACCCGTGCTTTCTGCTCTGCAGACCCTCTTCCTAGACCTCCGTCCTTTGTCCCATCGCTGCCTTCCCCTCAAGCTCAGGGCCAAGCTGTCCGCCAGCCTCGGCTCCTCCGGGCAGCCCTCGCCCTGGGTGCGCCCCGGGGCAGGACCCCCAGCCCAGGCCCAGGGCCCGCCCCTGCCCTCCAGCCCTACACATTGACCCGCTTTCCTGCGTCTCTCAGCCTATCTGACCTTGTCTTTACCTCTGTGGGCAGCTCCCTTGTGATCTGTTTAGTTCCCACCCCCCTTTAAGAATTAAATAGAGAAGCCAGACGCAAAACTACAGATATCGTATGAGTCCACTTTTGTGAAGTGCCTAGAGTAGTCAGAATTCACAGAGACAGAAGCAGTGGTCGCCAGGAATGGGGAAGCAAGGCGGAGTTGGGCAGCTCGTGTTCAATGGGTAGAGTTTCAGGCTGGGGTGATGGAAAGGTGCTGGAAATGAGTGGTAGTGATGGCGGCACAACGGTGTGAATCTACTTAATCCCACTGAACTGTATGCTGAAAAATGGTTTAGACGGTGAATTTTAGGTTATGTATGTTTTACCCCAATTTTTAAAAAGCTAGTGAAAAGCTGGTAAAAAGAAAGAAAAGAGGCTTTTTTAAAAAGTTAAATATATAAAAAGAGCATCATCAGTCCAAAGTCCAGCAGTTGTCCCTCCTGGAATCCGTTGGCTTCCCTCCGGCATTTTTGGCTCTTGCCTTTTAGGGTTGCCAGATTAAAAGACAGGATGCCCAGCTAGTTTGAATTTTAGATAAACAACGAATAATTTCGTAGCATAAATATTTCCCAAGCTTAGTTTGGGACATACTTATGCTAAAAAACATTATTGGTTGTTTATCTGAGATTCAAAATTAAGCATTTTATATTTTATTTGCTGCCTCTGGCCACCCTACTCTCTTCCTAACACTCTCTCCCTCTCCCAGTTTTGTCCGCCTTCCCTGCCTCCTCTTCTGGGGGAGTTAGATTGAGTTGTAACAAGAACATGCCACTGTCTCACTGGCTGCAGCGTGTGGTCCCCTTACCAGAGGTAAGGAAGAGATGGATCTCCACTCATGTTGTAGACAGAATGTTTATGTCCTCTCCAAATTCTTATGTTGAAACCCTAACCCCTAATGTGATGGTATGTGGAGATGGGCCTTTGGTAGGTAATTACGGTTAGATGAGGTCATGGGGTGGGGCCCTCATTATAGATCTGGTAAGAAAAGAGAGCATTGTCTCTCTGTCTCCCTCTCTCTCTCTCTCTCTCTCTCTCTCTCTCTATCTCTATCTCATTTCTCTCTCTCTCTCTATCTCATTTCTCTCTCTCTCTTTCTCTCCTCTGTCTTTTCCCACCAAGTGAGGATGCGAAGAGAAGGTGGCTGTCTGCAAACCAGGAAGAGAGCCCTCACCAGGAACCCGTCCAGCTGCCACCTTGAACTTGGACTTCCAAGCCTCCAGAACTGTGAGGGATAAATGTATGATTTTAAAGTCGCCCAGTGTGTGGTATTTTGTTTTGACTAATACAACCTGAAAACATTTTCCCCTCACTCCACCTGAGCAATATCTGAGTGGCTTAAGGTACTCAGGACACAACAAAGGAGAAATGTCCCATGCACAAGGTGCACCCATGCCTGGGTAAAGCAGCCTGGCACAGAGGGAAGCACACAGGCTCAGGGCTCTGCTATTCATTCTTTGTGTGACCCTGGGCAAGCCATGAATGGAGCTTCAGTCACCCCATTTGTAATGGGATTTAATTGTGCTTGCCCTGCCTCCTTTTGAGGGCTGTAGAGAAAAGATGTCAAAGTATTTTGTAATCTGGCTGGGCGTGGTGGCTCATGCCTGTAATCCCAGCACTTTGGTAGGCTGACGCGAGAGGACTGCTTGAGCCCAAGAGTTTGAGATCAGCCTGGGCAATATTGTGAGATTCCATCTCTACAAAAATAAAATAAAATAGCCAGTCATGGTGTCACACACCTGTAGTCCCAGCTACATGGGAGGCTGAGGCGGGAGGATCACTTGAGCTTGGGAGATTGAGGCTGCAGTGAGCTATGATTGTACCACTGCACTCCAGGCTGGGCGACAGAGAGAGACCCTGTCTCAGGGAAAAAAAAAAGTACTTTGTAATCTGTAAGGTTTATTTCAACACACACAAAAAAAGTGTATATGCTCCACGATGCCTGTGAATATACACACACACCACATCATATACCAAGCCTGGCTGTGTCTTCTCACAAATGCACTGCTAGGCACCACCCCCAGTTCTAAATCACACCAGCCAGTTCACCCTCCAGATGGTTCACCCTCAACTTCATAAAAGTTCCCTACCTAATCTACTGACAGCCTCATCCCCGACCTAATTTTAAAGATTTCCTAGGAGCTGCAATGGGAATCCTGGACCTCAGCCTGGACAAAGAACAGCTGCAGGTCATTCTCATGTGTGGACACGGAAGCCCTGCCTGCCTTTGCTGGCCAGCTGGGCTGAGTGGGCCTGGGAAATTAAGGCTGCAGGGTTGGTCCCAGGCAGTCTTGCTGAAGCTTGCCACATCCCCCAGCCTCCTCGATTTGCCAGGATCCAAGAGCATGGACTTTAGGAATTCCTGGTGGAGGAGTGAAGAAAATGTGACAGGGTGTCCTAAGCCCCGATCTACAGGAAGAAAACTGGAAATAAGACTGAGGACTTAGTTTAAGATGTTCCTACTCAGCCTCTAGCTTTTGTGCTACAGTTCCGGGAACAGACTCCTCTCTCCTGAAAACCATTTCCCTCTGCAGCATTAAATTTCACCAAGATGTCTTGCTTGTGGGAAAGACTTCCAAGGATGCCTGGAGAGAGGAGGATGGAAATGTCCTGCTCTCTAAACAGATAGACAGATGCAGCCAGACAGAAAATAGTTTATCTTGCTGAGGTTTCTAATGTATTTGAAAGAGGCCTGGGTCTAGAAGTCTACCCAGAGGGCTCTGTGTTGTGCACGCAAAGATAAGAACCTTCCCTGTGGGAGTTCCAGAGCCAGTTTTCATAAACACCCATCGGTGACTGTGTTCAGAGTGAGTTCACACCATCCTGACCTGCCCTGAGTTAGACCTTACATGGTCTTCCTCCTCTAGGAAGCCTCTGCAGCCCAGGAACCTCCCCTTATCTGAAATGAACAGCATTTGAAGCTTCACCAGACAGACCAGACAGCTTAGCCCTCGTGTTGTGCTATGTGGGTTGTTCTCTGAGAGGCAGGAGAGCATAGTGGTTACTAGGAAGGGAAGGACTTTGGGACTAGACTGCCTCGGCTGGAGTCCTCTTTCTGCTTCATAGCCACGTGATCCTAGGCATGTTACCTGTGCCTCAGTTTTCACTCTATCAATATGTAATAACTGAATCTGTCTTTGTGGTGAGGATTCAGTGAGTTAACATATTTGAAGTGCTTAAAAATGAGGCTTGTGTCCATAGATTAATGAGTGAATACACAAATGGTGATATGGACATACAGTGGAGTATTAGTCATAAAAAGGAAGGCAGAGCTGATCCATGGCACCATGTGACTGAACCTCAAAAGCATTAGGTTAAGTGGAAGAAGCCAGACACAGGTCACCTATTGTGTAATTCCATTTATAGGAAATATACAGAATATGTAAATCTGTGGAGAAAGAAAGCCGATTTCCAGGGGCTAAGGGGAGGGGAGAATGGGAAGTGGCTGCTTCATGGGTACAAGGTTTCATTTTGAGCTGATGAAAATGTTTTGGAACTACATAGAGATAGTGTTGGCACAACATGGTGAATGTACTGAATGCCACTGATTGTTCACTTTAAAATGGTCAAACTTATGTGAATTTCACCTCCATTAAAAAAAAAAAAAAGGACCAGATGTGGTTGCTCACATCCATAATCCCAACACTTTGGAAAAAGGTGAAAGTTTTTTTTCTTTTTTTTTTTATATACTTAAGTTCTAGGGTACATGTGCATAATGTGCAGGTTGGATACATAGATATGCGTGTGCCATGTTGGTTTGCTGCACCCATCAACTTGTCATTTACATTAGGTATTTCTTCTAATGCTATCCCTCCCCCAGCCCCCCACCCACTGACAGGCCCCAGTGTATGATGTTCTCTGCCCCATGTCCAAGCGCTCTCATTGTTCAATTCCCACCTGTGAGTGAGAACATGCAGTGTTTGGTTTTCTGTCTTTGTGATAGTTTGCTCAGAATGATGGTTTCCAGCTTCATCCATGTCCCTGCAAAGGACATGAACTCATCCTTTTTAATGGCTGCATAGTATCCCATGGTATATATGTGCCACATTCTCTTAATCCAGTCTGTCATTGATGGACATTTGGGTTGGTTCAAAGTCTTTGCTATTGTGAATACTGCCACAATAAACATACATGTGCATGTGTCTTTATAGTAGCACGATTTATAATCCTTTGGGTATATACCCTAAGACCTGGGACGCATTTAAAGCAGTGTGTAAAGAGACATTTATAGCACTAAATGCCCACAAGAGACCTCTGCCTGAGAACGTGGGTTTCAGCCTAAGAGCTGTAATATGTGTGCCCATTCACAGGTGCTGCATCAGAGTCCCAGGTGGGAAGAAGGCAAGCATACACAAAAATGGTAAAAGGCAGAAAGGAGCCCAGAGTCTCATTCTTTTTAAGAAGTTTTCCTAAGAATCTCCACCCAGCGACTTGCTCTCACATCTTCTTGGCCAGCACTGGACCACACAACTCCTTCTAGATACATAGGAGTCCTAGGATTCTATGAGAAAGAAGGGGAGGGTGGGCAAAGGGCAGCCAGCTGTGCAGCATCTGCTGGAGACACCTAACCCTTGGTGGAGGGGTTGTGGTGCTGGGAGAAGGCTTTCTGGACGGTGTGACAGCAGAGATAAACTTAAAGGCCAAGTAGGAGTTACCCTGGTGAAGCAGGGCAGGGTTACAAGCATTCCAGCAACATGAAGCAGCAGGAGTGTTTTAATTAAAAGAAGGCAGTTGCTGTAACCAACTATAAACAAATAAAGGCTTAAACACAATGGAAGTTTATTTCTCACTAAGGGAACATCCAAATCCATGATACTTTAAGTCAGGGACCCAGGTTCCTCCCATCTATGGTTCTGCCATCACTAATCTGGGTCTTCCACAATTGCCGTGCTCCTTGGAAGTGGGAAGAGCAGGCGGAGGACACGTGGGAGGTTTTAGGGACAAGCCTGGAGGCAGCATGCGTCACTCCCATGCAGAGTCCATTGGCCAATGCTGGCTCCGATGGCCACATCTCACTGCAGGGGCAGCTGGGAAATACAGTCTGGCTGTCTACCCAGGAGGAAGAGCAGCCAGTTTCTGCTGCTGATGATCAGGAGGTGGAGAAAATGTTCAGTCAGGCAGGGAGTGGGAATAGACAAGACCACAAGCAGCTTGGTGCCTCTGAAAGGGAGAGGGGTGGAGGGGAGACTAGAGAGGTGGGTAGGAATACTGGATTCCACTGACCACGTGCTGGATGTCACGCTTAGCCCTCCTGCTCTGTGCCGGGTTAGGCACCTGGTGTTTTACGTACATAATCTCAATTCTGTGAGGGCATCCGACCTGTGGGAAAAGAGCTGTTTGTTTCAAATGCTACTCCTGCTTCCTAACAAGTGTTTAGAGCTTAATCGTGTTCAAAATACATATACAATGTTTAATACTTACAAGAATTTGGAGGGGAAAATATTACCATCTTTCCCTTTTATGATTGGAGAAAAATGAGGCTTTGAAGGGTTTAAGAACTTGCCCAAGGTCGGCCAGGTGCAGTGGCTCATGTCTATAATCCCAACTCTTTGGGAGGCTAAGGTGGGAGGATCGCTTGAGGCCAGGAGTTCAAGACCAGCCTGAGCAACATAGTGAGACTTTGTCTCTATAAAAAATAAATAAATAAATAAAAAGAACTTGTCCAAGGTCAGACAGGCAGCCTCTTAGTAAGCACACATATCCTCTATATTATACTACCTCTCATGGAGGATCTCCTGTGTTCTACAAATAGTCTGGACTTGAGCCAGAATGTGTTATAATCCTGGGATCACGGCCAGTGGGCTTAGAAGAAGCCATCTCTTTCTCATGCCAAGATGAGGCTCCCCCAGATTTGCTCAGACTTACCTATAGTCAGCAGCATCGGGGGTCAGGAAAGACTTCATGAAGCCATAAATGCATCCTTCTCGGGGCAGCACCTGGCTCTCCCAGGTGAGAGAGGACTCCATTTTCACAGGCAGGCGTGGGAGCTTCAGCACCCATCTCTGGGCCCAGAATGACCCACTGGAGACCTTACAGCTCTCCTGTCACCCCCAATTCCTGCCCCCTCTGCAGCCTTGGAGGAGAATGGAGCTGAAGGGCCTGCCCTCTGTAGGGTGAGAAAGGGAGGCTAAAGCCTGGTGCCCACTGCCCTGGCTGCTCCGCATTGCAGGAGCTGCGCCCTTCCTTTCCTGGCACAGGGTCCACAGCCCCGAAACCCCGTTGTGTGGGAGCTGGGCACAGGGCAGCAGGACTAATCCTTGGAACAGCTCAGGGAGGATTATCCCAGCCACTGTCAGCAGCGGTGCAGCTGGCTCATTCCCATATAGGGGGAGGCCAGAGCCGGGGGCCTGCCACAAGTTGGAAGGCTGGGGAAGGGGAGGCCAGCAGAGGTGTCCTGGCTGTGGGTGGCTCTGAGGGGGCTCTCAGGGATGGGGCTAAATCTCAGGGGCAGGATTAGGTAAATCAAACCAATTCTAGCCACAGATTTAAAGTTTGGAAAAAAAAAAAAAACCCAGCCTGGCGGAAAGAATTTAAATTATAAAAACTTAGAAGTATGGAATGTGAAATCATCCTGTAGGTGCTTATTTAACAACGAAATCATCCCGACACAATGAGCCATATGTGAAAAGTCCTCCTTCCCCAACACATCCCCCAACAGGCACTCCTCAAACCTCTACCACCCAAGTGCTGGCATCCTCCCTGTCCTGCTTCACCTGAGACACCCCTTGTCTCATTAGACATGCAACTACGGGAGGGGTGACAGGAAGACAAGACACTATTTCCTCAGGCCCAGTTTGGTGTGGGGAGAAAGCCTCCTGATCCTGAAAGCAAGAATTTGACCAGAGCAGAAGTAATCAGTATGCAGATTGACCTGTGGTACGTTAATGTTTATGCATAGATTATGAGGACCAGGTGAAAAGTGGGCCAGGGGAGACAGATGTGTGTGTGAGTCATGGGTGGCTGAGATGAGGACAGGAGGGAAACTGGTTTGGAGGCTGCTGGCGATGGGATGGGGGTGCCAGGAGGGGTGCCAGGAGGAAGGGAGGCAGTTGTTTGAATGTCTGCATGAAAAAGCGGAGGACAGCGGGGTCTGGGTGAATTCGGGCAACAATTTGGACCGTGGAGAAAACTGCCTGTGTGCGGCTGAGGACCTGAACTATTAATTTGTTTTTTAGCTAATGCAAAGATAAATATAAAAACTGATACTCCATCCAGTTACCAGAAAACATTTAGGTACGTGTGAGACAACTTGGGTATGTGAACCTACCTTTTCAATGTAAATTCAGTGAAATCTAAGTACAGATCCCATATTTCCAATAAAAAGGTAACATCCAAACTCAGATGTCCTATGAGTATAAAATACACAAAGATCTTCTGGACTTAGTATGAAAAGGGATTTTTTTTTGTCAGGTACCTCACTAGTTATTTTTAAAATAGGATTGCATGTTGAAATGATAATCTTTTGGATATATTGGGTTAAGTAAATGTATTATTAAAGTTAATTTCACTTAAAAATGTTTAATGTAGCTACTAGAAATTTTAAAATTAAGCATGTTGCTCACCTTATGTTTCTATTGGACGGCTCTCTCTAGATACAAAGGCTGCCAAGAGGGACCTCACTCTAGCTTCAGGGAGAAGAGAGGAATTAGCAAGGCCAAGCAGAAGCTCCTGAGGGCAGGGCCAAGGGCGGCTTGGTGGGGTGGGGATGGGATGCACAAAGATAACTCCAACCCTTAAGAAGGTGTTTCCTAGAGCAGGCTGTGACCTGTCAGTTTATATACTGAGGCTTAGGAGCCTCTTGGATGCCCCCAGATCTGCACCCCTGAATTGCCCTGTGCCCCTGCCGTCTTTGTTCCTGTGCTGGCATAGTGGTCTCACCTCCGGCAGTATCACCACCACTGGGCACAAGCTTCTCCAGCACAGCAACTGTGTCTTATTTCTCCTTGTACTCCCAGTGTTCACACCATGCTGCACTCACAGAAGACTCTTCGGTGATATTTTGTGGACAGAGAGAATGCCTGTGAGAGTGGGCTGAAGTGTGCGTTGGGCTCCAGAGACCTTAAGGAGGGGAGACCAGGTCCTGAGTAAAGTTGAAGGGGAGGGGCTGAGTCCTGCTAGCCAGGAGTCTCATCCCCTAGGGAAGTTCCAGGGACCCTCAGAAGTGCAAGGGGACGGTGTTAGTGTTAGTCCAGTGACACAGCCCAGAGCCTGCCTTCCACGTGGGTTTGACAGGAGCCTCCTAACTGCTCTTCTGCTTCCATTTTTGCCCCTTCAGTCTATTCTCAACAGGGAAGCCAGAGGCATCCTTAACCATGTCAGATCATGTGGCTCCTCAGCTCAAAGCCTCATCTCAGAGGAAAGCTCTGGTCCCTTAGAAATGGCCCAGGTGGTGACAGACAGACTCTAAGGTGAGCAGACTGTTGCTAGATATCTGGGCTCGGAGGACTCGCCACTGCTCAAAGGCAGTGAGGATTTTCGCACTAGAAGCTGGAGGACAGGGATCCTTGTTAGGTAGGAGCAGAAAGCTTAGAAAAGTGGTCGCCTGCAGTTACGTGGAAAACACATCATGTAAGTGATAAATTGGGTATGCAGTTGAGGAGATTTCCAAGTAAAATGTTGAGGATGCTGCCTGGTTTCTTCTTACTGCTTATAATATAGTGTGAGAGAAGAGAGATAAATTGAGAAAGAGACTGGTTTTTAAACTGTTAAAATTGAATCAGGACTTGATGATTTTGAAAATTGTCAGTCTCCCCACATGGCAAAAGATGCTGAAATTAACAAATGGCTTCTGAGCATGTGGCATAGGGTGTAACTGTACAGTCTTTTGTGATTATGCATAAAGATCAAAGGATGGGAGTAGCAATGAGTCACACAGAGGTCTGTTGCAAGAGATTATAAGGGTGTACCATGCAGAACCTCTCCACCAAACCTTAGGGCCCCTGGGAAGCTTCAGTGAGTTACCCTGGGGGCCATCTTGGCAGGAGCTGAAGGTAGAAAGGTAGAGTTTATCTCTAAAAGATTCATGGGTATGGCTCTTGACAAATCGACTATGAGCCCCACTGAAACCCACGGAGGACAGGCAAAGGGTTTGGGAAAGCTGTTTCACCCACAGTGCTGGCAGATTGGTCTGTAGGGGACAGAGTGCAAAATGAAAGAAGACTGTCAGAGCCCCCAAACTCTGCTGTCAAGAAGAAGGCTGATAAAACTACTTGGCTGCAAACACGTGGATCTTTCGTGAGAAAAGAAGGATGACCCAGAGGCAGAAGCCCAGAAGGCAGAGCCAAGAGACATGGAATCTTCCCACATCTTAAAACCTGTTTAGGGAACACCAGCGTCTGCCCAGCTGGATTTCAGAACCACCATTCCTTCATCCCTCCCCTGCTGCCTCTTTCTCAACAGCAATGTCTCGGGCTTTACCCACCATTGTGTGTTGCATATGTAGGGGGCAGATAGCTTGTATCTTTAGTTTTCCAGATCAGAGGAACATCCAAGGAAATCTGTTCTACACCTAAACCCGATTTAGATGAGATTCGGGACTGTGAGCATGAAGGGATCTCAAGAGGGGTGAATGTGTTTTGCATGCACAAGGGACATGAGTCTTGGGGACAGAGGACAGGCTGTGGTGGCAGATACTAAGGTGACCCCCACAACCCCCACCTCTGCCATTCACACCCTTGAATAATCCCCTTCTCTGGTTGTAAGCAGAACCTGTGGATTGCTTATGAAGGAGGTGGTATATATGTGATTCATGTACTGATCATATTGTATAAGATCACTGGCTAGATGCAGTGGCTCGTGCCTGTAATCCCAACACTTTGGGAGGCTGAGGTGGGTGGATCACCTGAGGTCAGGAGTTCGAGACCAGGCTGGCCAACCTGGCAAAACCCCGCCTCTACTAAAAATACAAAAATTAGCCAGGCATAGTGGTGCACGCCTGTAATCACAGCTACTCAAGAGGCTGAAGCAGGAGAATTGCTTGAACTCAGGAGGTGGAGGTGGCAGTGAGCCAAGATCGTGCCACTGCACTCCAGCCTCAGTGACAGAACGAGACTCTGTCTCAAAAAATAAATAAATAAAATGTTAAGATCATAACCTGTCTTTCTGGGGACTCTCTCTTGACGCCTTTGAAGAAGCAGGCTGCCATGTTGCAAGCTGCCTCATGGAGGGGATCAGCTGCGAGGAGCTAAGAGCCCCCTCCAGTCGATGCTCACCAGGAAGCTGAGGTCTTGTGTCCAGCACCCTGCATGGAACTGAATGCTGCCACGTGAGCTTGGAAGCAGAGCCATCCACACAGCTGAGCCCCAGATGAGAACCCAGTGCTGGCTGACACCCTGATGGCACCTTACAGAGAACCAGTTAGGCTGTGCCAACTCCTGACCTGCAGAAGCTGGGGAACATTGGGTCGTATTTGCAGCTGCTGGATTTGTGGGAATTTGTCACACAGCAATTGGGAGTCACACAGCCTGTGATGCCCCAACAATCCACACCTCCTGCATCTCCCTGCCTTCACTTCCTAGCACACTGCCCTGACTCCCTCTGCCGTAGCCACGCTGGCCCTCTGCTGTTCTTTGAAGCCACCAGGCCTGCATTGGCTCCCAGCCTTTGCTCTCACTGCTTTCTCCTCCTAGAGAGCCCTTCCTGCATGTATATGTTTGACTCACTCCCTTGCCTCCTTCAGACTTGTACTTAAAAATCTCAGTAAGCATTTCCCTGGCTACCCTTTTAAAAATTGCAACCCACTTCCATCCCCATCCCCAACATGCCATATTTCCTTTCTTCTTCTTCCTTCTTCCTTTTTTTTTTTTTTTGACACAGGTTCTCTCTCTGTCACCCAGCCTGGAGTGCGGTGACATGATCTCGGCTCACTGCAACCTCTGCCTCCCCAGGTCAAGAGGTTCTTCTGTCTCAGCCTCCGAGGTAGCTGGGACTACAGGCACACACCACATTGTCTTTTTTTTTTTTTTTTTTTTTTTTTTTTTGTAGATACGGGGTTTCACCACGTTACCCAGACTGGTCTTGAACTCCTGGACTCAAACGATCCACCTACCTCAGCCTCCCAGGCTTTCTTTCTCTCCAATGTGTTTGCCTGTTTTATTTACTGCTGTATCCCCGGGTCATAGGAGGTGCTCACTAAGTACTAGCAGAGAAAATGAGTGAGCAGTGGGGATTCATGGATGGAGGATGGTTATGCTGATGAGCAGGAAGAGACTGGGAGGCTGGAGGCCATTTTCTGGCTGGCGGACCTCCAGAGTCAGAACTCCAACACGCTCTTCCTTGACACATCCTTTACGATAGAATATGTAGTCTTGCAGGAGGGGAATGGACTGTGAGTCTATTCTTATGTTCTATAAAACACCGATGACTATGGATATACATCTGGTTGCTTTAAGTGTGTGCAGTGACCTGCACAATGTCACACCTAGTAACTGGTCGGTAGTAACAGAAGTGCCTCTCCTTTCCTCCTCTTTATACATGAGGATGGCTGGATACAGAGTGGTCCAACTTGAGCAAGGTCACTCTCGTCATTTCATTCCAGACCTAGGAGACAGAAAGGAGTTCTCCTGATGCTAGTCCCCAGCTGGAGAAAGTGGCTTGGTGCAGAAACATCTCCAGGGGCAGCCAGCCTTCTAGGGAATGGAAAGAGAGGCAAGAGCAGTGGGTTCGAAGCCAGCTCCATTGGGAAGTGCAGACAGCCTCAGGACAGACCTCCACCCTGGGGGGGAGCCACCATGGTCACCTGGCTGAATGTGGGTTGAATTTGGATCAGACAGGATGATGAGGGAGCTGCCACTTGCCGGATGCCAGATGCCCCTGGCTGACACACAGAAGGGCAGATGTGGTCCCGGCTCCCAGGGGAGCAGGGTTCTCTGGGCGTTGGCCAGGCAAAGAAGAGCCGGAGAACCAGAGTGGCCCCGCCAGGCCTTCCTCTGTCCAGCTCTCCTGTACACTCCTCCTCTCCCTTCCTTCCCTCTTCTGCCTGACTTCCTCTTCTGGCACTGTCCTTCCTTGTTTCTGTTTCCCCTCTCTCCCTCTTGTCTTTACCTCCTTGGGTTTATTTTATTTTATTTTAAGCTCTAGGATACATGTGCAGAATGTGCAGGCTTGTTACATAGGTAAATGTGTGCCAAGGTGGTTTGCTGCACCTATCAACCTAGTGTAATTATGTCCCATTTGTCAATTTTAGCTTTTGTTGAAATTGCTTTTGGCAATTTCATCATAAAATCTTTGCCCATGCCTATGTTCTGAATGGTATTGCCTAGATTTTCTTCTAGGATTTTTATAGTTTGGGGTTTTACATTTAAGTATTTCATCTATCTGAGTTAACTTTTGTATAAGGTATAAGGAAGCCCCTCTTGTAGCAGTGTGGGGAGTGATTAGGAGTGGGATGGGACGGGAGGCAGAGTAAGCCATCTTGAGGCAGTTGTAACAGTCATAGGGAGAGATCAGATCACAAGATCTGGAGCTGGTCCACAAGCTCAGGGCTGGAAAATGTAGTTGTTCCCAGTTAATACTTCTGGAGTTGGAAAGTATAAAGAGCTATGTCAGTGTCAAGATCCCTGGTAGTTTGGGGCAGGGTACAATTACTCCTCTGGAGTGGATCTCATCGTGGCCCTCTGGGTGTCTGGAGGGCCCAGACAGAATCCCTTACTGTGGACTGGCGTCTTGCTGATATTCCCATTGAGGACTGGTGGGGAGAGCCATCATCACCATGGCAGTCCCCACACCTTGCAACCTAAGTACCTGTGTGATTGGTGATGGGTGAGGAACAGAACATCATTTACATATATAAAGAACAGCATGCTGTTTTCTTCCTTGAAGAGGAGCTGACCCTCCTCCCTGCTTGGCCATCATGCTCAGCCATGGGCCTGGGCTTGGTTGATGGGAGGGAACAAAAAGAATATGGGCCATCTGATCACATGGCTCTGGTTTTGAGCCCCAGCTGTGCTACTTAGTAGCTGTGTGATCTTGGGAAGCCACTTCACTTCTCTGAGCTTCATTTTTCTCCCATGCAAGATGGAGATAACAATTCTCTTGTAACTCAACTCTATCTTTATCCCTTCGTGAATCTTACCTAAATCCACATCTTCAATTTTTTTAATTTTTAATTAAGGTAAGATTTACATGCAGTAAAATTTATATGTTTTAGAGTGTAGTTCTGTGAGTTTTGACAAATGCATACAGTTGTGTAACCACATCACAATTGAGATACAGAGCAGCTCCATCACTCCCCAAAATTCACAACCCTCCCCACACCTCCTTGCAGTCAGCTACCCCCATCTCTGCCCCAGGCAACCTCAGATCTGATTTCATCACTAAGGATTAGTTTTGCCTAGAGTTTCGTATAAATTGCATCATACATATGTACTTTTTTACATCTGACTTCTTTCAATCATCATGTTGTTACATGGACCTGTAGTTTGTTTCTGTTGAAGAGCAATATTCCATTGTATAGATGGACCACCATTTGTCATCTATTCACAATCCATGCACATTGGGTTGTTTCCGTTTGAGGGTTATAATGGCTACAGCCGCAATGAACATTATTTTGCAAATTTTTCAGTAGACAAATGATTTTATATCTGTTGGGTAAATAGGAATGCAATGGCTGAGTTGTATGGTATGTATATATTGAAATTCTGTAGAAACTACCTGTTTTCCAAAGGAGTTGTACAATTTTCCATGTCCCCCATAATATATGAGGGTTTTGGTTGTTCTGCATCCTGGGAATATTTAGCATTGTCAGTCTTTTAATATTTTATTCATTCTAGTGTGAAATGGTATCTCATTGTGGTTTTAACTTGCATTTTTCTAATGGCTAATGATGTTGAGTACTTATGTATTTATTGGTCATTTGGATAATCTATTTTGTGAAGTGCCTGTTCAAGCCTTTTGTGTGTCTGCAATTTTTACTAGCGAGTTTATTTCTTCTTATTTAAACCTCACTCTGGGCTCCGGACAAATATATCAATGGAATTCTTCATACTGCTGCTTGTATGTTTCAAAATGACCTCAGCTGAACATAAAGGTAAACTTACAATTTTCTCTCTCACTCTTCCCCACTCCACTTTCAGACCTTGGCCTCCACCACTGACACATTCTCTCATCATCCACACAGTGGCACAGACCAGAAACCTAGGCAGCTTTCCTGATACCTCTTCTCATCTGTTTCCCTACTCCCACCCAATCCATCGTGTTTCCTCCTGCCTATTTCTTGAACCCAATCAATTCCCCCAAATTCCTCCATCTCCACCATTGCCTAAGCCACCATGGTCTCTCACTTGCATTACTGCAATAGCCTCCTTTCTTTCTTTCTTCTTTCTTTTTTTTTTTTTTTATTTTGGAAAGGAAGTCTCTGTCACCCAGGCTGGAGTGCAGTGGCGCAGTCTGGGCTCACTGCAACCTCAGCCTCCCAGGTTCAAGCAATTGTCCTGCCTCAGCCTCCCAAGCAGCTGGGATTATAGGTGCTCACCACCACAACCTGCTAATTTTTGTATTTTTAGTAGAGACGGGGTTTCACCGTGTTGGCCAGGCTGATCTCGAACTCCTGGCCTCAAGTAATCTGCCCACCTCAGCCTCCCAAAGTGCTGGGATTATAGGCACGAGCCACCACACCCAGTCAATAGCTTCCTTTCTAACAAGTCTTGTTCCCTTCAGGCTGTACTCCATGTACCAATCAGTGTCAGGCCTTTAGAAAACACAGATGTGATTGTAAGACTCTCTTATCCAAATCCTTAATGGCAGCCCATAACTCTTAACATAATTATTTGTTCCTTAATGTGATCTGTAAGACGAGCCATGCCCCAGCCAGATGGTTGTCTTCGAGCCGTGGTTCTAGGCTCCTTGTGTCTCAGGGCCTTTGCACAGACTGACCTGTGTTTGCAACACTCCTTCTCTCTTCTTCACCTCACTAACTCCTGCTCATTCTTCACATCGCAGTTCAAATTTCACTTCCTCCAAGAAGTCTGCCCTGTTCAGAGACAAGATTAGGAATGCTCTACGCTTCTTTCATAGACTTATCTTATAATGATGTATTTCTGGGACTATTCAAATTATGTTTCTCTCACTAGACTAATAAGCTCTGCGGGGAACGAATCTGTTTCGTTTGTGGTGCGTCCGGGTACCTAACACCAGGACCAGCTACGTAACATGAGGCCCAGGGCAAAATGAAAACGCAGCGCTTCTGTTCAAAGAGCAGGAAGAAGCGTCATTGAAGGGGCTCAAAGATACGGCGTTTTCCTTTCTTCTGTGTTCTCTCTCACTTGACTTGTCATGGTATTTTTATTTGCTATCTAATGTCATGCTAAGTTAAAATACAAATTTAAGGCTGGGTGCGATGGCTCACGCATGTAATCCCAGCACTTTGAGAGGCTGAGGTGGGCGGATCATTAGGTCAGGAGTTCGAGACCAGCCTGGACAACATAGTGAAACCCCATCTCTCCTAAAAATACAAAAAATTAGCTGGGCGTGGTGGCGGGTGACTGTCATCCCAGCTACTCGGGAGACTGAGGCAGGAGAATGGCTTGAACGTGGGAGGCAGAGGTTGCAGTGAGACAAGATTATGCCATTGCACTCCAGCCTGGGTGACAGAGCGAGACTCCATCTAAAAAAAATAAGATAAAATAAAATAAAAAATAAATTTAAATTATCGTGACTTTTTACCATTTGTTTTTATATTGTAGGACGCAAGGTATAAATGAAAATATTAGCATTGACCTCATATGTAGAATCAACACAATTACACAATTCACATTCCATAGCTCATCCATGTGTATGTATTTCATTCTTGCTAAACCAGTAGATACGCTGCACAAAACTAGCTCAGCTCTTTCTATCTCACTTCCTGACACCCACACACTCCAGCAACACTCTCTACCTTGGGATCATGGACACTAAGGAAGGACTGAAAGGACAGGAGCTATAGGCTGCTCTCTCTTCCCCTTTCCTTGTTCCATACAAGTACTAATGAGGCCAGGCCCTGCTTAGCTTCTGAGACGAGATTGGGCACCCTCAGGGCACTGTGGCCATAGTGTCCTGCCCTTTCCTTTCATGTCATCTCAACACAGGGGTCGGTTAGCACAGGGAAGTAACTCCAATTAGAGAGGATACAACAGGGCTCCTCAGTCATTTGTGTCTCTTCAAATGTCATTGCCTTCTTTCTGTGTACAAGCGCATTCTGGTTTCAGTGGAAAGTGAGGCCTCTCCAGATGGTTAGTGCCCCGCTCACTCAGTCACTGACTAACAACCCTGCCTCTACTCACAGCATGCTGAGTTTCCTGCACATCCCACAGCATGGCTCCCCAGGGGCATGGAGAAGATTATGTGAATGGGGCGGCAGGGAACGGCAGCCACACACATCACGTGTGGCTCCTCTGCTCCTGTGCATGCCCCCTTGTCCTACAGGACTTCGCTGACGAAACAGAAGTGTAAAGATATCGTTATTAATGTGACAGCAGAGTGTTAAACCGAATGCGGGGCACTTTCAAGTGCAGGACACTATGCAACTGACTTCGCAGGACTCAGAAAGTGGCCCTGCCTAGCACATGGCCACATAGCAGATGCTAATCAATGTGTTAAGTAAAGGAATGAAGGGTTGTCACCTGATAGAAGATAAACAGTTCTTCTGGTTTTGATACAAACTAAAGGCCTCTCTCCTCCATCACCTTGGAGATCCCACATAAATATCAGAGGGGCACCACTGCCTGTGATTGCCTATCTTTCTGGAGTGGAGAGAGAGAGTCTCATCTCATCTCAGCAGGAGGCCCATTCTCTTTGGCAATCCTCTGGCCTCCAGCCCATTTATTATATACTCACATGTCAACATGTACTTCGTACAGCATGTAACACAATTGCACTTTTATATTTTAACAAATTACATTTCCCATATTGAACTGTAAGTCTCCTGAAAGGAGGAATTTTGTTCTTGCTCATCATCAACTTTTTCAACATCCAGTGCACCATTTAGAACTTAGATGTAGTCAATACAGGTTTGTGGAATGAAAGAGGAAAAGAAAGAATTAATATTCCTTTAAATTAGGATGGCAAAGATCGTATATAGAAAATTGGCTAAGTTGTGGTCCATTCATGTTTGCTCCCAATTAAGGAGCACAGTTATGAAAAGGAAGGCTTCAAATTAATAACCAATAGATTTTTTAAAAAAGAAAACTGGCCAGGTACTGTGGCTTATGTCTGTAATATCAGCATGTTGGGAGGCCAAGGCAGGATTACTTGAGCCCAGAAATTCCAGACCAGCCTGAGAATTTGGCAAAACTCTGTCTCTACAAAAAATACAAAAATTAGCCAAGTTTGGTGGCATGTGCCCGTAGTACCAGCTACTTGGGAGGCTGAGGTGGAAGAATAGCTTGAGTCTGGGAGGTCAAGGCTGCAATGAGCTGTGATCGCACCACTGCACTCAAGCCTGGGTGGTAGAGTAAGACCCTGTCTCAAAAAAAAAAAAAAAAAGAAAAATCACTAAGCAAAATAAGACATGTGAAGGATCATGTCAAAGGTAAGAAAAATTAGGGGAACATTAAAAGCTTTCTTCCCAAGCCACTAAATCAACTTGACCAACAAAATTACCACTTGATTTAGCATTAGAAAATTACATTACATATCAAACATAAACCCATTAATCAAATACTACAGAAATTTCTGAGTTAAATGGTATAATGTTAGCTTATGCCAGAGCTGACCTTGAAAGATTGTTCAAATATGGCTCAGTGTGACTGAAAGTTCTGTGTGAATATGTTTTTGGAAAGATCCAACAGCAACACCTTAGTGTATGTTTTTGAAATAAAATGTATCTGAGTAGCAGCAAAGTTATCCATTTCTTCTAGGTCCTCCAATTTGTTGGCATAAAATTGTTCATAATAATCCCTTATGACCATTTTTATTTCTGAGGTATCTATTGCAATGTCTCCACTTTCATTTCTGATTTTATTTATTTGAGTCTGCTTTTTTTAGTGAATCTAGCTAGGAGTTTGTAGATTTTATTTTTTCAAAGAACCAACTTTTGATTTTATTTATATTTTCTATAGTTTTTCTATACTACATTTTATTTGCTTCTGTTCTGATCTTCATTATTTCCTTCCTTTTGCTCACTTTGGGTTTAGTTTGTTCTTTCTTTAGCTCCTTGGGGCATAGTGTTAGTCTACTTATTTAGATCTTTTTCCTTTTTTAATCTAGGCATTTATTGCTATAAACTTCTCTCTTAGAACTGACTTTGCCGCATACTGTAGGTTTTGATACATTGTGTTTCCATTGTCATTAATCTCAAAATATTTTTTAGTTTCCCTCTTGATTTCTTCTTTGACCCATTAGTTCATCATAAGCATGTTGTTTAGTTTCCACATATTTGTAAATTTTCCAAGATTCCTCCCGTTATTGATTTTTAGCTTCACACCATTGTGGTTGGAAACAATACTAGACGTGACTTCAATCTTTTTGAATTTGTTAAGGTTTATTTTGTGGCCTAACATATGGTCTATCCTGGAGAATGTTCTATGTATGCTAGAGAAGAATGTATATTCTGCTGTTGTTGGATGAATGTAGGTCTGGTAGGTCCATTTGGTCTGAAGTATAGTTCAAATTTAGTGTTGTCTTGTTAATTTTTTGTCTGGTTGATCTCTCCATTGTTGCAAGTGGAGTACTGAAGTCCCCTATTAGTGTTATATTGCTGTATATTTCTTCCTTCATGTCCACTAATATTTGCTTTACATATTTAAGTGCTTCAATTTTGGATGCATATATGTTTACAATTGTTATGTCCTCTTGATAAGATGACCTCTTTATCATTAAATCATGACCTTCTTTGTCTCTTGGAACAGCTTTTTACTGGAAGTCTGTTTTATCTGATATAAGTATAGGCATCCCTGCTCTCTTTTGGTAACTGTCTGTTTTCATGGAATATCTCCTTCTATCCATTTACTTTCAGTATATGCCTATTCTTAAAGTTTAAAAATGGGTCTCTTGTAGGCAGCATCTAGTTGGATCTTGTTGTTGATCCACTCAGCCATTCTACATCTTTTGATTGGACAGTTTAACCCATGTACCAGCAAGGTTATTATTGATAGTAAAAGACTTACTCCTG
Source organism: Homo sapiens (assembly GCF_000001405.40). Lineage (NCBI taxonomy): Eukaryota > Metazoa > Chordata > Mammalia > Primates > Hominidae > Homo > Homo sapiens. The sequence continues at coordinate 113,564,520 of NC_000002.12, read as the reverse complement.
CCATTTTGCTAATTGTTTTCTGGTTACTTTGTAGATAATTTGTTCTCTTCTTCCTCTATTGTTGTCTACCTTTGTGGTTTGGTGGTTTAGTTTTCTGCTTTGTGGTTACAATATTGTTTTTTAAATATTCAACATGAATACACTTTCTTGTTTGGATAACGTGTAAAACGTCTACAAGGAGGGATAGATAATAAGTTTTCCCTTCAGAATGCACTGCTTTGCCTGGGATGAGGAATAATTTATAATGGTAACTGTTGCTGGTTAAAATTTGGCTCCTACCCACATTCATGCAAACTCAGCATTCTAGATTAAAAGAGATTTAAGAGACTTGCCAAGCAAATGCATGGCATCCTTAGATGTATCCTGATTTGAATAAAACAGCTATAAATAATAATATTTTGGGGATTATTGAAAAATTTGACTATAGATTAGTTTTCAGGTGATATTGGAGAATTAATGTTATTATTGTTAGGTATGTTAGCACGGTCATGCAGCAATGTGTCTTTCTTTTTAAGAGATGCATACAAAAATATTTGGGTGTGAAATGTTCTTGTGCTATAATTTGCTTTAAAATTCTTCAGAAAAAAAAAGATAAGCAAAATAGAAAAACAAGATAATGGGTACATGTTATCTATTTCTTATTCTCCCTATTTTTTTGTGTGTTCAATTTTTAAAAGAAATTTACTCCATACATATATCCCACCCCCTCCACTAAGGACCCTCAAACTATAAATTGCTGTGAATATAAGAAAAAGTGAAACAATTCTATGATTTTGAGAGAAAGTCAACACTGTAGGAAAAAGAGAGCCCAGGATTTGGGCTAAAAATCATTAATCTGACCCTGATCAACCCTGTGGCCTTCAGCAGTAACTCAGCCTCTCAGGCCTTTGATTTGTTGATGTGTAAAATGAGGGTCATTGTCATTTAGACAACGACCTTCAGGGTATGTTTTAATGTTAAAATTCAGAGTCCTTCCATATCAGATAAGCATCAACTATTCAATAGTTTATGCTGAAGAGTACAGGGGACCAAGAGACCACCCAAATGGGTTCATGAGCCCATCATGCCACTTCTTTGTTGGATCACTTTGGGCACCTCACTAAATTTTTCTGAGCTAGGTCCTCTGCACCTTGCTTGTCTATCATCAAAGGGTCACTGTGAGACTATAATAATATAAGAGGAAAGAAATCGTGATTATTAAGGCATATACTGAACCACATACCTCCATTGGCAACATTAAACTTCACTCCAAACTCTCCCCCTGGTCCTCCAGGGCAGTGGCTGGCTGTTAGAATGATTCCACCAGCTGCCTTGATCTTCCTGATAATGCAGGAGACCGCAGGTGTCGACAAGATGCCATTCTGTCCAATAATCAGTCGTCCAATCTAAACCATCCAAAAAAAAAAAAAAAAAATCAATCCAGTTGCTTGGGATTAAAGGCATTTCAACAGGAAAGTGCCCCAGGCTCTGTTAACATACAGCCAATCACTTGATAAAAGAAACAGAGTAGGCTTTAGATTAGGGGAGGCAGGGTAGGGGGAGCACTGACATTGTCTCTCCTATCTAATGTCTCTAAGACCATTTGGTGCACCTGCATCTAGTAGCCAATTATTAACCTGTAAATAAGATATGCCTCACTGATCTTCAGTCGTTTGAAACATCTGCTTCTGATAATCGAGGGGTTAGCTTGAATCACACAAGAAGTTCTTAGTTTGCTACTGACTCAGAAACTATGCATGTGAACATGCTAGAGATTACAAGAAAAAAGAAATGGAGTGCTTCTCTGCTTCTTCTGCTTCCTGTAACTTAGAACAAGCTCAGAGAGCAAGGGGACTGATTTACTACAACCTCATCATCTGTAGGCATATTTTAACTGTAATCTTCAGGAATGACTTTTCTCCTGAAAGTAGGAATTCTCTTTCTGCTGTTAAGTGACAGCATGTGCTGGAGACATTGGAGAAATTACCCAGTCATGCTAAGCAGAGATCTGGAGGTCATCCATGGATGCAGCCAGATTCTTTCTAGAGCTACAAAACTGACTTTCTAAAAAGTCAGCAACACAGCGCTGAAGAACATTTATTGCTACACCTTGTTTTAAAATTGGATTCAATATCATCCAATCTAGTAGTTCTCAATATTTCTACAAAATAGAATCACTTATGAAGCTTTTCAAAATCCTAGTACTCAAACTGCATTCTAGACTGATGATATTGCAATCTCTGGGGTTGAGAGCCCAGCATTAGTAGTTTTAAAGCTCCACAGATGATTCCAATGTTCAGCCAAGCTCGGTAATAAAGCCCCCCTGTTACTCAAAGGGCTGGCAGCATGGGCATCACCTGCAAGCTTGATAGAAATGCAGAACTTCAGCTGGGCATGGTGGCTCCACCTGAAATCCCAGCACTTTGGGAGGCTGAGGTGAGCAGATCACTTGAGCTCCAGAGTTCGAGACCAGCCTGGCCAATGTGGTGAAAACCTATTTCTACTAAAAATACAAAAATTAGCTGAGCATGGTGGTGCACGCCTGTAGTCCCAGCTACTCCGGAGGCTGAGGTGGGAGAATTGCTTGAACCTGGGAGGCAGAGATTGCAGTGAGCTAAGATGGCACCACGGCACTCCAGCCTGGGCTACAGAGTGAGACTCTGTCTGAAGGAAGGAAGGAAGGAAGGAAGGAAGGAAGGAAGGAAGGAAGGAAGGGAAGGAAGGAAGGAAGGAAAGAAAGGAAGGAAGGAAAGAAAGAAAGAAAGAAAGGAAGGAAAGAAAGGAAGGAAAGAAAGAAAGAGAGAGAAAGAAAGAAAGAAAGAAAAAAGAAAAAGAAAGAAAGAGAAAGAAAAAAGAAAGAGAAAGAAAGAAATAGAAAGAAAAAGAAAGAAAGAGAAAGAAAGAAATGCAGAACCTCAAGGCCCACCCAAGGCCTACTGAATAAGAACCTGTATTTTAATAAGATCCTCTCCTCTCTTCCCAGATAATTCATTTGATAAGTACTGATATAACCAACAAGCCAAAACAAACCTTAACATACAGTTCAACAACAAAGTTGCCCTGGCACCATCATTGCTAGAGGTCAGTCACTGACCAAATATAACAATCAGCGAGATCAGGGGAAAAAAAATTACAGAAGAGATCAAAACACACACACACACACACACACACACACACACACACACACACACACACAGAGCTCAAAAGCAAAGTGGCCTTGGGATGATTTAGTATGGAAATCCACAAGATCCACAGGCTACATATTTTCAAGTAGAGGAGACAGATTATAAACAAATAAGCAATAATAATAATAGTTACTAGTGAGGTACATATTAGGAAGGAATTAGACTGCTGTAATAGAGAATAAAGGATGTCAATTTTAATAATAATATAATAATAATAGCTAAGGGAGCTTAGATTTTATTCTAAGTACAACCAGAATCCATTGAAAGGTTTTAAACAGTGGAAGTGACCTGATGGCATTTTTAAACATCATGGGCTGAGCAGCCCAAATGTTCCTATTAAAAATTAAGTCACATCAAGTCACTAAAACATTCCAATAGCTTTCCTTGTCCCCCACCAACCCAAAACAAAGCCAAAGTCTTCATTGTAGTCTACAAGGCCCTACATAATCTGACCTCCATCATGTACCATTCTCCATCACCCTCCTGCCCTCCTTCTTCTGTTCCAGCCACAACGGAACAGAACAGCTATTCCTCAAACATACCAAACATGATCCTGCCTCAGGGCCCTCGCATTTTCTTTTTCCTCTGCTTAGAATACTTGCCCAGATATTAACATACCTGCCCTCTACTGTCTTTTGGGTTTCTGTTTCAATGTAAGCTAATCAGAGATAGCACCCTTGACAGCCCTATATAATACTATAGCCAGAAGTCCCTAACTTTTCTATTGTTTCCTATTTCCTTCACCCTGCTATAATTTTCTGGATCACATATGTTGCCTTTAACATTTTCCATATTATTTATTTTCCCACTGTATGTAAAGCCCAAGGACTTTTCACTGCTATATCCCAAGAACCTAAAATAAATCTGGCATGTGGTAAGCGTACAATAAATATTTGTTGAATTAATGAATGGAGAATAATGAATGCATGATGAATGGCTTCTCTGGGAGAAATACCTTGAAGGGGGGCAAGAGCAGAAAGAGGAATATCAGACGGGAGACTCTTCAAGTCAAGTGTTGATAGAGTCTTGGACTAGGCTAGAGCCAACAGAAATGAAAATTAGTCATTTGGTTTGAGATACATTTTTGGAAGGAGGATGAACAGAATATGCAGGTGGGCTGGAATATGGAAGAGAGGGGCTGTGGTAAATAGCCTCCAAAATGGCCCCAATGGTCCTTGTCTTTTGGCATTTGTGCCTTTTTGTGGTCCCCTCCCACACTGAACGATGCAGATCTGGGTAATCAGTATATATTGCAGAAGTGATTGTGTGTGACTTCCATGGTGAGGCCATAAATGGCATGGACACTTCTGCCCTGCTCTCTTGGACAGCTTATTTTGGGAGAGGCCAGCCGCCATGTCATGAAGACACTCAAGAAGCCCTGTGAAGAGGAAGCAAGGCCTGCCAACAACAGCCAGCACCAACTTTCCAGCCAAGGGATTGAGCCATCTCACAGTGGATCCTCCAGCCCCCACCAAGCCTTCATATGACCAAACCAACACCAACATGTAACTGTGACCTCATGTGAGTCCCCAAGCCAGAATACCCATCTCCTGTCTCAGAAATGATGAGAAATAATAAATATATGTGCTCACACATATTACCATCTAATTTTCTACATTATATGTTTATTTCCCCACTGTATATAAGATCCAAGGACTGTTTTTTTTTTCACTGCTATATTCCAAGAACCTAAAACAAATCTGGCATACGGTAAGTATACAATAAATATCTGTTGAATTAATTAATGGGAAAAAATAAATGAATGATGAATGGCTGCTCTGGAAAAAATACCTTGAAGAGTGGCAGGAGCGGAAAGAGGAGGGTCAGATGGGAGGCTAACAGCCAGCACCACCTTGCCAGCCAAGTGACTGAGCCATCTTGCAGTGGATCCTCCAGCCCCCATCAAGCCCCAACTAAGCCACTAAGTTTCATGGTAATTTCTTACACTGCAATAAATAACTAATACGGGACCAGTGAGAAAAGGAGTCAAGAATAATCTCAGCTTTCTACCTTTAATAACTTAATGGATAGTGGTGCTATTAATCAAGTCAGGAAAGAGAAAGGACAATAATTACACCTATAGTATTACCCAAAGTCATGATAAATTATTTTTCATATGCTCTTGCTAAAATTTATGTAGTCATTCAACTCATTTTATTGAGTATCTACCATGAAACCGGCAATATGGAAGAACCTTCTGATATAGAACTGAATATAATTTAGTCACTGCCCTCAAGTAATAAGTCTGGAGAATCAAGAATCTGAAAAATGTTTGTAGCTTTTGTTCAAAATTTTCTCTCAGCCATTTAAAGGGAAAATTATGAAGATTGTATAGTGGTGAGAGACTGGGATAGCAGTCCACAAAAACTTAGGAAGCCCTTCCATAGCAAAGAGTCAATGCTGAGGAACAACTGCCCAGCCAGGTGCTACATTTTCCAACCCACCCTTGCATCTAGGTGTGGCCACATGGTGCATTTGGACAATGGGTGATAAACTAGTATGAGAATAAGAACAGAAGTAATGTGTGTTTCTTCTAGGCTGAGGATATCAGAAAACAGACATATCATCTCTACACTGCTTATTTCTCTTTCTACAGATTCAGTACAGGTAATCATGTGGCTCTAGGCAATGCCAGAGTCACAAGAGGGAAGGAAACTGAGTCCCCATCCCATTTGGTAGACAAGAGTCTTTGCCCACCAGGGACATCCTCATTGGACTATTGTGTGAGTGAGAAATAACATTCTATTGTTTTTAAGGCAATAAAAATTGCCTACATTTCAGGTTTATTTATTACAACCACCCACATTTTCTTAAGCAGTAGCGAAAGAAACATAAACAATAGTTTAATGCCAAATCAAAAATGTCAAATGCAAAATTATTTTATGCTATCACAGTATAAAATTATGTCCACTTTGGGGCAAGGACTTAGAAAAATGCAGAAATAAACATGTAAATGATTATTTCTTTTGAAATTTAATCTTATTAAATTTCAGTTATTTTTGGAAAGGTAATATACATTCTGTTTAAGAAGGTTAAAGTGAGTAATTACACTTGAATAAAGTTTCAACCTGAAATACTTTAGTTATAATTGGAGAATTAACAGAAGATTAAATTCTAGATATCTGGAAATTTTACCTATGTGAGATCTGCTCATTAACCCATCAACACCAGAGAGAAGAGGTATTGCTGGACATGGTCCTATCATCTGGGGGATAAGTACTGGAGGAGATGTGAAAGAGAGGGTGATGGGGCTTCTGAGGTAAGACATGGAAAATTGTGAAGATATTTGTGTCCCTTATGGACACTCACCAAATGGTGACCTAGGCAGAGGAGGATTTTAATAACAGGATGACCAGTTCTGTGGATGTCAATGAGTGGCTTTCCCCCAGCCATTCCTGTCATTGTCCAATGGGCTCATGAGCCAAGTGGCTGTTACGGTTTAGATGTTTGTCTCCTCCAAATCTCCTATTGAAATGTAACCCTCAGTGTTAGCGGTGGGGCCCAGTGAGAGGTGTTTGGGTCATGGGGGCGAGTCCCTCATGAATGGGTTAGCACCACGTCCTCGATGATAAGTGTGTTCTCGCTCTGAGTTCACATGAGATCTGCTTGTTTAAAAGTATGTGGCACCTTCTCTTTTGTTCTCTTGCTCCCACTCTTGCTGTGTGATATGCCTGCTCCCACTTTGTCATCCGCCATGTGTAGAAGCTCCTGAGGCCTCACCAGAAGCCAAGGAGATGCCGGCACCAGGCTTGTACAGCCTTCAGAACCATGAGCTAAGGAAACTTCTTTTCTTTGTAAATTACCCAGCCTCAGGTATTTCTTTATAGCAATGCAAGAGTGCTGTAATACCATGGCCGTGATGGCAGGGATGAAGGCTATGCACGGGCTCAACAACATGGACATTCGCTCACCAAGGCTGACCTGGCTATGGCCACTGCAGAGTGCCTACTCTACCAGCAGCAGGGACCAACACTGAGTCTCCTTATGGTACCATTCCCCAAATGATCAGCCAGCTACCTGGTGGTAGATTGGTTAATTTGGGCCACTTCCATCACGGAAGATGCAGCACTTTGTACTTACTAGAATAGACACAAAGAAGAGGAGATATGAAGACAGATGCAAAGATTGGAGAGATGCAGCCACACCCGGGAAGCCAAGGAATGTATTCTGCTGCCAGAAGCTGGAAGAGGCAGGGAGCAGATTCTCCCTAGAGCATCTACAGAGTGTGGCCACGCTGATACCTTGATTTTGACTTCTGGCCTCCAGAACTGTGAGAGAATAAGTTTCTGTGATTTTAAACCACCAAATATGTGGTAATTTGTTATGGGAGTCCTAGGAAATGAATACAAAGTTTGTAATCTAATACAAAGTTTGTATGAGCTTCACAAGGCTGCTATAACAAATTGCCATAAACTTGGTGGCTAAAAGCAATTAAAATTTATTCCCTTACAGTTCTGGAGGCCAGAGGTTCAAAATCAAGGTGTCAGTGGGGGTCTGCCTCACCAAAAGGCTCTAGGGGAGGATCCTCCCTTGCCTCTTCCAGTTTCTGTTGCCTCCACATATTTCCGAGCTTGTGTTCACTTCACTCCAATCTCTGCCTCTGTTTTCACGTCACTTTCTTCTCTGCGTGTCTATGTCTTCTCTTCTGTTCACCCTCTCTCTACCAATTAGCCCAGGATAAATGCCATCAGAAAAGGTATGGCTTTCAAGATCTAGTCATTGATAAAAAGAAATATAACTTTTGGAAGCCCTTTTGTATAAAGAAAAAGCACTCACCTTGAAGTTAAAAGGCATAGGTATGAGTCTTGACTCTACCCCCTGACATAGGATCAATCGTTTAACTTCTCTGAGGCTCTGCGTCTTTATCTGAAAAGCCAAGGAAGAAGAGGGTTGTTAAAATCCACCGAAGATCAGATTCTATAAACAAAAACTCTTTGTTAAATTAACCATGACACAAATTATTCTATTGTCTTCCCCGAATCCCACAACCCCCTCCAACATTTAAAATTCATCTTTAGATAGCAGATTATCCCTTAAAGTACCATTTTACTCTCTGAAAAAGTCCTAGAAATACTACCCTCTGTCAATGCAGCAGACCGCTACCTTGCAAGGAAAAGATGGTCTACTTACATAATTATCCTTAGTTATGTTTACAGCATTGAAGCAGGCAATATCTGACTTTCATTCCTGAGTGAAATCCAGACCACAGCCCAGGGAGGACCAAGCCATGGCATTCTGTTGCTCCCCGCTGAACGTCCCACACCATAGGGTCTGGCTTTGGCTGGAAGAAGGGCAACCTCACCCAGTCCTCCAGAAGGTGCACATACCCAAGTGGATGCTACTGCCATTAAGGGGCATTTCCTTCAACTCCCACGCAGAAAAGGGGGCAAAGTGGACCCTAGTCCACTGTCACTCACACACATGTACAGATCCCAGGGTCCACACAGATACAGATCCCAGGGTCCACATCTATCACATATATGAACATTATCACACAGACCCCTGCAGACACATCTGTGAGGCATATGCATTCCCAAACACACAGACAGACTCGTGATAAATTTGTTCCTACCCAGCCGTGACTTCTAAATGCTTGGGGAAACCAAGACATAGTAGAAAGGAGTGTGCAATTATCATTTCCCATGATGCCGTTACTTAAGAACTCTTTGTGTCCGTCCTTCTAATGGCACCAATGCCTCCCATCAAGCCTTAAACCTCACCTAAAGTATGTCATTGGGCTTTTTCATCCATAAATGAGCATACCAGGTGCCAAGGGAATCAATATGCCCTTTCACATGCCTTAGACCAGTGTCCAAAGAAAGATAAAATGTTATTCTACAAAAGCTTTCTCCCAGCATTTCTATTCCTTTACATTTTGTACCATATACAACTATGGTTTTTTAATGATCTTATTTCTGACAGCTGTTTTTCTTCAGAACATCAACAGCTTCTTTCCTAAATTAGTTTTAGTGTACGTTCCATTTCTAATTAGCTCAAATTAAAGTCCTAGAGAGCAGCGAGGTAATATTTAAACCCTCAGGCTAAAATTTCGGAGTAGGTGCAGAATGTTGACTCTAAATGAGTTTTTCCTGTGACATAACACGCATTGAAAGCAGGATTTCTTTCATGTGTGAAATGTCTTAAATCAGACTTACCCTTTGTGATTATCTTCTAGCTTTAAATGTCATTTAAGAAAAAAAAAGAAAAGAAAATTAAGCATGACATTCCCCAATATCCTCTGCTCACTGTGTTATAATCCCTGTCACTCCCCAAGTGAATTGGAGAGAGTGAAGACACAATGAACAGAAACTTCCCTGATGCTTCACAGAGGAAGTGTTCTCCGGGACCACACAGCCTCCACCATGTCCATCTACGAAGGGCTGTGGCAAGCCATATACACAAAGATGCCTGTTTCCTGTCTTCTCGGTTAAAAACAAAAACAAAACACTGGAAGGAACCCCAAAGCCAAGCTGCCATGGGTTGCAGATTGCCAGCCCTTAAGTAGTGTTGTCCATGGGTAAACAGGAGACGGATAAGGGCAATTTCAAGAAAATAACAAACTCAAGGCATGAATGTGGTTATCCAAACATCAAGGGACTCCTTCATTTGCATTTGGATAATTGTGCAGTTATATGATTTGTTACATGGAGACCAGATGGAAGTAAGAGAGCTCATCCTCAACGTCCTGTGCCTCTGGAAGTCTTTACACACATGCTGGAGAGACAGATTCTTTACACACATGCCGGAGAGACGGATTCTTTACACACATGCCGGAGAGACGGATTCTTTACACACATGCCGGAGAGACGGATTCTTTACACACATGCCGGAGAGACGGACTCTTTACACACATGCCGGAGAGACGGACTCTTTACACACATGCCGGAGAGACGGACTCTTTACACACATGCCGGAGAGACGGACTCTTTACACACATGCCGGAGAGACGGACTCTTTACACACATGCCGGAGAGACGGACTCTTTACACACATGCCGGAGAGACGGACTCTTTACACACATGCCGGAGAGACGGACTCTTTACACACATGCCGGAGAGACGGATTCTTTACACACATGCCGGAGAGACGGATTCTTTACACACATGCCGGAGAGACGGATTCTTTACACACATGCCGGAGAGACGGATTCTTTACACACATGCTGGAGAGACAGACGAGAGTTCATGAGCATCAAACCACCATGGATTTCATAATCAATTCCTAACATCTGAATAGATGCAGAAAAGTCACAGGCATCTGGAAGTGTGGCCCAAGTTCTGTTCTTCAATCGGCCCACCCATTATCCCTATGTATCTCGATTTTGTTATCTAAAAGATCACATGATGGAGGATGTAAGCAAGTAACACAGCCAAGACCCAGTTTACAGTGTCTAGTACCTAACAGACTCTTGACACGTTTCCCTCACCCTTGAGTCAATCTTTCCATGTCACTGAATATTCTTCCACAACACGATTTTAATGGATATAGTCGTCCATTGTTTAAATGTACCATTATTGACCAATGTAAAAATGTTCTTTTATCTCAAATTTTTATATGTAAAACAAAAACATGTTTGAGGACTAAACCCACACTGTAGTATAAATTAAACTGGATGTAGGCCAGGCATGGTGAGTCACACCTATAGTCCCAGCATTTTGGGAAACCAAGACAGGAGGATGGCTTGAAGCCAGAAGCTCAAGAGCAGCCTGGGCAATACAGCAAGACCTCATCTCTACAAAAAAATAGGAAAAATTAGCTGGCCATGGTGGCGTGCACCTGTAGTCCCAGCTTCTTGGGAGGCTGAGGTGGGAGGATCCACTGAGCCCAGGAGTTTAAGGCTGCAGTGAGCTTGGATAACGACTGCACTCCAGCCTGGATGACAGAACAAGAACCTGTTTCAAAAAAGAAAAAAAGAAAAAAAACCCTAAAAACTAAAAACTGGATGTAGTTTGCTAATAACTAAACAGCAAATTAATTGTAACATGCTTACATATCAACGATGTCTTTCTTCTTTAATCATAAACCTGCTAAGAAGCTGCTGAAGTCCATGGTAGTGACAGGTACATGTCTGCATCCTTGTCCTGACCTGCATCTTCTTTGATTGTCCCCATCTGTGTCTCCGACTGGCACTGCCGAACCGGCTTGCTACCTGATCAATGTTGTACTGAACCGGACTGCTAACTGATCAATGTTGTTGAGCTCACTGCACAAAGCTGTTCTTACAAGGTAGATTTCTGCCTGGAATAGTCATACTTACACTGTTTATATTCCTTACTCCTGACCCATCCAACGCAGCACAAGTTCTATTTATTGCCATAGAAACATAGGTCATTTGGAAACACCTCCTTCATTTCTATGGAATGTTCAAACATTTCTGACATTTTGGACTCTGTTCTAGCCTCTTGTTAAATATATCCAGAAAAGAGACAAAGCTTTATGGGGGGGCTATATGCACACATATGCTATAGAATAAGCTATCTAAATGCTTAAAAATACTTTCCATCTGGCACCGCACCTTAATAGGTAGACAGAAATTAAGACAGAAATTATACGTATCTGTATAGATACGTATAAATATATATCCCCAAAACAAAAACTCATTCTCTTACTTATACATAGGTAGAATATAGGTGAATATACATATACATTTATAGGTAGAACAAAAAAACCCCTCAGCCTCTTTAGGGCCATGTGTTTTCTCTGAGTAATTGTCACAATTAATTAAAATACATGTGTATGCCTTTTTAGATAAATTCCATCAGACCAGTTTCTGTCTGGTTGGAAAATAATAACTGCCTATTTGCTAAGTGCCCCTGCCCCCATACTATGTTCCAGTGAACTAAAGACCTCTGGCAATCATAGATTTACAGCTCAGCAAGATTAAACAATTTATTGTTATTTATGACATCCAAGCTGGATCTTCCGTATTATATTCCACATTAGCATCTATCACTTTACATTTGGGAGATCCTGTCCAAAAAAAGATTATGCCTCCTAACCAAACATTCAGCAGGGCTGCAGGAACAGGCCCCCTGAACAAACATCCTGCCGAAGTACTTTAAAGCACCGTGAGCTCCCACAGCTGTGCATTTTCAGACGACTCAGCAGATTAGCGTGGAGTCTCTTAGCCTCTGCTTGGTCTGTTCCTTTCAGTGATCTCTCACATGGCCCAGTCCATTCGGTTTGAAAATCCTCATGCAATGAGCAGATTAAGATCTGGCTTCAGTAAAGGGCCATGGGGTGGGCATGGAGGGGAGAGGGTTTGCTCTTAACACAGCCTGAGCCTCAGAAAGGTTTCAGATGGAAAAGCAGGGCACTGACTCAGCTCATGCTTAACAGGAAATAATGCACAGACCACACCAAAAAAGCCCTTTATGTTGTGTGAAAGTCTATGCCGGAGCAGCTGCTGCCACCTCATGTACTGTGATAGAGTGTGCATGTGTGTGTTTGTGTGTGCATGAGTGTGAGTACTCACACAAATGTGTGCCGGGAGGGGGAGGAGCTCACACCTTCAACAGTCGCCACCTCAGCCTTAGCTAGCAGCATGGAGAAATGCCAAAAGTCAAGAGGAAGCTGCACCAAAGCAACTGTGATCACCACATCAGGAGGCGCTTTCTGGTTAGTAAAGCTACTGGGACAAAAACACACACGATCTCGTCCTTCTTTTATTTTAATCAGAGCAAAATATTTTTATAATAATTGTGTTATATGAATAAATAATTCATAATGCTGTAACCCATGATCACATTCAATCCTCCCAACAACCCTAGAAGATGTGTAGACAAATATTATTATTTTCCCTATTTTTATAAATGAGGAAATAAACCCCAGGAGGCTAGGCGACTTCCCCACGGTCATATAAGTTGCAAACAGTAGTATCATGATTCAAATCCAAACCTTCTCCTTTTGTCTTTATCATTTTAATTTTGAAGGTAATGCATATGCATGTATGATCTTTTAAATCCAGAGATGTATATGGAATAGATAGGAAAAGGGACTCTCCTTCCCCATTATACACCCCCTCCACCAAAGCTATATCCACTGTTGACTACAGTATGTCCTTTCAATCCTATTTTCTATGCCTACATTATATACAGAAAAGCAGGATTACGTTACACACAATATTCCAGTCATTGCTGTTTTTCACCAATAAGCTATCATTCACATCTTTTTCATACTACATATAAATTTATATCCTTTATTTAGTGGTGTATATTGTGCGGTTGTGTCATAAATTATGTACCTGTTCTCTGTTGAACATATAGATTTTTTCTGAGTTTTTCCTTAGCAAAATGCTGCAGTGAGTACCCTTGTACATAGATGTTTGTACATTTGTTCTAGAAAAATCTACAGTAAAGATTCTTAGATTAAGAGATTCCCAGGTTATTAGAAAACTACTCTATTAATTTAGATATATACTTCCAAATTGCCTGACCAAAAAGTTATGTCAATTTAACTTCTATGAACAGTATACAAACATGACAATTTTCCATCACCTACACCAACTCTGGGTAATTTCATCTTTTTTACAAGTTGATGGATTGTTTTAATTTGTATTTCTCTGGTTATTAATAAGGTTGGCCACCTGTTCATGTGTTATTATTGATGATATTTGTATTGAATTGTTTGAATTTTCTTGATTTGGAAAACCTTTTTACATGTCATAGACATTAAATATTTGTTGTAAAACTCTCCTTCCAGTATTTTGTATGTGTTTGGTCAAGTAGAATAAACTCTTGTCCTCTGATTTCAGATTCCTTTCTCTTTCCGTTAGAAATCCCTAAATGTAAAACTACATATTGATAGCTAAAAACCAGGATGTTTACTAGAGAAAAAGAATACAAAGGCAATAATTAAATATTATATTTATATAAAATACCTACTAGTACAAACTTAAAAAGAGAAAGTAAAAGTCAAATGCTTCTACGACTTCAGACTAAGAAAAAGAACTTTTGAGGTTGAATGTTCCTGAAATTTTTCTTTTCATGCAACTACGGACATGACTTCAAAAGTTGATGTTACTAAAAATGTAAGATATGAAAGATATTTGAAGACTCAGAGAAGGTGGATTTTCATTTTAACAAGTCACATATATATTCTAGATATCCTCTTATTCATAACTAAGAGAGTCA